>NC_000002.12:203550224-203853254 GCF_000001405.40 Homo sapiens
TATACCATGTCTTACATTTTGCACTCATAGAGCTACCCGTGCATGCTGATTAATTCAATCACGTGTTAAGAAAAAGCTCAGAAATATTAAGGGAGAGTCCTCTGTGGAAGAAAGTGCAGTGGACATTGTGAACATTTGTGAGTGAGAAATGGCCTAGTACATTGGAGGACAGTTTCATGACACTAAGTTGTTATTCTTACGCTGTATGCTTTCTCATCATTTCCACAAAGATAATTTAAGAATGGGAAGTAAGACCTGATGGGGAAATAAGAAGCCAGAATTATTTAGCTGTGAGAAGAAAAAATGGAAGAGGACCTAACAATCTTAACATTTGTGAAAATTTGCTATCCAGAAGCTAGGGTTCTTCCTCCTTAGGAATGAAGAATGAGGTGGGGCATAAGCATATAATCACATGATGAAATTTAAGTATGTCTAGATAGATTTTTCACTACAAGGGTGTCAAACAATAAAATGAGTTCTGAACTTTGTATAATGTATTTCTTTTTCTTTTTCTTTTCTTTTTTTTTTTGAGACAGTTTCTCTCTGTCACCCAGGCTGGAGTGCAGTGGTGAGAACTTGGCTCACTACGACCTCCATCTCCTGGGCTCAAGCAATTCTCCTTGAGTAGCTGGGATTACAGGTGTGTGCCACCACGCTCAGCTAATTTTTGTATTTTTTGTAGAGACGGGGTTTTGCCATGTTGGTCAGGCTTGTCTCAAACTCCTGGCCTCAAGCGATCCTCCCGCCTCAGCCTCCCAAAGTGCTGAGATTACAGGCGTGAGCCACCATCCCAGGCCTGTATAATGTATTTCTATGGTAGTTCTAAAAAAGTCTTTTTAAAATGGATTAAGGGTAATTTTGCCTAAAAGTAAGGAATTGAGGCTGGTTGTGGTGGCTCACGCCTGTAATCCCAGCACTTTGGGAGGCCAATGCTGGTAGATCACAAGGTCAGGAGTTCAAGACCAGCCTGCCCAAGATGGTGAAACACCGTCTCTACTAAAAATACAAAAATAGGGCCGGGCGCGGTGGCTCACGTCTGTAATCCCAGCACGTTGGGAGGCCGAGGCGGGTGGATCACGAGGTCAGGAGATCGAGACCATCCTGGCTAACACAGTGAAACCCCGTCTCTACTAAAAATACAAAAAATTAGCCGGGCGAGGTGGCGGGTGCCTGTAGTCCCAGCTACTCGGGAAGCTGAGGCAGGAGAATGGTGTGAACCCCGCAGGGCGGAGCCTGCAGTGAGCCGAGATTGCGCCACTGCACTCCAGCCTGGGTGACAGAGCGAGACTCCATCTCAAAAAAAAGAAAGAAAAAAAAAAAAAGTAAGGAATTGAATAAGATGGCCCCATCTTCAAGGCACTACCAGGGATGAAAGTGCAGGAGAAGAACAAGCGTGCATGACAGCTCTCATTTTCTCTTTTTAAAAAAAATTTAAAATTTCTTATATTAATGTCATGTATTTAAAAATTTTTTTTTCTTATTTAGTAGGACTTCAGAATGACACAGAAAAACAAACATCTCTCATTGTCAAGACATACCCACCCTTTTCCCCAGAGGCAAACCCAGTTCTCTTTTTCCTCCAGGGAATCCAGCATAGACCTCTCTATGTGTTTAGGAGTTTGGAAAAAAAGACCAAGAAGGGAAGTATCTTGGAAGCCACTTCTGCTTTCCTCCTTGTGACATATTAATATTCCCTGCAGCAAAGAAGCACGGGGCCTACTATCTTCCTGAATATGGGACAAGAAAGAGGAAAATACACAGAGAACGCCATAAATACCTATCTCAAAAGCTCCATCCTCCCACACAGTCAAATTGCGCAAGCTTGCTCAGCTGAGTTAACAGGGAGACTCTTTTGCCTGCAAACAGGTCAATCACCAGTAAGCCATTATACTTGATACCTACCCTCTTCTACAAATTAACTTAGAAATTCTGATTGGGAAAGAAAAGTCAAAGGTCAGAGGAATAAAATGGGTGCGTAAAATTGTTTTCATAGTTTACATTTATTTTTCCTACAAGTTTAATTCCAGTAGGTAAAATATTAAAAGTATGAGCACCTGTAATCGGGGTCAATTGATAAAGTTAGAAAATTCCAGTAGGTATTTTGTCCTTTCAGAGCATGACTCTACCTTTAAAAATGTCAATGAGAATGTAATTTAGATAGTTACGATTGTACTGTAAGAAGAATCACCTGATGATTTGTAGTAAATACTCTCATGTATATTTACATTTAACTTACATCCACTGATATTTTTTCCTAAAATAATCTGGTAAAGAGCAAGGCAAGTCACTACAAGCAGTTTCTTCAGTGATATGTTTGCAACTTCTGTAATAACTTTTGCTCTGTAATTATTGCTTTTCTTTTCCTAGAAGCTCATGTGTTGACAAAGGGAAACATAGGAGTCTCCATTTTGTCTGGAGACTTCTCTGTTCTTCTGCTTTAGTTTTGGATACATTTATGCATATGATAGCAATGCTAAGTAAAAGTTATATTATAATTAGAATATATGGTAATGTAGGATGAGTAATATGTGTGTGTGTGTGTATGTATGTGTGTGTGTGTGTGTATATATATATATATATATATATAACAGAGATTCTTTGCTATTACCACAACAAATCATGGGAAACCACAAGGGCTTTTCATGCATTTTTCTATTTAAAGGGCCGTCTATATAGAATATTTGTCAAATCCCTACCATGTACTAAGTGAAAGATTTCTTTCCTAAATATTTTTACCATTTTTCTTACTTATAGTTTATAATTTTATTTAATAGAAACATTATTTCCTTTAAGTATTATTTAAAGGGAACATGGCTTTTAATTAAATACCAATGTTTCAGCTGTGCATGGTGGCACGTGCCTGTAAGCCCAGCTGCTTGGGAGGCTGAGGCATGAGAATCGCTCGAACCTGAGAGCTGGAGGTTGCAGTGAGCTGAGATGGCACCACTGCACTCCAGCCTGGGTGACAGAGCAAGACTGTGTCTCAAATAAAAAAAAAAACAAAACCCACAATAAAACAAATAAATATCAATGTTTGTTGAAACTATTCCTTAATTATATTTCCTTAAACTTATTCTAAAGAAAAAGATATATACATCTGCCACTAATTACCCATGTCTATATATCATGGTTCATAGAATCTGGGACATTAAAACTGCACACACGGAAGCCAGCAATTAGCTGTCAGTGTAACGTGAGGATGTGTGTCTGACTTTTTCCTTAAGATTCCAAGAAACAAGAGAAAAACCTTTTTCCTCCAGCATTTTCTGAGTGGCATAGCAATTGAAGAATAAATCATCTACATCAAAATTTTTATCACATAGAAATGTGTACTCCTAGAGTATTACACAGAACAAAGAATTACCATGGATAATTTCTTCTGGACTTTTGGCTTTGCCTGACCTTCTGTCACTCTAATCTTCATCCATCATGTATTGATTCACCAAAAAACTTTTATTGAGAGCTAGTAAGCTCTCAAATATACTATGAATCAGGTATATTCTTAGAAACATAAAAGCAAATGCAGTCTACGGCCGAAATGCTGAATTGTGTCCCATGGTCACTGTGGGAGCTCAGTTCTACTAACTAACTTGGTTTGGGGTGGTGGTGGTGAGGGAGGGTGGCTCTGAGTTTCAGATTGACCACTTGGCATAGGGTGGGTGCTTTGAGGGCTAAGGCAATGGGAAGCGGCTCAACCAGACAGTCTCCTGAGAGTAACAGCCATGCAGTCATGTCAGAGCAATGAGTAGAATCCCAGGCAGGTGGTCTGTAGTAGGGAGGCCTGGAAGTGTGTAGCACTGCCCTGGTTTGTGGTAGTGCTATTCCTTTTCCCAAGAGGTCAAGAGCCAGATGGATCACAGGCCTAGAGTACCTAGGGTGAGAACTATGAAGGATAGTATTGTTTACCACCCCAAAGCTTCCCCAGCCTCCTTCCTTTGCTGTGAGGGGTAGCCATGTGATCCAATTCTAATGCAAGAACTATTAAAAGATGTCTGTTGGGAGTAAGGGGCAGGCTTTTGAGAAATCTTTTGCTTTCCTGATAAATAGGGTTAAGCATACCTGGCAAGAACATTTTTTCTTACTTTTGTTTTCCAGCCTTGAATATGAGCATGCTGCATGCTGCAGCAGTATATAGTGATCAAAGGCAACAAGCCAAGGATGATGGAAGAACAAGAGAGAAGCAGGCTGGTTCTTTGACATTGGACAGCCAGAGTCCCAGCCCTGGATGGCCTGTTCCAGACATCTTGTCAAGTGAAAAAAAAAAAAAAAAAAAAAAAACAAGGAACACTTGTTTGGTTAAGCCACGATTGGGATTTCTGTTGCTTACTGTCAAACATATACCTAATTGAAATAGAAACAAGGCTAAAACTCTATGGAAAATAATGAGATGGCTGTGGGGATTCAGCTATTGAGGTGGGAGTAAGAGATGAGAGATGCAGGAAACTAGGATGAAACTCAGTGATAAGGATAAGGCAGAGCACAATTGGCAGAAGGCTGATTTTCAGATTTCTTTTCTTTTTTTTTTTTTTGAGACAGAGTCTCGCTCTGTCACCCAGGCTGGAGTGCGGTGGCACGATCTCGGCTCACTGCAACCTCTGCCCCCTGGGTTCAAGTGATTCTTCTGCCTCAGCCTCCCAAGTAGCTGGGACTACAGGCACACGCCACCATGCCTGGCTAACTTTTGTATTTTTTGTAGAGACAGGCTTTCACCATATTGGCCAGGCTGGTCTCGAACTCCTGACCTCGTGATCTGTCTGCCTTGGCCTCCCAAAGTGCTGGGATTACAGGTATGAGCCACCATGCCCGGCTGATTTTCAGGTTTCTTAGATACCCTATGACCAAACAGGATTGGACTCAGAACCCGGGAGAGGGGTAAGGCATCTAGATTAGGGCATGGTGAGGTGTTTTGTTTGTTTGTTTGTGAGACAGGGTCTTTGTCATCTAGGCTGGAGTGCAGTGGTGCAATCAGAACTCATTGCAGCTTTGATCTCCCAGGCTCAAGGAATCTGCCCACCTCAGCCTCCCGAGTAGCTGGCACTACAGGTGTACACTACCACGCCTGTCTAAGTGTGTTTTTTTTTGTTTGTTTGTTTTTGTTTTGAGACAGAGTTTTGCTCTTGTTGCCCAGGCTGGAGTGCAATGGCGTGATCTCAGCCCACTGCAACCTCTGGCTCCCTGGTTCAAGCAATTCTCCTGCCTCAGCCTCCTGAGTAGCTGGGATTACTGGCACCCACCACCATGCCTAGCTAATTTTTTTGTTTGTTTTTTTGTTTTTGTTTTGTTTTAGATGGAGTTTCGCTCTTGTTGCCCAGGCTAGAGTGCAATGGTGCAATCTAAGCTCACTGCGACCTCTGCCTCCCGGGTTCAAGTGATTCTCCTGCCTCAGCCTCCTGACTAGCTGGGATTACAGGCATGTGCCACCATGCTCAGCTAATTTTGTATTTTTAGTAGAGACGGGGTTTCATCATGTTGGTCAGGCTGGTCTTAAACTCCTGACCTCAGGTGATCTGCCCACCTCGGCCTCCCAAAGTGCTGGGATTACAGGCGTGAGCCACTGCGCTTGGCCTAATTTTTGTATTTTTAGTAGACACAATGTTTCACCATGTTGGCCAGGCTGGTTTTGAACTCCTGACCTCAGGTGATTTGCCCACCCTCAGCCTCCCAAAGTGCTAGGATTACAGGAGTGAGCCACTGTGCCTGTCCCAGGCTAAGTTTTAGAAAAGTTTTTGCATAGTATCCCACGGTGTATATGATACTGTGCAGCCATAAAAAAAGGATGAGCTCATGTCCTTTGCAGGGACATGGATGAAGCTGGAGACTCAGCAAACTAACACAGGAACAGAAAACCAAACACCACATGTTCTTACTCATAAGTGGGAGTTGAACAATGAGAACACATGGACACAGGGAGGGGAACATCACACACTGGGGCCTGTCAGCAGGTGGGGGGCTAGGGGAGGGATAGCATTAGGAGAAATACCTAATGTAGATGATGGGTTGATGGGTGCAGCAAACCACCATGGCACATGTGTGCCTATGTAACAAACCTGCACATTCTGCACATGTATCCCAGAACTTAAAGTATAATAAAAAAAAAAATTAAAAAAAATTTTTTTGTAGAAATGGGGTCCCACTATGTTGCCCAGGCAGGCCTTGAACTCCTGAGCTCAAGTGACCCTCCCACCTTGGCCTCCCAGAGTGCTGAGATTACAGGCATGAGCCACTGTGCCCAGCAGGCATGGAGAGTTTTGAGGGCAGAGAAGGAGCCAAATCTATGTCTTCTATTGTCAAATTTCTCTTAAAATTTTATCCCATTGTTTGAAAGCTCCAAGATCATGTCTTTCATCATGCAAACCCAAAAGTAAATACTATTTTTCTTTTTGGAAAATCACAACATGTCTTTCCTCATTGATAGATTGACTAAAATACCTGTTAAAGTGATTGATCTAAATTACAAAAATGAGAGTCAAGAGGTCTTACAGAACTAACACCTATGGAGCCCTGTGATTCAGCTGAGAAAAATATGACAATAATAATAAATATAGTATTATATTAGTGAAGAAAATGAATCACATTTAAAGATGTTTAAAGCCTTTCTTATTAAAAAGTAGAAAGTGTACAGGAGAGGCTGGGCGTGGTGGCTCACGCCTATAATCCCAGCACTTTGGGAGGCCAAGGTGGGCAGATCACTTGAGGTCAGGAGTCTGAGACCAGCCGGGCCGACATGGTGAAACGCTGTTTCTACTGAAAATACAAAAACTAGCCGGGTGTGGTGGTACACACCTGTAATCCCAGCTACTTGGGAGGCTGAGGCAGCAGAATTGCTTAAACCTGGGAGGCAGAGGTTGCAGTGAGCTGAGATTGCACCACTGCACTCCAGCCTAGGTAACAGAGTGAGATTCTGTCTCAAAAAAAAAAAGTATATAGGAGGTATAAAATGTAGCAAAATAAGACTTGTCATCTGAATATGTAATTAAATTCTATTTCTAACTGGAATAAAAGAAAATATTCTGGAAATCCATTATCTGTATTTGGGAATCCTGGGGAAAAAAAGGGAAGAGGTAGGTTGGGCGCAGTGGCTCATGCCTGTAATCCCAGCATTTTGGGAGGCTGAGGCGGGCGGATCACAAGGTCAAAAGATCGAGACCATCCTGGCCAACGTGGTGAAACCCTGTCTTTACTAAAAATACAAAAATTAGCCGGGCGTGGTGGCAGGCGCCTGTAGTTCCAGCTTCTCGGGAGGCTGAGGCAGAAGAATCACTTAAACCTGGGAGGCAGAGGTTGCAGTGAGCCGAGATCGTGCCACTGCACTCCAGCCTGGGCTACAGAGTGAGACTCTGTCTGAAAAATAAGTAAATAAATAAAATAAAAGGAAGGGGTAAAGTTAGGATTGAGAAGTGAGGACACAGCCTGTGTAGGTGTGGGTAGAGAGAAGGTCTAGGATACAGAGGGACCCTGATGACTGCCTGGGCTCAATCTTGGATAGATGACTACTCCCCTGACTTTGGTTATTCTTTTTTTTTTTTTTTTTTGAGACAGTGTCTTACTCATCACCCAGGCTGAAGTGCAGGTGGCATGATCATAACTGACTGCAACTTTTAACTCTCAAGTGATCCTCCTGCCTCAGCCTCCCAAGTAGCTGGGACTACAGGCATGTGCCACTATGCCCAGCTAATGTTTTATTTTTTGTAGAGACAAGGTCTCGCTATGTTATCTAAGTTGGTCTCAAACTCCTGGCCTCAAGCAATTTTCCTGCCTCCAGCTCCCAAAGTGCTGGGATTACAGGCTGGTTATTCTTGATATCAAACTTCCAGGCCCACCCAAAGAAAGCTCTGATTTACTAGGTTACATAGAGCTTCATCCAGAAAGAGCTTGATCCACTGGATAGAGACTGAGGTGTGAATTGTCTCTAACAAAGTTTAAATTCTACTGAAGTTCATTCCTAGAAAGTCTGACCTAGTTGGTTGGCTTTACACCCATGCAAAGTCATTTTGTTGTTAAAAAGACCTTACTCTATTTCAGACTTGGTTCTTTCAATGGGTTTCCCAAAGAGCTCTTCAGCCAGTGTTCAGCTATTGACCAAATGGTTGGCTCCAGCCAGAAATCTGATCAGAAACATGACTGAAAGGGAGGCCTTATCTTCAAGCCTAAATGGGAGCTGCACAGAAGTGACCATTTTCTCAGGGAGATTGGGTAATTTGGTTGAGAAGGCTTGTCCTCCACCTGTCAGAGGAATCCTCAGTCTAAAGTCATGGTTCTTTCAAGGCCAGGAACAAGGATTTAGTTGTGGAGACCCTGACACATTTATCATACAGGAAAATAATTAATTCTTCATTCCGAGTACACATAGGCCATGCCAGAGTCTCCCTGTCCCCACAAAGATCTCTTTACCTGCTTGATTATGCTGAAATTCCTTTCCTTGACAGCTCTTTTCATTGACAATTAGAGATAAAAGACAAATGCCTCATTGAAGAAGTATCTTGACTGATGCTCATTCATACCACAGTGATAGGCCAATTAATTAACAAGCCTAAGTGACTGATTTGGCAGAAGCTATGACTCCTTGAAGTGGATGATGAGGTGAAGAGAGGTCTACATAGAACAGGAAGACTGGAATGAGTTTTATTAAAAGGGCAGATGATAGGGAGGCCAAGGCGGGCGGATCACCTGAGGTGAGGAGTTTGAGACCAGCCTGGCCAACATAGTGAAACCCCGCCTCTACCAAAAATACAAAAAATTAGCCAGGTGTGGTGGTATGCACCTGTAGTCCCAGCTTCTCAGGAGGCTGAGGCATGAGAATCGCTTGAATCCAGGAGGCAGAGGTTTCAGTGGACTGAGACCACACCACAGCATTCCAGCCTGGGCAACAGAGTGAGACTCCTTCTTAAAAAAAAAAGAAAAAAAAATGGGGAGAGGGGAGATGGGGACTCTAAAGGCAAATGTCATTTATTCTACTCAAGAATATTGCTTTTCACTTGCACAATGCACACTTCTTATTATGTAGAAAAGCTATTATTTATTATTATTATTACTTACTATGTAGCAAAGTTGTGATTTAAACTTTAGCGAAGTTTAAATCACGACTTCACTAAAAAGCAGTTTCATTCCAAATAGAACTGGTCCAGGTTTACATAGTAAGCTACTATTTCATCATTGTTATTGCTATTTCTTTTTGTTGTTGTTGTTGTTGTCGTTTGTTTGTTTTGAGACAAGGTCTCGCTCTGTTGCCCAGGCTGGAGTACAGTGGCGCAATCATGGCTCACTGCAGCTTTGGCCTCCCAGGCTCAAGTGATCTTCCCACCTCAGCCACCCAAATAGCTGGGACAACAGGCACACACAGCCACATCCAGCTAATTTTTCAATTTTGTGTAGAGACGGGGTCTCACTCTGTTGCCCAGGCTGGTTTCAAACTCCTGGGCTGAAGTGATCCTCCTGCCTCAGCCTCCCAAAGGGTAAGGATTACAGTTATGTGCCACTGTGCCCAGCCTTAATTGCTATTTCTGCTAACTAAAATAATAATGATGACAATACAAATGCACATACACATATCACTTAATGACAGAAACCTATAAAATAAGCAAATTCAGATGATTCACCCAAATTGTTGACTCAATCTCTTTCTCAAATAGGAGGAAGTGGAAGTCCTATCCTCTCTCCTCACATTTGTGATGCCCTAACTCCATTTACTTTTACTTCTTAGGAACTCACCTTCAATGCCGACTCAGGAGTTTTTATTTTCCATTTTAATCCTTGAGCAAATGATTTTTTTTCATATTTTAAAGTGTATCTTTTATCCAAAAATTACTGCATTATAAATTTGATGTGAAAGCCAAAGGCAGACATTTAAATAAGTGAATATTCTGTATCAATTAAATAGAAATTTGGCTGACATTATTTTTCCTTGTGCACATTCAACATATGCTGTGAGCACAGTATGAAATGACACATTTTTATAGCTAGAAAAAAGTATTGGAGGCCATTTTTGTCACTATTGAATGCTTCATATATATTAGTGTTTAGAAAAGAGTTGTGTGATCCTTGAATCATTTTAAATCACATTTAAAAGTACGCTATGTGGAAATGAAGGACATGACAGAAGTATAAGGAAAAAATTGTAAGAAAAGATAATTCTAGCCGGGCGCCGTGGCTCAAGCCTGTAATCCCAACACTTTGGGAGGCAGAGGCGCGTGGATCACGAGGTCAGGAGTTCGAGACCAGCCTGGCCAACATGGTGAAACCCCGTCTCTACTAAAAATACAAAAATTAGCCGGGCATGGTGGTGGGTGCCGGTAATCCCAGCTACTCGGGAGGCTGAGGAAGGAGAATCACTTGAAACCGGAAGGCGGGGGTTGCAGTGAGCCGAGATCGCGCCACTGCACTCCAGACTGGGCGAAAGAGCAAAACTCTGTCTCAAAAAAAAAAGAAGAGATAATTCTAAAGTACCTTTGTAGGATATTGCCAATCGCAGTACATTTACTGAAGAGAATGCCAATTTGATTTGTTGAGAAGTCTGAAATTAATATTAAACATGTTTTTAGACATTATTTTCAAGTTCTGTGGCAGAGACGGCCAGCTGTCCCCCCAAAACCTTTCCCTCTTATGGTTATAGCTATTGCTGGAACATGACTCCTGAGTCAGGGTCTAGATTTCCTGGCCTCCCTTGAACCTAGGTGTGGCCATGCCATAGTTTTAGATAATGGAAAGTGAGCAAGAGTGACCAATGTCGCTTCTGGGCCAAGACTTTTAAGAAGCAGATATTCCTTTTCTATCCTCTGCCATCTCCTCTTCCTTCTCCTTCATCTGACTGGAGGCACATGATGATGGGGCTTTAGAGAAGTGGAGCCCCAGATGCATAGACCCTGGGTCCCCAAATCACCATCTGGAAGAAAGCTGCCTGCCAACCTATTTTGGGGCAAAATAGCCTCCAAGATGTGTAATAGCTGTAAGACAATAGAAGTTTCTTAGTTACAGCAGCTAGTGGTACCCCAGCAATACAAGTACCCTTATTATTGTCATTTACTAAAAATTTCCAATAAGATGTTCTGCTGGACTTTATTTATTTTTTTGAGACAGAGTATCACTCTGTCACCCTGGCTGGAGTGCAGTGGTGTGATCTCAGCTCACTGCAACCTCCGCCTCCCAGGTTCAAGCGATTCTTCTGCCTCAGCCTCCATAGTAGCTGGGATTACAGGCACAAGCCACCACTCCAGGCTAATTTTTGTATTTTTAGTAGAGATGGGGTTTCACCATGTTGGTCAGGTTGGTCTCAAACTCCTGACCTCGTGATCCGCCCACCTTGGCTTCCCAAAGTGCTGGGATTACAGGCGTGAGCCACCTTGCCTGGCCTATTTTAAGTGCTTTTTATGTATTATCTTTTTTTAATAATTTTTTTTTTTTGAGGCAGAGTTTTGCTTTGTTGCCCAGGCTGGAGTGCAGTGGCACAACCCTGGCTCACTGCAGCCTCAACTTCTTGGGGTCAAGCAATCCTCCAGCCTCAGCCTCCTGAGTAGCTGGGACTACCGGTACATGCCACCATGCCCAGCTAATTTAAAATTTTTAAACATTTTTTGTAGAGATGGGGTCTCATTTTGTTGCCTGGGCTGGTCTTGAACTTCTGGGCTCAAGCAATCCTCTCACCTCAGCCTCCCAAGGTGCTGGAATTACAGGCATGAGCTACTGCACCTGACCTCAGGCATCCTATTAAGAGAGTTAGTGAATGGAGTGATTATAACCTAAGATCAATCTTCATCCAGAAAGCATACCCAAGGGTTGCTAATGGAATTTCAACTAGAACAGGGGTTTTATGTTTTGCCATGTTGACTCCAACTCTCTCTAGAGTGGCAAAGAAACAGAAAATACCAGGTCTGCCCAGACCTACAAGAATTGAATAGTTACAAGTTAGCAGAGCACATTCCAAATCACACAAAAAGGCTTACTCTAAATGCACCATGACTACTATCTGGGTTGGTTGCATTTTCCAAATCAGTTGTGTGGGGTTGGGAACCTTAAACTATCTAGTTTAAATTTAGATCAAGCTCCTATATCAAATTCCCACACTCCTCCCTTGATTCTAACCTCCCAGAATAACATTCTCTCTAATCCTTTGCTCTCCTTCCTGCTTATCTGCTTTCATTTGTTCTTATAGCCTAATCCACTTTATAAGATCTGTTCAGGCTCCCATCAGGGCTAATGCTTTAGTCTCCTCCTGGCTCTCTGCGATCTCCTGTTTTTAGCTCCAACAGCTGGGATCTCGAAGCCCTCACTTGTAGGCTCAGCCCTATGTTTATATTTGGGAACAATTCTTTGGCAGGGCTGGGAGAATTTAAAGAGTCTTAGGCCAGTATCTAGACAACTCAGCCTCAAGCCAGCCTGTCTACTGATGCCATTTTAACACTCTTCTTGTATTTATTCAGCAATTACCATGCCCTACCACCCACCCCCTACCATATGCCAGGCACTGTGTGAAGTATTGGAGAGACATCATACCAAGACACAGTCCTTACCTTGAGAGCCTTTAGGTTTAGAAAGTTAGATGGGCAAGTTAACCAATGACCAACCATGGCTGTGACAGGGGCATGCATGGGACTCTCGGAGCCCTGGGAGAGGCACCAACCTTGGGTTGGGGTGGGGGAGTGGTCAGAAAGGCTTCCCAGAAGAGTTGGTTTCTGTATAAAGATGAAGGATGAGTAGGAGTTACCTAAGCACATAAGGAAGGAGAGAGAGACAGTGTGTGTGTGTGTGTGTGTGTGTGTGTGTGTGTGTGTGTGTGTGTGTAAGCCAGAGGATACATGAAGCACAGCATCTTCCAGGAGCTCTTAAGTAGCTCTGTTTGGCAGCATAACATAGTAGTTAAGATCATGATCTCAAAGCCAGACCACCTAAGTTTGAATTCTGACTGCTGCTATGTGACGTAGGGCAAGATACTGAATCTCTTTTTGCCTTAGTTTCTCCATCTGTAAAATAGGAATGATGATAGAACCTGCCTTATAGGATTGTTGTGAGGAGTAATACACCTGATACATACAAGTGTTTAGATTGCCTAGAATAGTGCCTGGTATATAGCAAAATGATAAGGGTTTGTTATTACTTAGGTATAGTATTACATGAAAAGTAGGGAGTGGCCAAAGAAAACTCTTGTGTGGCATGGTAAGAAGTTTGGATTTTAAAACCATTCATTGAATCCCTATTGCCCTCAAGGTAATCAGGGCAGATAGCCTCAACATGAGTTTTGGCGGGGACAAACTGTATTCAAACCATCGCAGAAGCTATAGGGCATTATTAAGTTTATTCTCCCCTCCACCAAATTAGCATTATAATTATATTTGCAATCCAAAATTTGGGATGGTAATAAGTTTCCTTCCACCTAGGCTATGCATTTAATTGTGTGGGAAGTATATAAACAAACTAACGCTCTTCAATACTTATTTTGAAGGCCGGCCAGAAGCAGTGGCTCACACCTGTAATCTCAGCACTTTGGGAGGCCAAGGCAGGCAGATCACTTGAGGTCAGGATTTTGAGACCAGCTTGGCCAAAGTGGTGAAACCCTGTCTCTACTAGAAATACAAAAATTAGCCAGGCGTGGTGGCACGTGCCTGTAATCCCAGTTACTTGAGAGGCTGAGGCAGGAGAATCACAGGAACCAGGAGGCAGAGGCTGCAGTGAGGTGAGAATATACCACTGTACTCCACCCTGGGTGACAGAGCGAGATTCCATCTAAAACAAACAAACAAACAAACAAAAAAGAAAGTCAAGCATGATAGGAAGGAAAAGACAGAAATGGTCAAAAGAATGTAACCTTCTGCATTAATGGTTCTGCTTTTCTATGGGAGTGGAATTCACATATTGCTTTGGGAAGGCAATATTCTTACCAAAAATGATTTTCTATGTTTCTTGAACACCACATGATCTACAAGGGGATCTATTCTGTGACACTACTCTATTTGAATCATTAGTCAATACATTTTAACACAATGGAAGCTATAAAAACAGCATAAAAAGATCTGGAAGTTTCTCAGATATCCTGCCTTCTGAGATAAATGGCTTGTTATAAGGGAAAAATCTTGTTCCTATTTCTTAAGGTACAAATTAAACCACTGGGTTTTCATTTAAGTCCAGGGACTTTATTAACATGGCAAAATAGAAAAGAATTGCCCAAGGTAAAAGTCATATTGCCACTGATTCATTGCAATTAGCTAATTGGCAAACTCTTTTTCCCCTTCCCATGGAAGAAAGAGAAGCCTGTGAGCTCGAGAGCCTTAGAGATCATTTTTCTACAGATGAAGAATCTTGGATAATTTTTGCCAGTTCAGAATGATGAGGATTGCATATTTATAACATGTTACTCTAAGGCATCATTTCTTATTGTACAGATGAAAGAGAAGTGCTTTAAGTTTGCTTTTGTCTGACATCTAGAGTCAACCACTTTTTGTGTATATGATTCTAATTATAGCAAAAAACAATGTCAATATGTAGTCATTCTTCTCCATGTGTAAATAAATCCTTTATTGAAAAAAATAGCTTTTCCCTGTTCTGCTTGAGAATGCTAATATGCAATGTCTGTTTTTTGTCTGCAGTTTTTTAAATTTAATTTTTAAATTGACAATAATCGTACGTACTCATGGGGGTACATAGTGATGTTTTCCTATGTATAATGTTTAGTGATTGGATCAGGGTAATTAGTGAATCTATCATCTCAAATATTTATAATTTCTTTGTGTAGGGAACATCCAATATCCTCCTTCTGGCTATTTGAAACTATTAATGTATTATTGTTAACTATAGTCATTCTACAGTGGTATAGAACACTAGAACTTATTTGTCCTATCTAGCTATAATTTTGTATCTGTTTGCAGTTGTTTTTTGAGACATTTTTCTAAACATCTGAATTTAAAATTATATCTGTCAAAACAAAAATACTTCTTTTATGTATTTTCCAAGTAATAAAACTGACTCAGAAAAAGAATACTGGCACCAGTTGGAAACTCCACTAGTTACAAAATCACACATAATTTGTGCAACCTTGAAGTCTGGAGCTGCTTGTGGAAACTCATGCCATCAGCCCTCCAACTCAATTAAGTACAGATTTGTTAACATCACTGCTGGCTGTGTAACCTCAGTGGATGCAGGCAAAGAAATATAAGGAAGCTGTGGTAACAGACAGATGTGCTACTCTAGACTTCTCATCATTTGATATTCACTCCTTTGAAGTAAAATATTTTATTTCAGGAGTGGCAGATTAAAATGCAGGAGCCTCTGGATGAAATGCAACATTGGACCATTGTCTGCTGTTAGCACCTTAGGAATAAGCAATTCATTCATTTTGGGAAACGTTAGGAGACCTAAGCACAGGAGGCCACTGATACAGTAGAAAGAGTTGGCCAGGAGACTAAGGGCATCAAAACTCTAATTACCACTCTACTAATAGCTAGTTGTGTGACTTTGAGCAAATCACTCCCCTTACCCAGCCTGTCTTTACACATTGGTAGAATGAGGATATTGTTCCACTCCAAATTTCCACATCTCTACTAAGGAAGAGCAGGCACAGTGAGGTAAACTGGGCAAGTGTAACAATGAGTCTTGCTGTCCTGACATTTTTGTCTCTGCAAAGGGAGAATGCTTGAAGGCCTGCTCCCAAAGCAACTCTCTAACTCCTACTCAGCTCTGTGCCTAGTCTTGGGTTGCCTCAGGTGATTGGTGGTTCCTGATCAAGGAGCAAAATCCCTGCAGTTAGATTTGCTTCACTTTGAGCCCCACCTAGCCTGGCTTGTACTCAGCTTTTAAATTTTTAAAAACATATCTGTGAACCTACCCTTTAATGACACTCTGTTCTTTGAGCATGAAATAGCCCAAAATGCCTCAATTTTATCTGCTCTATGGGGC
Organism: Homo sapiens; assembly: GCF_000001405.40. Classification (NCBI taxonomy): domain Eukaryota; kingdom Metazoa; phylum Chordata; class Mammalia; order Primates; family Hominidae; genus Homo; species Homo sapiens. The sequence goes on from NC_000002.12 coordinate 203,566,104, forward strand.
TCTACATCCCTGATTTCCTCTCTCCTTTCTTTTCAGAGTGGAACAAAATTGCCCTTTAAAGGGAGCATTGAGTTTACCAGAGGCTGATTCTGATTCACTCAGGACCCCTTCCAATGGTAGAGCCAGTTTATCCAACCACCATCCCTGGCCCTTAAAAAACCAGCTAGCCTCCTTAAGAAATCCAGATACTGTGTTCGTTCTGATTTATGAAAATCATTAGGCAAAATGTAAATTAAACACCTTTTCTGACACTTCACGTCATGATCAGAAAGAAGCCAGGCCTATTGCCTCTGTCCGTTCACCAGTGTGCTCCATGGGAGAAAACAAACAAGTACAGAATTCGTATTGGAACAGAGTTTTTGTTCTTAATCAAAGCAGCAATAGGGTAAAACAGATTTGCAGAGCTTGGAGAACTGTAGACCCAAGCTGCCCCAGCTTTTTTCAGATTAAAAAAAATAATAAGTGAACAAGGCAAATAATATAAGTAGATGAAGATGTGCAAAGACCTCTTTTTATATCCTTCCAGACGTTTTCAGTCCATAAAAACATCCAACACATGTACTCACATTTTTTTTTCTATTCCTCTCTCTCTCTATAAATGAGCTCTTCTGTTCATCCCACTTCTGCTTTCTTTTCTTTTTTTTTTTTTTTTTTGAGATGGAGTCTCACTCTGTCGCCCAGGCTGGAGTGCAGTGGCGCGATCTCGGCTCACTGCAAGCTCCGCCTCCCGGGTTCACGCCATTCTCCTGCCTCAGCCTCCCCAATAGCTGGGACTACAGGCGCCCGCCACCACGCCCGGCTAGTTTTTTGTGTGTTTTCAGTAGAGACGGGGTTTCACCGTGTTAGCCAGGATGGTCTCGATCTCCTGACCTCGTGATCTGCCTGCCTCGGCCTCCCAAAGTGCAGGGATTACAGGCGTGAGCCACCACGCCCAGCCACTTTTTATTTCTTAGTTGGATAAGTCAGAGAGCATAAATAAGAAGCCACACTTTTTAGACAGTCTCTTTATAAGATTAGCTTTGGATAGAATACAGATCTCCTTCTAAGCAAAGACCCCTTTTTGTGCTTCTTGGGGAAGTAACAGGAACAGTCTCTGTTGGCAAACCTTCCCTATGCTGTGAAATCGACATGATATCTGGTGCAGTTGCATGTATTACCTGTGCTTGGCATTTGTTAATTGGTGGTAATTAACATGTTTCATTTTTGAGGAAAGAAGTGAGTTACTGAGAGATCAAGCCACAGGATGGTGGGAGTAGGCCAAGATCCAGTGCTTGACTGTTGAACTTGCTTTTTGGTCATTGACTGTTTCTCATTATTTCAAGGACAGTTATTACCATTACCATTAAAATAGCTGGTTTCAAGCTGGCAGGTGTTAAGTACAGACTAAAAGACCGACAAATCTCAAGACACAAAGGTAAGTCTAAAACACAGGAGATGAAAAGAAGTCCATGTCAGTAAGTCAAAAATAAACCATGATTATTATTGTTGGTATTCTGATGACCCAACTGAAATGAAATAAGAATTACATTGTCATTAATTTACATACTGAAATTAATGGAAAACAGTTCTTCATAGGCTTGTTCCTCAGGATGAGCAAAACTGCAATTTTATGCAAGATCATTCTCTATTCCTAAGTGCCTCTTCTGTAATTCCAGGAAGATGTGATTTGCAGTGCAGTGAGCAATAGCAATCACTCCTTTCTCCTATGGGCTGGAGCTAATGCTCGTTCTCACCTTGCTCCTCACTAAGACATGCAGCAGACATCAATCATCATTACTGCACAGCCTGTCTGCATCCTTAATTAGGAAATAACACACAATAGAGCTTAGTGGCAGAGTATGCAATATTATGCATTTTTTGGACTATTTGTGGTAAAAAGCAATCCCAGATAAATTGCACAATGGCTTTGTGCATCACAAAGTGTGAGCTCAGGGCATCACAAGGTCTTAGGAAGCCAAAACCATTTGTCTGGTAGAATTTCAAGAATCTAATTGAACATAACTTGTTTGCTTAAGCAATTAGCAATTATCTTTTGAGTATAAATAAGGATGTTTCCAGGGTTATCCCTCATATTTTTTATGGTAATTTTCCAAGTTGGTTTACCTTGTTGTGGTTGCCTCTTGCTGTCTCCTTGGCTGTTTATTTGGCATTTGATGCAATTTGCTGTTGATGGTTCCAGTAAAATTAGAGAGTATGACTGGATGGGAAAATACCATGATTTATCATATTGCTTATATCATATTTAACATATTGTTGACTTGTTGCTTTGTTGTTTCATTTTATTGTCATGCCTCATTTTGGCTATCCTTGGGCAACAAAGAATGGTGGAAGTTATTCTGATTTAAGGAAAATACAGGCATTTAAAACTGCAGCAGGGAAAGGAAAGGGAGCTAACATTTACTGAGCACCTACCATGTTCCAGGCAATATTCCAGGAACATTTTCTTGTTTTAACCTCACAACATACCTGTGAGATACATTATTATCTCTATAACGAATGAAGAAAATTTGGATAATATAACTGCTTAATGTCACACAGCTCTAAAGTGGTGGAACCAGGATTGGAACCCAAATTTATCTAACTCCTATAATTCCGCTTCTTCAAATAGTAATGGTACCTTATATTTGTGCAGAGCTCTATAGTTTTCAAAGCAGTTACCCACATGTTATCACCTTCTGTTTCCAAACAACTCTGTGAGGTATGCGTTATTATGAAACTTTACAGACCAGGAGAAATGATGTGTTCATGGTCAAACACAGAATAAATAGAGGACTAGGACTTGAAGATTTATGAACTTTTCACATGATACCACTGAAGCCTTGGGACAAACCAATTGCTATTTTAAAGAATGCAAATTATCTTGTACCATGTTTTCTATTACCAATAACTATATATATATCTATATTCTGTGTACATGGGAAAATAATTTGTTAAGAATCACGGCTTCAGACATAGATGTTGTTATACAATTAAAACGATGGTTAAAATAGTAAGCAGTGAATGGTGATTCAAAACCTAGGCTAAGATTAGATTAGAAAACCTAGGTTAAGAAGCACGTTAGTGCTTGGTGTTCAATTACCTTTCTCTAAATCTGTACTCAAGGCCAACCCTAAAAAAAAAAAAAAGATAGTAAACAACAGGTCCCAGTTAGTTATCTCTGGTTTTGTCCATTTTGTTCACAAACTGTATTGGTCTGATTATTGGTAGTATTATCTGATCTGTGTGCATCTGGTCCAGATAAAGGTAGCTATTGACCAAGAAAAGAGATACCTTCTTACTGTAGCATTGATGATGCTACCAGATGCTTTTCAGTCTTGTTTAATAAAGGACTGTCTTGCCCAAGGAGAGGACTCATTAAAAGTTGAAAGTGGAGTGGGGACAAAGTTGGAGGAGCAAGAGGAAATAGGTTATCATAATGAATGCAAGCTGGAGTGCACTGGCACCTTCTCGGCTCACTGAAACCTCCGCCTCCCAGGTTCGAGCGATTCTTCTGCCTCAGCCCCTGCTAGTAGTTGGGATTACAGGTGCGCGGTACCACGCCTGGCCAATTTTTGTATTTTTAGTAGAGATGGGGTTTCACCATGTTGGCCAGGCTGGTCTCAAACTCCTGACCTCAGGTGATTCACCCACTTTGGCCTCCCAAACTGCTGGGATTACAGGCGTGAGCCCCTCTCTACTGGCCGCTGTCTACTTTTTCTTAGTTTCACTTTCTAATCCCCTTCTCTTTTATTCCCTCGTCCCCCTCACAAAGATGCTTATCTAATAAACGCATTGACACCGAGGTGTGAATGACTGCTCTGCTTACCTCTTCAAAGAGAAATATATTACACAATCAGGCCTCTGAGTGGTAGAATGTCTCTGAGAGGTTCTTTTGGATAGGAGCAGTTTCTGTTGTTCTTTGATTGTTTCAAGCAGCCACTTCCCTAAGTTTATTCATATTCCCCTCAAAATACTCCGTTCAATATGCTTTCAGCGACAAGTATTTATTGGGCACAATTTGTGATGGGCACTGTGCCAAATGCTGGGGACATGTTAGTGAGAAAACAGACATGTTCTCTCACAGAATATAAACTCCCGGAAGACAGGGACCATAATGTATGGAGCTAGCATTGTTTTATACCAGCCACAGCCATCTTCTCACTTTGGCAAATGGCTCTATACTCCCTTGGGCTCAGCAAAAACAAAAACTAATAGCATGTATATGGGTTGTGGGTTCACAGATGGAATAATTCAAACCATGGATAGGGTATCTACAACGGATACGATGTTGCAGCCTCTCTCCCTCCCTTCTTTTCTTGTCTTCATTCCTTCCTTTCCTCCTTTCCCCATTCTTCTTTTCCTTCCTTTATTCCCTTCCTTCTCTTCTTTCCCTCTTTCCCCTGTTACCACCCCTATTATTCTTGAGGACTGAGATAGATTTACAGCAATCAGGGAAGACCTTCATGTTGGGTCTAGACACACATCATAGACCTTGCCATTTGCCAGCTGTGTGCCTCTGAGTTTCATTTGCTCCTCATGTCACATGAGGACACTTAATAGCTACCTGCAAGTATGCACTATGGGTACAGAATAGGTGCACGGTAAATGGAACTCTTATAATTAGATTTAGAATGCCTCATCAAATAATTAATTACTTTTATAATACTGAAGATGTTTTCTTAAGGCATTATTTATAAAAAGATAATATTTATAATAATAATTCTGCACATTTCCAATTGCAGTGTATTACTTGTAGGACTTTCTTTAGCCTATTTATAACTTAGATGTTTTTTACCATCCTAGGTAGGGTCCTCATATTCGATTAGCTCAACTAAGCAGTTGAAAAGCCTATGCCGGGCACGGTGGCTCCTGCCTGTAATCCTAGCACTTTGGGAAGCCAAAGCAGGTGGATCACGAGGTCAGGCAGGTGGATCACGAGGTCAGGCGATTGAGACCATCCTGGCTAACACAGTGAAAGCCCATCTCTACTAAAAATACAAAAAAATTAGCTGGGCGTGGTGGCAGGTGCCTGTAGTCCCAGCTACTCAGGAGGCTGAGGCAGGAGAATGGCATGAACCTGGGAGGTGGAGCTTGCAGTGAGCTGCGATCGCACCACTGCACTCCAGCCTGGGCGACAGAGCGAGACTGCGTCTGAAAACAAACAAACAAACAACAACAACAACAAACAAAACAAAAAACACCAATGGTCATTTGAAGTCAAGTCTTGATAGTCAAGTTGGATACTTCCACTTGAGGTTAAAACAAAACAAAATCTGATAACTATAAAATAGAATAAAAGCGGGGCATGGTGGTCCATGCCTGTAATCCCAACATTTTGGGAGGGTCACTTGAGGCCAGGAGTTCGAGACCAGCCAGGCCAACATGGCAAAACCTCATCTCTACTAAAAATACAAAACATTAGCCCAGTATGGTGGCATGTGTCAGTAGTCCCAGCTACTAGGGAGGCTGGGAAGAATCGCTTGGGAAGCGGAGGTTTGCAGTGAGCCAAGATTGGTCACTGCACTCCAGCCTGGGCAACAGAGTGAGACTCTGTCTCAAATAAATAAGTAAAATAGTAAAATAAAATATAATAAAAGATTATGATGAATATAGCACATAAATTGACTTTAAAAACAAATCAGAAGTAGAATTCTGAAATAACTTTAGGCAATGCCAACATCATTGGAATGACACTGCTTTCCAAGGTAACTGCTTTAGAAATTTAACTTCTAATTCATTTATGAAAATGCAGTCTTGTAACTTATTAATGACAGTTCATGCCAACATGGTCTAAGAAAGAAATTCCAAGAACTTAAGCACTGTACTCTTGACAATTCAGGTACATTTTTACTCCAGTGCTTAGTATGATGCCAAGCATTTTGTGGCAACTGAATAAATAGGAGACAATGATGATGCCTGGCTTTGATATCAGTGGAGGTGACAATGTAAGAAGAGTTGGCAAGACATTAGTGACTGTGTACTGGCTGCTTCAAGATTGCTGGCATTGCCTTAGAAAGAATGAATGAAATTGCTGCTTACTGGTAGTTTTTTGCTCTCTTTTTTTTTTTTTTTTTTTTGAGATGGAGTTTTGCTCTTGTTCCCCAGGCTGGAGTGCAATGGCACAATCTCGGCTCATTGCAACCTCTGCCTCCTGGGTTCAAGCGATTCTTCTGCCTTAGCTTCCCAAGTAGCTGGGATTAAAGGAGTACACCACCACGCCCAGCTAATTTTTGTATTATTACTAGAGATGGGGTTTCACCATGCTGGCCAGGCTGGTCTCGAACTCCTGACCTCAGTTGATCCACCAGCCTTGGCCTCCCAAAGTGCTAGGATTACAAGCATGAGCCACCTTGCCCGGCCTTTTTTGCTCTTTTTTTATGGCAACTTATAAAACACGTGCCTCGTGCTTGTTTATGACACAGCTTATGGAAATTATGTAGTAACGCCACTGTACGCAGAAGAACAGCCCCTGACAATGAAGAAGCCTGGCACAGGACAAACATGAAGTGGCTCCTTATAAGGAAAGAAAGTCTTAAGAGACCACGCTAATAGTATCAATGATGGTTAACCCAAGGGGAGGACTCACAGATGGTTGACCTGCAAGGTATAGTCAAACCACCAAGGACTTTCTACTCTCATTTATAACTTTGGAAGCATTTGGGTTTTTTTGTGTTTTTGTGTGTGTGTTTTTTTGAGACAGAGTCTTGCTCTGTCATCCAGGCTGGAGTGCAGTGGTGCGATCTTGGCTCACTGCAACATCAGCCTCCTGGGTTCTCCTGTCTCAGTGACTCTCCTGTCTCAGCCTCCTGAGTAGCTGGGATTACAGGCACCTGCCACCACACCCAGCTAATTTTTGTATTTTTGGTAGAGATGGGGTTTCACCATGTTAGCCAGCTGGTCTCGAACTCCTGACCTTAGGTGATCCACCTGCCTTGCCCTCCCAAAGTGTTGGGATTACAGGCATGAGCCACAGCGCCCAGCCTATATTTTTATACCAAGGTATATTAACTGATATATTGGCCTGGCACAGTGGCTTGTCCCTGTAATCTCAACACTTTGAGAGGCTGAGGCGGGCAGATCACCTTACGTCCGGAGTTCGAGCCAGCCTGGCCAACATGGTGAGAGCCTGTCTCTACTAAAAATACAAAAATTAGCCAGGTATAGTGGCGCGAGCCTGTAATCCCAGCTACTTGGGAGGCTGAGGCATGATAATTGCTTGAACCCAGGAGGGGGAGTTTGCAGTGAGCCGAGATCACGCCACTGCACTCCAGCCTGGGCAGCAGAGCAAGAGTCCTCAATAAATAAATAAATAAATAAATAAATAAATAAATTAAAATTAAAAAAAATTTTAAATGACTTCTATATGTAAAAATTGTGGCATATGCTCTAAAAATACAAAAATGAATTCTCTTTGGATTTTGCCCTGAGGGAGTTTACACGTTAGCAGAGGAAATCAAGATAGGCAGAAATAACAAGAAAAATAGAAAGTAGAAAGTGATAAAAATTGTTTGAGAGGTACAGATAAAGAGAATATTTGGTCAGAAGGAGAGTCAAGGAATGGTCCCTGGAGGAGGTAACGTTTGAACTGAGATTAGAGAGTGAGATCAGAGAATGGCGCATCACATATATCAAATCTGTAGAAGCAAAAATCCATGAGGGAGAGGAGTGAATTGTTTAGTTGTCTGGATGTGGGAGTGTGAAGGGGAAGGGTTGGAAATAAGGTGGGAGAAGTAATGAGACTTCAGGCAGTAGGAAGTGAGGAGCAGTAAACAGATGAGTGATACCACCTGAACTTTGCTTTATTAAAAACAATCTGGTAGCACTCTTTCAGGGCGAAATCTATTTTCAGCCAATGTTAAACAATTGGCGAATGTCCAAACACTAAATTAGCTTGAGATGTTGTCCGCCATTAAATGTGAACCAAATTTGGGTTGTAAATGCATTTTTAATTCTGTAGCTGTAGCGTTCCTGATTGACTTAACAAATTAAACTTTTCACAGATGAATGGTGTTGGTAATATGTGTTAGCTTTATATTGTCCACTAGCCAGACATTTAAACAAACAAACAAACAAACCAAAAAATACTGTGAGCTGGATGAAGTTCTCTTGAAAATGCCTCAAGCATGGAGAGAATATTTTTTCCCCATGAGATGATAAATCTGGGCCGGGCGTGGTGGTTCACACCTGTAATCCCAGCACTTTGGGTGGCCGAAGCAGGTGGATCACCTGAGGTCAGGAGTTCAAGACCAGCCTGGCCAACATGGCGAAACCCCATCTCTACTAAAAATACAAAAATTAGCCAGGCATGGTGGCATGTGCCTGTAATCTCTGCTACTTGGGAGGCTGAGGCAGGAGAATCGCTTGAACCCAGGAGGCGGAGGTTGCAGTGAGCTGAGATTGCACCATGGCACTCCAGCTTGGACAACAGAACGAGACCTCATCTCAAAATAAATAAATAAATAAATAAAATAAAATAAAAATAAAAATGATAAATCTGGAAAAATGCTCAGGACAGAGGTAGAGCTCTGTTCATTTATATGTTTATATCCCTTTCAGCAATATGAGACCAGTGGAATGATTTGTTGAAATTTTCTTAAACCTCTGTCTGTGGCAGAATGCAGGTTAGTGCAAGCTTCTTTTCAGTTCCCCAGGCTACGATAAACCCAACATCTGCTGTCTTCCTCGTGGTGGATTTAAAGCCATGCATTTGGCACTAGAATGCAGACCAGGAAATCAGAGAGCTTGACCATGTTGCCTTCCATGATGGTGCTGGTTCTGTTATCAAACAAAATAAAAAAAAACAAAAACCCTTAAACTCAAAAATTGTTGCGTGTGCTTAGTTAAGTCCAGGCAACACCAACCCCAGGCTGGTGAAGCGATCAGCGAAAGCAGGAGCGGGTGCACAATTGCAATGATGATTCATCCTCAGAGGTGCATGCTTTCACTGAATTAAAGTTGCAGTGTTTTGAACGTAGCTTTTACCAACACAGAGCTTCCATAACCAAGTGTGGGAGTAATAACAGGACAAGCAGATTATAAGGAACTTGAGAAGGGATTCCACTACTGAGGAAGCAAACCAAGGGAATAGCTTTTACACGAGACATGAATTTTTCCCCACACATTTGTGTCCCTTCCAAATATAGATTTTTTTTTCATGTGGTACCAATGACTGAAAATGTGGGCCACACACACACACAATAAATTCAGTGTAGCGAGCACTCCGCATGTTATAGTATTACTTAGAATGTTTCTTTGGTTGTTTTCCCCAGAGTATTGAGGTGACGTATAATTTTTAGCTCAGTGTTGCTGATTGTAGATGGCAAACGATAGTGGGAGATGTGAATAAATATATCAAATAATGCTTACTTTTACCTTTTTAACTAAATATACGTACCATGTATGAGACTCTGAGCTAGACTCTGCAGGGTGTACGAAATTGAGTAGAGCATAGTCTTTTTCTTAAGGAGCTTATATCTGGTAGGGAACATAAGATAAAGGCAGTTGACTGGATTACAAGGGAGGCTATGTGCCATGCCAGGTAGATATGTTCCACACCATAAGTGAGCCTGCAGGCCATACACCATGGGGACTTGAAGCAGAAGAATGTCCAGGAAATGTTAAATGGAGGAAATAGGTGTGTGTCTTCAAAAATCTGGGTGCTGGGAAGATGGTGGCCCCATTCATGGAAATAGGGAAGTTGGGAGGAAGAGCATGTTTGCCTGTGAATGCGTCAAGTTTGGGATTTCAGTGAAATATGGTGGGTATAACGTCTTGGAGGTAGGTGAAATCTTGTCTAGAGAGAATTTGAGACTGGGAATGTGGATAGACATGCAGGGATAATAGTAGAAGTTGTGGAAGGGGTGAGATCACCAAGAAAAACTACATAGAGAGAAAAAGAGCACTGGAAACCTTTAGGGAAAACCCAATTTTAGAGCACAGGAGAAAGAAGGGGAAGTGATAAGATCCTGAATTAATGGTTTGAGTAGTAGGAGAAACTGGAGCGTGCAGTGCAGTGTAGCATTTAAGAGAGGATTTCAGGAAGAAGTTGAGCAACACTGAGGACTGCAATTGAAAGCTCGAAGGAGGATGAGGACAGAAGAAAATGGGATTTAGTGATTAGAAGGAGATTGATAAGAGAGCGATTGATAGGGGTAAAAACTAGATTAATTATTAAACATTTGCTGAAGTATACAAAACAAATGACACAAAGATCACAGTTTTTCCTGTTAGGACAACTGCTCTGTGCTTTAATGTCAGGGAAATAATGCAACAGCAAGAGAAAATTATTCCATAATGGATTAAGCATTAAAACATTGCCGGCCGGGTTCACGCCTGTAATTACAGCAGTTTGGGAGGCCAAGGTGGGCGGTTCATGCGGTCAGGAGTTCGAGACCAGTCTGGCCAACATAGTGAAACCCCGTCTCTACTAAAAATACAAAACATTAGCCGGGTGTGGTGGTGTGTGCCTGTAATCCCAGCTACCTAGGAGGCTGAGGCAGGAGAATCACATGAACCTGGGAGGCGTAGGTTGCAGTGAGCCGAGATGGTGCCATTGCACTCCTGCCTGGGCGAGAGGGTGAAACTCTGTCTCAAACACACACACACACACACACACACACACACACACACACACACACACTTGCCATTTGGGGAGGTTACCTGAGTCTTTCTCACACATGCTAATGTAAACCCTTCTTTGAGATAATGGAGTGGCTGGTCTTCACACTTGCTATTCACACTTTTTAATACAAGGGAATAGCAACCAGGTATCACTAGGCACCAGAAGTGGTGGATGTCTGGAGTAGATCAGGAAACATAGCAGAGAAGATTCCACTTCAAAGGGTTTAGTATGAAGCTACTTTAGTCATTGATTTTTCTGTCTTGGAGTGCCAATTTCTCCTCCTGACTTGTACACTTCTCTTTTTTAAAAAATTTTTGTCTTTCTTTTTTTTCTTTAGTTCTTCTGAAACAAAAAAAAGGGATACATGTGCAGAACGCGCAAGTTTGTTACATAGGTATACACGTGCCATGGTGATTTGCTGCATCTATTGACCTGTCCTCTAAGTTCCCTCCCCTCACCCCTCACCCGCTATCCCTCAACAGACCCTGATGTGTGCTGTTCTCCTCTCTCTGTCCATGTATTCTCATTGTTCAACTCCCACTTATGAGTGAGAACATGCGGTGTTTGGTTTTCTGTTCCTGTGTCAGTTTGCTGAGGATGATGGCTTCCAGCTTCATCCATGTCCCTGCAAAGGATATGATCTCATTCCTTTTTATGGCTGCATAGTATTCCATGGCATATACCACATTCTTTATCCAGTCTATCATTGATGGGCATTTGGGTTGGTGTCACTTCTCTTTGGACTCCAAGCATTTGTCTTTGATGGTGTTTTTGAGTGGTTACAGATGAAACAATGGGACTATCGCTACAAAATTGTATGACAAACCTTCCTCTTGCCTTCTTCAGTAGAATTAACTAGCTGATGATTATGGAAACAAAAGAAGATTGCAACAATAATATATTTTATTTCTTTTTTTAAAAGTTATTATTTTTTAGTGACAGGATTTTGCTATGTTTCCCAGGCTAGCCTCCAACTCTTGGACTCAAGCAGTCCTCCTGTCTCAGCCTGCTAGTAGTTGGAACTAGCGACATGCCCACGATATATTTTATTTCTGTATTGCTTTGTACCTCTCAAAGCCATTTGCATGCATGCCCCCTTTTGACCTCAAATCAGTCCTGTGGGGATAGAGAGAGATCTTTTGGGTAGGAATAAATACACAGAGAGAATATATAATCTGTTTATTGAAGTTCACCACCATTGTAAATACTGTCTTCTATTTTAAGACTATTTTTCTTCTTTGGATTGAAGACATGTAGATAGACAATATTGCTACACTATTTTTTTTTTACAACCTTAAGTGCTGATAGAGATCAGATAATTAGATAAACAATCCCTGATATATGTAAGAGTAAACACTCCACATGGATACTATATGTAAAAAAATAAACAATGGAAACATCATTGAGATAAAATTAGATAATTATTTTTATTTATTGAAATTAACACTGAAAGTGGAATGTTCCAACACTGTTAGGGATTACAGTGAGACAGTTTGACTTTATCTTATTCCTGAAGATGTTTTCACTCTTTCAATTTGACAACTCTTCTATAAAAGCCTTTACCTGGTGGATTAACAGTTTGAGGTATTTAGAGTTAAAGAAGCGTTGTTCAAGAGATTGGAGATAAAAGCAGGGGCGGGGGGAGTTAAAGAGGAGGAGACTCATTTATTCATGAATTCTTTCATTCATCCATTCCTTTAACATTTATTGATACCACTATGAGTTATGTACTAGATATTGTACTAGATCTGGGAACATGGAGTTGCTTTCTTTCATGAAAGACTTTCTGATGGAAGAAAAGAAATAATATCATTTTGAGGGGAAGAGTTTTCCTTGAAAACCTTGAAACTACTCTGGTGTTGGTTTCAAGCAATGGTGTGTTTTTAGAAAATCAAAATTTGCCAGGACTGGTCATGTTTCAACTAGTGTGTTGATTTAATTCTTACTCAAGGGAGAAAATTGCCACTTGGATCATCAACCCCAGTTTCTGTGGAATCAGATCTTTCTCCCTGCCTCTGAAAGCCCTTATATAAGAACTGTCCAGAGTTAAATGAGGGGTGACAAGTTCATAACGCAGAAGGAACATTGTGTCTCTGGGCTATCAAAACATTGATCACCCATCCAGCCATTTAGCAGGGTATTCCCTTGAAAATCTCTGGCTCCTAATGAACAGTATAAATATGTGAATAGGAAGGCTAGATTTGGAAAGCTGTCTGTATGAGAAGAAAGTACACTGATGACAGAACACACATATGTATCCCATGAGTTGGCAGCAGTGTGATTATGTTGACGATGTTGACATTTGACAGTCAGAGCCCAGGACATGATGTCTTTGAGAAATTCTTCTTAAGTTGGGTATATTTTTTCCTAGTAGAGTAAGAGATAGAGTTGGAAGTGATTGCCTATTCTATACTGATAAGAAAGACATAGGCTTTGTAGAGTTCAGGACCTTGGCTGGCACTTCTCTTGGCTGATGAAGCAAGCCAGCATGGCCAGTTCTACTGGTGGTTATCTGAGCCAGTCTGCACAGGTCCCTGATTGCTATGAATCAGCACTCGTAGGTTCCACAGGCAGTAAGGAACCAGAAATACTGGTTTCTACCAACAGTTGGTCTCAGAAGGACTGGTGTGACTAACCAACTGTAAGAACAGCCTCAAATCCTTTCTGGGAAGAGGCAGGGTTTATAAATAAACAGAAAACAAACACAACTGACTCAAACTGAAATTTGTGGCTCTGGTTTGATGTGGTGAATGTATTTAATGTAGCCCAAGAGAGAAAGCTGAGGTCTCTACATTTATGAAATTACTAAAAGATTGCAATCACTGTTCAGCATTGTCTAAAAATATCATGTACAGTGTCGAAGACTTGTACTAATCATATGATTAATAGAATGATTATGACAGTGCTCTATAAATAAGGGTATGAAGTGGCAGTGTAGGGGCCAAGGGAAAGCTTCCCCTTTGCCCTCTGAAGGTTGGCTGAAAAATCAACTCACAAAAGCAGATTAATTGGAGAAAAGGCATATAAATGTATTAATGTGTACACAGACAAGAACCGCAGAGTGATTACCCTGATCCCTCAGTGGGGTTCAGAAGCTTATAAGCCATCTTGAGCTTACACAAAGAAGGGGGGGGCTTGGATTGTGACAAAACAGTTTATGGTGACAAAACAGGTTATGGGAGAGGGAGAAGAGGAGGCCTGGCTAGCAAAGGTAGTCTTGCCTGCCGGGTAGCAGCCCTCAGAGAGAATAGAAGGTAAATGATTCCTTCAGACCTTTGAAGGTGTCAGACTTCCAGTTAATCTTTCCTAGATCCAGCCAAGGGAAAGTCTCAGAGAAAGCCTGGCTGCAGCAATGTATAGCTTCCAGATGCATATTTTCCTGACAATAGACAGCTTTCCAGGGCTACTTCTCTTTGCAGGCCCTCTGAAGAGCCATCACAAAGTATGTCAAATAAATATATTCTGGGGTGAAATATTTTTATTTCCTTCAATAGTGAATAGAGACAAGTATGGACTGTTTTAACAAAACAAAATAAAAGCATGCCAATAATAGACATTAGAGTATTAACTACTCATTGCATATGCCTGCAATTCTGTTTGTAATGGTAAATAATCTAGCATTTATGTAAACTTTTTTTTTTAATGCTTCCCCTCTGTTTGAAACTAAAAATTCCCAGGCTGGGTGTGGTGGCTCATGCCTGTGATCCCAGCATTTTGGGAGGCTGAGGCAGGTGGATCACCTGAGGTCAGGAGTTTGAGACCATCCTGGCCAACATGGCGAAATCCTGTCTCTACTGAAAATACAAAAATTAGCCAGGCATGGTGGTGGATGCCTATAATCTCGGCTACTCGGGAGGCTCAGGCAGGAGAATCACTTGAACCCCTGGGGCGGAGGTTGCAGTGAGCCAAGATCGTGCCAGTTCACTCCAGCCTGGGCAAAAGAGTGAGACTCTGTCTCAAACAAACAAACAAATAAAAACACAACAACAAAAAGAAACTAAAAATTCTATTTAAAAAAAATAGCCAAGGCTCTTTACAATTTATCTTCTTTACTTTAAAAAGAATAGAGCAGCAACATCTGAGTAAAGTACATTTTTTACATTTCAACCAATCCTTATGTAAAAGACATCTAAAAAGGTATATATTAGCATTTTTAGGGCTTTTTGGAATTATAAACAGATTGACAGCTCTGTGGCCTGGAGTTAGTGCTGTTTATTTCCTAGACTGATATAGCAGCGGCTGTAGTTCCATGCATGGCACCCTGATTCCCAGGATTAGGAATACAAAGGCTGATTTGTGGGGAGGAGAGTTTTCTGGAAGCACGTGCAGCTGCCACTGGCGCATGCCAGCACATTCATTAGCCAATCTGACAGCAGAGCTGATGTCTACTCTCAGCTTTTCGGGGCAAAGAAAGGCACATGATGCCAAAGGGCCTTCTCATTCTTAGCTGAACACACAGAAGGGTAAAGCCAGGGGTTCCCATGATCCTTCCTTTTTCCTGGATCGTTAGCTGTCAGGATCTCAAGTAATCATGAATTAACCCCTGTAAGGCATCTGAATGAATGCCTACCTTATTTTAAACCTGAATAAGTAAAACCCTCTTAAAGATTGCTGTTTCATGCTGCCCGCCCCATCCCCCCAACCCACTCCCTTTTAATAATGTAGCAACATGGAGATTGAAGTGGGTAATTTTTCTCTTTGTATACTGTCTTTTTCAATTCTGGAACAGGTCCAGAAATTATAAATTGAATTGAATTATAAATAAGTATTGAATATTGTTTTGCTATTCCCAATACATTTAATACTGTCAATTATTTTAATTGGGCTAGTCATTTCAGAATTTAAAATAGTAAAGGCTCAGTCAAGGTTGCATCAGGGATTCCTGATACTTGGGAAACTAGAAAACAACAACAACAGTTCAAATCCATGTAGCTTCATTCAAATCATTCATGTACTGGCGTATGCCATAGTCCTTAACCTGACCCTACCCTGTGGTTCATAAAACTGTCAACTAACTTGCATATCATCCAGATGTCTTGTTTTGGCTCACCACATTTCAGACTTCGGTCTGTGAATACTTGCAAATATTTTCTTTTTTCTTTTTCTTTTCTTTCGCTTTTTTTTGAGACGGAGTCTCGCTCTGTCACCAGGCTGGAGTGCAGTGGCGCGATCTGGGCTTACTGCAACCTCCGACTCCCTGGTTCAAGCAATTCTCCTGCCTCAGCCTCCTGACTAGCTGAGATTACAGGCACGTGCCACCACACCCAGCTAATTTTTGTATTTTTAGTAGAGACGGGGAGTCACCATCTTGGCCAGGATGGTCTCAATCTCCTGACCTCGTGATCTGCCCGCTTCAGCCTCCCAAAGTGTTGGGATTACAGGCGTGAGCCACCGTGCCCAGCCACAAATGTTTTCTTAAATAATTTAGCATACATTACTGGTTGTCTCAGAATATTTCAGCAATAACGTAATAGTCTTTATTTATAACTAATAAAACTAGGATAATCCAGCAGTGGAAACCAATGAATAGGAGGCAACTCACCATGGTCTTGCTGGTTTTGCCAATGCCAAGCCAGAGGAACACAGGCAAATTATGAAATTCCTCTGGGTAGTATCACAGAAAAGCAAGGAGAATTTCAAAGCCGGGCCAGGAGGTGCTATTTAGGTAGAGATATTAAACATAATCACAGTTTAAGTGATTATATAAAAAGGGGCTGTTACAGAAACAGTGAAATCTTTATAGCCTCTGATAGGATACTTGATGGGCTTCCAAATTTGCGCACTTCCCTCTTGAAGAGAGTTAGATCTTTTGACTAGAGGGCTAGATCTCTCTCCTCTCTGAATTTCAAAAGTGTTAAAATAACAAGCAATGTCTAGCTGGGTGATTTTCCACATTCGTCCTGTCTAAAGGAAGAAGTTTGTTCTACTGTAAACAGTTATGGGAACTGTTTGCTTTGGATGGGCTTGGTCCTCATTGGCTGAGGAGGACTTTCTTACTCTGGTTTCTTGCCAAGGTAGAAATTCAATGCCAAAAGCTTCCTAGTCCTGTCTGGACATCCTCTAATCAGAATAAATTTGACCTAAAGAAAGTATGTTGGAGAGCTGCAAGCATGGTAGTAGTGCCTTGAAAAAAAAAACCAGTCGATTTAAGTAGTAGATTGTGCGGTTCAGTAGCATGGAACAAAGTTCATTGTCATATCCTGGACAGAACATTTCTTGGATCTTTTCTTGCTCCACCTCTAACCAGAAAAGGCTCTATCCTGAAACTATATTTGCATGTATGCAAGCCCTTTGAAATTCTTACACTCCTTTGCGTCTATTAAACCAAGAGGATAAGCAACCTGGTAATTTAGCACGGTCATGAGCATTTATCTACACAGTGGGCTCCAAATGGGTGTCTGAAGGTGAGTTGAGTGTGGATGTTAGAAGCCAGTCTTTCATTCTAGTCTTTCAAATATTAGCTGTACAAAGTGGATTATTTATACAAGTTATAGTTCTAAGCACAGTCTCTAGAGCCAAACTGCCTTCAGTTTGAATCCTGCCTCTACCAATTGTTTGGCAATCGACCCTGGACAAATTGCGTAAGTTCACTATACCTCTTTCTTTGCCTCTGTGAAATGGGCATTGTTGTGAGGTTTCAATGTTAATATATGTGAGGAACTTAGATCAATACTCAGGAACAAGTAAGTGCTCAATAATATTAGCTGTTTTTATTTTCTCCTTCTCTTGAAATTACAAGTGATGCTCACTGACTACTGACTCATTGTCTAGCTTGATGCTTCTGGCTGGAGAAGGATTTATAAGGGAGTGAGAAATGTGTGGATGTGCCATCTGTCCACTTTTACTTCTAGGTGTATCCGTATCTGTGTATAAAAGCCAAAAAAAAGGCCCATTAAATGCTCAAACATTTATGAAGACTTTTCTCAAAAAAGACTTTCCTGGCTTTTAAGCTGTTAGGCAAATCAGTTCTATATTTAAATATCATTCTGTCCTTTTGATGGTTGAATTCAAATTGTGCCTATTATAGCTGACTCTTAATCGTAGGTGGTCCTGTGCCAATCGTGTAAGACTACTGACAATGATCTATGGCAACAATCATTTCTGTACACAAGTTGTGGTTGACTAAATCCACATATTCTCTCAGGTGTGGGGCAGAACCTCTAAAATGCCACAGTGAGTGGGAGGTGGGGCATTTATAAGTAGCAGATCATTGTACAACCATTTCCTGTGCCCCAGCCTCCTCTGACCTCAGCTACTTTTTTAAGGTACTGACCCACAGCCTCTGCTATGAGCCATATCCCCAGCACCTCCTCTGTGCAGCTCCAGTAGCCACTTCTTGTCTTGGAGGCTGGCTGTGTCATGCAGTGTTGCAGATTATGCTAAGTGAATCCAGTATCTCCTTGTTGCTCCCTCTGTCAAGGATCTGCAGTTTGTGGATTTAATATGTGGAGCACATATTCATTTATTAATTCACCACTTAGGCATGTATTAAGGCCCACTATACACTAGGCATTGCACTAAGCATTGGGAATGTAAATATGACCAAAGTTCTTCTTCTTCTTTTTTTTTTTGAGACAGGGTCTCACTCTGTCATTCATGCTGGAGAGTAGTGGTACCATCATAGCTCACTGCAGCCTCAACCTCCTGAGCTCAAGCGACCCCCCAACTCTCCCCACTCCCCACAACTTTGCTTTAGGCTCCCAAGTAACTAAGACTCCCAGTTAATATTTTATTTTATTTTTTTGAGACAGAGTCTTGCTCTGTCATCCAGGCTGGAGTGCAGTGGCACTATCTCAGCTCACTGGAACCTCTGCCTCCTGGGTTCAAGTGATTCTTGCGCCTCAGCCTCCTGAATAGCTGGGACTACAGGTGGGCGCCACTGCACTCAGCTAATTTTTGTATTTTTGGTAGAGATGGGGTTTCACCATGTTTCCCAGGCTGGTCTCAAACTCCTGGTCTCAAGTGATCCACCCACCTCGGCCTCCCAAAGTGGTGGGATTACAGCACCGCGGCTAGCCCTTTATTTTTATTTTTTGCTATGTTACCCACTATGCCTAGCCTGACTAGATTCTTGATAGCACCTCATGACTATATATTAGACTCTAGAGGTGAAGAGAAACACAGGTGGATATGACAAAGGTAGCAAAATGGTGTGGGGTCATGGTTAGAAACATGGACTTTGAGCCTGAGTGTTTGGGTACAAATTCTTACTCAGCCACTTACTAGCTGTGTGACCTTGGACTTCATAATAACTTCACTTCTCTATGCCTAGTTTCCTTATTTGTCAAGTGGCAACTGTCATTGTACCTAGGGTTGTTGTAGGAGTTAATATTTATGACTATGTAGGGGAGTGTCTGAAACATAGTAAGTGCTATGTAAACATTTAAGTAAATAAGTGCAGCAATCGAGCTATATACAGGGTATTATAGGAGTACCTTGTCCAATTAGCAATATCAAACTTTTGCTTCTGTTCAGGTCTGTCCAAGGTATGGGGACATTTCCGAAGTCAGGAGAATTAAAAAAAAAAAAAAAAAGCCAGAGTTTGGCTGCTCAGCATCAGTGCAGCATTAGTGCAGGCCTTAGCCCACAACTTACTTCCACTAATGAACATTTGTCTCATTCCTTGGGTCAAATTTCTACCTGGTATCTTTGTCCTAGTAAATGAGTCTTTGTCCTATTTTCCTGCATCTTTAGTCTCTGCCTAAATTTCTGGTCAAGTCCTCAGTTCTTCTGGAACAGAGGTTCTGCCTTGATCTTGCTAATTTGCATGCCCGTAAGCTCCACTCTCCAAGCAGGGTTCCAGCTACCAGCTGCCAGGCCTGCTTGCTGCCTGGGTTTCTGAATATTACTTGCTCTAGGAGTCCCCATTGCTATTTTTCTTCCATGCATTTAGCCACCCATCTGCCTATTATTCTACTCTCCTGACACTATGCCCTGACCTGGCTGGTGTCTCTAATTGCCTGTTTTCCATGTGGCTGCCTGGCCCTTAGGGACAGGTGTTTGATCTTATCATCTCACTTATGCCTTGTTCGGCCACCACTTAATCTTCCCTACTGACAAGAAAGAAGGTGGCAAGGAAGAACGGCTGAGTGAGACACTCTGTGTTGCTCATCAAGTGACCTAGTTTAGTTTACCAAGGAATGTTTGGGTGTATCTGTTGGGGGTAGCTTATCATAAATAACTATGCATAGCCATATGTGTAATTAGGAGGGGCTTGCTCTCTACAAAGTTTCCTATGTGAAGACTTTCTCTTCTTGATGCCCCAGTTAAGGAAATTCCTTTACTAATTTATCTTCCTGAATAACCCGTCCTCCCTGAATAATCAGTTTCATGTGCTGTCCCACTGCTGCTAAATTACTCTAATGAAGTCATAATACTGTGGTTCTGGGCTTTCAAGTTCAGTACTTTCTACGTATTTTTCATTCTTAGTGTTTGCATGCAGGCTAAACATTCTAGGACGTCATGGTTTCCCCTCTGCTCCCCACCATTCCTATTTTTACTTCTCGGAGTTTTCCAAAACTTGATTATAGTCAATGTCAGCCCAAAGAATTTCCCTTTCCCTGGAATCACTTCTGTTGAACATGGCCACTTTTGTTTTGAATAAGAAAACCTAATCATCTCAATTACGATAATAACCTCGAAGTTGCATTACTGACGAGGGTGTCATGAAAGTGAGTCAATAGTGGAAGGGGAATAAAGGGCATAATATAATCCCCAGCTCTTAGCAACATAACCTAATTTTCATTCAGTCCCATGTAGCTGCCTAATTTCCATTAGGCGCATGCTGATTTCTTTTAGCCCCATGCACAGAAGACGATCTTATTTTCCCTTCAGTTCTATTTGGTACTTAGAGTTAATTGGAAACTTAATTATAAGTGCTAGAAGTCATCTGCAGAGTATTTCTCATTTGTGATTTATTATCCATTTTTATGGTATGCATTTATTTTCTTGATCGAAATAATTTTCATTTTAAATAGCATCTGACATTTGCAAGGGTTTTAAAGCACATTCATATATGCTATCTCATTAATTCTCACAACAGTCCTGTGAGGTAGGCAGAACTGTTATTATGCCTATGCTACAGACGAGAAAATAATGGCAGGGAAAAAGATTGTGGGAGAATAAAGTAAAAAGTGCATAGGAGGAAGAGCCTGATGATTAAGCACTGCTTGCAGCTCTGGCGTTGTTGACTATGAGCTGCATGCCTCTAGGCAAGTTACTTAAACTCTCAAGCTTTGTTTCTTCATCTGAAAAATGAGGGACTTAAATTTAGGGTTTCTTGCAGTTCTGAGTCTGTGTGATGTTTGTTTAAGCCGGCATATTCATATTAACCTTCCCTACTCAACCGCTGATAGGTGAGGAATACACACACACACACACACACACACAGAAGTACACACACACACACACACACACACACACACTCACATCAAGGACTCCTTTGGGCCCAAGAGTTGAGATAGGCAATCCTGAAGTGAGGGGGCTGGGAGAACCAGGGAACTGAGCATGTAGGAAGAGATGATTTGCTCTTGAAAAGGTGTAGTGGGGCTGGGCACGGTGGCTCACATCTGTAATCCCAGCACTTTGGAAGGCCAAGGCAGGCAGATCACAAGGTCGGGAGATCCTGGCTAACACGGTGAAACCCCGTCTCTACTAAAAATACAAAAACAAAATTAGCCAGGTGTGGTGGCGGGCACCTGTAGTCCCAGCTAGTTGGGAGGCTGAGGCGGGAGAATGGTGTGAACTTGGGAGGCAGAGCTTGCAGTGAGCTGAGATCGCACCACTGCACTCCAGTCTGGGTGACAGAGTGAGACTCCATCTCAAAAAAACAAACAAACAAAAGGTGTAGTGAATATTCATTCTAGGTTGAGTGAGGTGGCAAGTCCCAGCTGGGACAGCTTTGGGACCAGTTCAGTGCAAATTTGGAGGAATTAGAGGTTGGGAAAAGGTTGGAAAAGTGTTTCCTTTTAGGGGAGAAACAAACTGGACATCAATTACAAAGTTTCACTGTATGTTGGCTGATAGAAATATAGTAACCATTCGAATTTTGTGGCTGGGTGTGGTGGCTCATGCCTGTAATTCCAGCACTCTGGGAGGCTGGGCAGATCACTTGTCAGGAGTTCCAGACCAGCCTGGCCAACATGGTAAAACCCCGTCTCTACAAAAACAAAATACAAAATTAGCTGGGTGTAGTGGCACGCACCTGTAGTCCCAGCTACTCGGGAGGCTGAGGCAGGAGAATTGCCTGAACCTGGGAGGTGGAGGTTACGGTGAGCCGAAATCGTACGACTGCACTCCAGCCTGGAGACAGAGCAAGACTGTGTCTTAAAAAAAAAAAAAATTACAAAAATTAGCTGGGCATGGTGGCACGTGCCTATAGTCCCAGCTACTTGGGAGGCTGAGGCATGAGAATCACTTGAACCTGGAGGTCACAGTGAGCTGAGATCGTGCCACTGCTTTTCACCCTGGGTGACAGAGCTAGGCCCTGAATAAAAAAATAATACTTTTGGAAAAAAAAATAGCACCAAAACTCTGAAAGTAAAGCTACTCTATAAATGCAAAACTGTGATGTTATTTATTTATTTGAGACAGAGTCTGGCTCTGTAGCCCAGGCTTAAGTGCAGTGGCACAATCTCGGCTCACTGCAACCTCCACCTCCCAGGTTCAAGCAATTCTCCTGCCTTAGCCTCCTGAGTAGCCGGGACTACAGGTGCCTGCCACCACACCCGGCTAATTTTTTGTATTTTTAGTAGAGACGAGGTTTCACCGTGTTAGCCAGGATGGTCTCAATCTCCCGACCTTGTGATCCGCCCGCTTCGGCCTCCCAAAGTGCTGGGATTACAGGCATGAGCCACTGCTCCCGGCCTATTTATTTATTTTTTTGAGACAAAGTTTCGCTCCTGTTGCCCAGGCTGGAGTGCAATGGCACGATCTCGGCTCACCGCAACCACTGCCTCCTGGGTTCAAGCGATTCTCCTGCCTCGGTCTCCTGAGTAACTGGGATCACAGGCGGCCGCCACTTCACCCAGCTAATTTTGTGCTTTTAGTAGAGACGGAGTTTCACCGTGTTAGCGGGGATAGTCTTGATCTCCTGACCTCGTGATCTGCTTGCCTCGCCCTCCCAAAGTGCTGGGATTACAGGCATGAGCCACTGCACCCCACCCGATGTTTTTGAAACAATGGATTTATTAATCTTTGCATGAGAGTCTTGCTGTAACATTTTGGAAAGGGGGAGGCTTTTTCTTCCTTTTTGTGTGTTACAATGTTATGTGGCTAACATTTAGCCAAAGAAGGATGTAACCAGAAGAGTATCTGTTTTGCAGCACATAACCTAGAAGGATTTCAATTCTAGGGCTCACATCATGGTGTCTGTGTGTGTGTGTGTGTTTGCCTATGTTATATTTTAAATAGCTTAGCTGCTTCTGTGATTATGCCACCTTTTTTTTTTTTTTTTTTTTGAGATGGTGTCTTGCTCTGTCAGCCAGGCTAGAGTGCATTGGTCCCATCTCGGCTCACTGCAACCTCCGCCTCCTGGGTTCGAGTGATTCTCCTGTCTCAGCCTACCAAGTAGCTGGGATTACAGGCATGCACCACCACACTCGGCTAATTTTTCTATTTTTAGTAGAGACAGAGTTTCGCCATGTTGGCCAGGTTGGTCTCGAACTCCTGACCTCAGGTGATCTGCTTGCCTCGGCCTCCCAAAGTGTTGGGATTACAGGCGTGAGCCACGGCGCCCGACCTACCACTTTTTGATATCTGCTAGAGCCATCATCTTCTCCTGATCACTGGTAATCAATCTCTGACAGAAGCATAGCAGAACCATTGGAAAACAGTACTTAACTGATGGCGGAAGTGAGACAAGCTCAGTGTGGGCAAGGAGGCTGCCTATGTTATTCACCCTAATCATCTGAGTCCCTGGCAATAGTAGATCCTCAATAAAATCGTGGGTGAATAAAGCATATTTCTCCTAAAACTATAACAATTATTGTTATCAACAGAGGAAACATTTGCATGATGCTACAAAGTAAGCAAAATAAGAAACAAGCTCTCTGTGTGAAGTTAAGGTAACAGGGCTTCAGATAGTACCTTGAAAAACATTATTTAAGGTAGGGGCTCTTGCCTGTAATCCCAGCACTTTGGGAAGCTGAGGTGGGAGGATTGCTTGAGCCTAGGAGTTTAAGACCAGCCTGGGCAACATGTTGAGACCCTGCCTCTGAAAAAAAAAAAAGAAAAAATTAGCTGGGCATGGTGGTGCACGCCTGTGGTCCCAGCTACTTGGGAGGCTGAGGCAGGAGGATCTCTTGAACTCAGAAGGTTGAGGCTGCAGTGAGCCATGTTCAAACCACTGTACTCCAGCCTCGGTCTGAGGGCAAGACCCTGTTTCAAGACAAACAAAAAACAAAACAAAAAACATTATTCTTTAGTGAATATCCTGCCTTTATTTCTGAGATCACAAAGCAGTGGAGTGTCCCTGGCTTTTGAATAGATAGCGATAGTTTCTGTATGGGCAAGAATTTGTTCCTTTGCTGAATATTTTGAGAAGTGAGTATCCCATACGGAGGTTGGTGAGAATACCATATGCATCTTGATTATCCTGACAGCCCAGAAAAGGAACCAAGGTAAAATTGCTAGAGGGTAATTTTCTGTGGTCTCAGCTTGAGACTGCAAAGCAGAGCATGATAAGGGGACAAGTACCTCCGCATCTCATGGAAAGGATCTAGACTAACATCAGGTCTGGCTAACAGGTGCCCAAAACAGTTTCCACAACCTGTGGCCCCCACCCATCTCAGACAAGAGAGTTCTTTTGCAGATTTTTTTTTAAATAACAACTTTATTGAGATATAATCACGTACCATCAGATTCACCTTTTTAAGGTGTGTGATTCAGTGATTTAAAATCTATTCAGAGTTGTGCAGCCATCACCACTGTCTAATTTTAGAACACGTTTGTCATCCCCAAAAGAATCCCTGTACTCATTAGCAGTCACCCCCCATTTCTCCTCCCAGCCACTGCCAATCACTAATCTGCTGTTTCTATGGATTTGTCTGTTCTAGATGTTTCATTTGAATGGAATCATACAACATGTGACTTTTTGTGTCTGGCTTCTTTCACTGAGAACAATGTTTTCAAGCCCAGGTGTGGTGGCTCATGTCTGTAATCCTAGCACTTTGGAAGGCCAAGGTGGGCAGATTACTTGAGGTCAGCAGTTTGAGATCAGCCTGGCCAACATAGCGAAACCCTGTCTCTACTAAAAATACAAAAATTAGCCTGGCATACAAAAATGGTGGCATGCACCTTTAATCCCAGTTACTTGGGAGGCTGAGACACAAGAATCACTTGAACCCGGGAGGCAGAGGTTGCAGTGAGCCGAAATCATGTCACTGTACTCCAGACTGGGCAACAGAATGAAACTGTGTCTCAAAAACCATAATTAAAACCAAACCAAAACAAAACAAAAGTATAATGTTTTCAAGGCTCACCTATGTTGTAGCGTGTATCAGTATTTCACTTTTTTTTACAGTGGAATAATAGTTCATTGTAAAGATATACCATATTTTACTCATCCATGCATCTGTTGATGGACATTTGCATTTTTTCCACTTTGGGACTCTTATGAAGATGCTGCTATGAACATTCATTTACATTTTTTTGTGTGGTCTTAGGAGAATTTGACCTTGTTCCCTGAAGTTTGTGAGCATAGAGTATGAAGTCTGTTCCTTGTCTAGACATGGGATTGGCTGGAGCTGCACCTTAGAGCAAAGAGGAGAGCCAAGATTGTAGTGGGAGTAAGCCACAATTCTACAGTACTCAGGGTAAGTGTTGTGTTTTCTGAAGACTAGAGTGCACACTGTGGAAGATACAACCATTTTTAAAACACCTTGCCCAACAATACTATCTGTGTGGTGCATTATTTTCTGACCCAGAGCTAGGGGAGAATCATTAGTGGTCACCAGGGGAGTATATTTTCCATCTGAGAAAAAAAGGAAAGTGTTGGAGATCCCCAGTGGAGGTTGAGGGTTTTTCTAAAAAACACACATAAGCTCCCTTCAAGAGTGAGTCAGCTGGCATTTGAACATGGGTCCCACAGAACATACCAACATCCAAAGAAAACAGCACCAGCTAAATAATGAAGAACCTTTTGCTTTTTACTTCTCCTTTCTCCTCTATCCCTCACTGGGGAGGAACAACAAACCACAGAGTAACTGGGGTGTGACTGGAATAAGAACATGCTCCACTTCCCTACTGCAGGTTACTGGGACCCAGTAAGACCTGACCTGGAATGTAAGAGAGGAAGACTTGAAGAAGAAGAAAGAGTGAAGTTTGGATATTAAAGAAGGCTGAACCTGTATAGTATCTTTTTTTTGTTTTTTGTTTTTTGTTTGTTTGTTTGTTTGTTTGTTGAGATGGAGCCTTACTCTGTCACCCAGGCTGGAGTGCAGTGGTGCCATCTCGGCTCAATGCAACCTCCATCTCCTGGGTTCAAACAATCCTCCTGCCTCAGCCTCCCAAGTAGTTGGGACTACGGGTGTGTGCCATCATGCCTGACTAATTTTTGTATTTTTAGTAGAGATGAGGTTCATTATGTTGACCAGGCTGGTCTTAAACTCCTGACATCAAGTGATCTGCCTGCCTCGGCCTCCCAAAGTGCTGGGATTACAGGTGTGAGCCACTGTACCTGGTCCCATGTAGTATCTTGAAATAAGATTATTACAAAAGTGAAAAGCACTGGAAAAGTTACAGAGTTTGCTCAAGATATTGTCTGGGGTCAGGAAAAAGAGATTGGACAGAGCAAGTCTGAAGCACAAGCACGGCAGAAAAAGAAAATAAAGCCATTTCCTGACTGCACTTTATAGGGTCCTGCCTGATTAATAAACAAGCTTTTGTCAGAGTAAAGTTATCTCTGAATTGGGACTGCTTAGGGCTTCTTTAACCCTGGAACTGTGCTAAAGGTGCCTTACTGTAGCTGGGAGGTGGCATCCACTAGTGGGGCTGCCAATCAAAGGGCCTTGCCTCCCCCATTGCAAAAGTAGGTGTATGTGCAGGCTGACCAATTAGGACAACCTGTTTCCAGGTGACGGTGATGGGTCTGGAGGTGGGCACATGACTCAAGCAGGGCCAAGCAGAGTCCTTGTCTGTAGAGGGTTAGGAATGGCAAAAGTCTTTCTCTTCCTGAGATCATGAACTGTAAACATTATGCATACTTGTTGTGTCCAGAATTGTCTTTCCCTTCACGTGGTAAGAGCTTGCTGGAGAAAGAAGCCAATTCAGAGAGAAGTGAGTTGAGAGACAGAAACAGAGTCCACCTGATTCATGATTACATTGATGGAAAAAAAAAGACTCAGGGATCTGTTTTCTTTTAATTTTTTTATTATTTATTTATTGAGACGGAGTCTCACTTCCCCAGGCTGGAGTGCAGCAGCTGGATCTCGGCTCACTGCAAGCTCCACCTCCCGGGTTCACGCCATTCTCTTGCCTCAGCCCCCCGAGTAGCTGGGATTACAGGCACCCGCCAACACGCCCAGCTAATGTTTGATATTTTTAGTAGAGACGAGGTTTCACCGTGTTAGCCAGGATGGTCTCGATCTCCTGACCTCGTGATCCGTCTGCCTTGGCCTCCCAAAGTGCTGGGAGTACAGGCGTGAGCCACCGCGCCCAGCCTTTATTTTTTATTTTTAGAAGTCTTGGACCAATGGTGCACGGAGCTGAGTAAATCATACTCCTCAGTTCTTGACATACATCACTACTTGGTGTGTAAAAGACAACATTCACTTAAAAAATTACTGTTCTTCATCCAGCATTCCCTCTCTCATTCTCCTGTTACTACAGGCACCACTTAAATGTGTTTATGTATTTTTCAAAGATACATACATACCCAATAACATATATTGGCATCGTTTTGTGTATATATGTGTTTTTAATATAAATTTAAATTAAAAAGGTAATACAAATGGCATTATATTATAGATTTCACTAAGATTCTTTTTTTTTGTTTTTAACCCAGTACTGTGTTTTAAAGTTCTCACCACACTACTGTATATAACCCATTGGCCCAACTGTGGCTAGAGCTCCTAGGTTCAGTAAAGCTCCGACTACCATGAACAATGCTGTCATTGACATCTTCATGCAGGTCTAGGGATATATGCAGAAATGGAATTGCTAACACTAACTTCAGGACATTTTAATTACTGCATAATTAATGCATTCTCTTTTTGCATAAGCCATTGTTAATGAGTTTATGTGACTTTTACCCAAAGGATGCCTGGTTAATCCTTGCCTGTTGAAGGTGAAGGGTACCATGTCCTATCTGCTGGCCACCTCTAACTTTCTTAGGAGAGGCCAAAAATAAAGTAGCCTTTTTCCATGTCCCTTCAGCACTCCCAGCCATGCTTTTATTTACTTATTTATTTTTTAGAGACAAGGTCTTGCTTTGTCACCCAGGGAGGAGTGCAGTGATGTGATTCTAGTTCACTGCAGTCTCTAACTCCTGGGCTGAAGGCATCCTATTGCCTCAGGCTCTCAAGTAGCTGGGACTACAGGCAGGTATGACCATGCCTGGATAATTAAAAAATTTTTTTTTCCTGTAGAGACAGGGTCTTGCTACGTTGCCAAGGGTACTCTTAAACTCCTGGCCTGAAGCAATCCTCCTGCCTCAGCCTCCTGAAGTGCTGAGATTAAAGATGTGAGCCACCATGCCCGGCACACCCATGCTTTTACACTCAATAATTGGTGCCTCCTTTGGAAAAAGTCTCAATACTTCTGTTTCACGTGATGGATAATACGCATCTATAGGTGTTGTTTTATTGAAAAAGTGTTTTAATTTTTAAAAATCCATGTTAAATGTTCAGAACATAGAAAAATATTTTCAAACTTTGGAATTGCAATTATGTTTGCAGCAGAGATATCTATTAATGCTAAAAATACTTTACTAGATCAATCATCTTAATAATAAAATCTTATTAAAACAGTCTTTTCTCACCACAGGAATGCTAGTTATGAGACTTTGGTTAGGGAGATTTCCTTCTGCAATCCATAGATCTTTCTCCAAGTGTTTTTTGTTTACTGAACATTTTGAGATTTCTCAGAAGTCTTCCTGTGAGACACTGCTACAGAAACCCCCTTTCCATACACAAAGGTCAGCTGAAGTAGCTGAAGGATAATGAAATAGTCCTCTGTTCCTTGATTATGAGCTGATAGCAATCATATGAAGTTCAACAGAGATGAAGTCAATGCACATAAATATAAAAGTATTCATTGATGTTAACCCTAACATTAAACAGGTTCAGGAAGGGGTAGGCCTGGTTTGATAGCAGCTCATGTGAAAAAGACACAGAGGCAATGCATGTGTGGGGATAGGGGGAATATGGGAAATCTTTGTACCTTTCAGTCAATTTTGCTGTGAACCTGAAGCTGTTCTAAAATGTAGTCTATTAAAAAAGGAAAAAAAGGAGAGATATTAATTGACCTTAACTTAATATATAGCAACAGTCTGTAAAGGCTGTTAGATGCACCAATGCAATGTAATGGAAGTGTTATCCTGTGCTCAGCCTGGGGGCCAGGGAAAAGAATCACTCTCTTCTCCTTTCTAGTTTTACCATTTCTGGGGTGTTATTCTGAGAACCAAGCTTAAAAGAGACAAAGACAAGTGAGAGGCTTGTAGATTAGGACAATTAGCATGGAAAATAAATTTAGAAACTATAATGCCAGGAAAGACCAAGGGAATACCAGCTGCCTTCAAATACTTGGAGGACTTAGGTGTGAATAATGGCAACATTTTAACTTAGGTAGCATCTCACAATTTCCAAAGCGCCTTTATTTTTATTATTTAATTTGATGCTTATATTGGCTTTGTGAGGTAGACCTTTATAAAACGGTAAGCTGTTTTATAAAGGAGGAAACTCAAGCTCAAAGAGATTAACTTCATTTTGCTCTAAGTAGGATGGTGGTTAAGTGGAGATGTTGGGACAAGAATGCAGGCCTCTTGAATTATATTTAGTGTTCTTTCAATGACATAAGACATCCTGTGCTTTTGTAGAAAGTGAACTAAGGGCCAATGGTAGTGAAGCAGAAGGCAGTGAATTCAATATAAAAATTTTTCAAAAACACTGGCAAGAACTTTCCGATAATGGAAGGGCCAGCCCCCCAAAGTTGTCAACTTTTCCAGTGGAAATTAGATAATCGTCCTTCAGGGATATTGTAGCAAAGATTCCAGTATGGAAAGACACTGGACAATCTTACTGGTTTCCATAACTGTTATTTTATTTGTATTAGACTGAGAAAGAAACAAACATATAAATATGCTGGCAACCTGCTGTGTTTTCATTAATCAGTTTGCTAACTAGGGCTGAAATCTGAAAACAAAATTCCATTTGAAAAATATTATTCAGGCTGGGTGGCAGATGAATGACTCATTGATATGTTTTTGTCAATCTTAATTCTGTTTACTTACTGGTCATAGTACATTGGTGTTGATTTCTCTTATACTTCAGCCATGTCTCTTAATACCAGTTACACTGAGAGACAAAGAACAAGAGAATAATTACGAAAAATCAGACTTTGGGAACTGAGCTGTCTGGGTTGAGGTCACCTCAAAAGCTCACGAAGTCTGATGTTTGTGCAGCCTCAAGTATATTTTTTACTGTGTGTCTGAAGCTCATGACACGATCAAGGTTAGTAACTATGGAGACTGGTGTGATTTATTTACCACTGAGGAGGTTTAGCACTGACAGAATCAGAACAGGCTTCCTCATGCAAACGGAGTGCCTGCCTATCCTTATTAAGGGGATCTGGGGAAAAAAAGATGAATTAATGCAAACGATGAATTAATGCAATTAAATGAGGTCACATGAAAGTAAAAAGGAGAAAGAAAGGGCTTGAAAAAGCATGGGAACTCCTTTTTTTTTTTTTTTTTTTTTTTTGTGAGATGGAGTCTCGCTCTGTCGTCCAGGCTAGAGTGCAGTGGTGCGATCTCAGCTCACTGCAAGCTCTGCCTCCCGGGTTCACGCCATTCTCCTGCCTCAGCCTCCCGAGTAGCTGGGACTACATGCGCCCGCCACCACGCCCAGCTAATTTTTGATATTTTTAGTAGAGACGAGGTTTCACCATGTTAGCCAGGATGGTCTTGATCTCCTGACCTTGTGATCCGCCCGCCTCGGCCTCCCAAAGTGCTGGGATTACAGGCATGAGCCACCGCGCCCGGCCATCCTGTTCCTTCTCATCCCTGTGTCTCTGCTTATACAGTTTTCTCTTTTCAGAATGCACTCCTTATCCAGGGTAGTGACCTTCTAGCTCACCCCACCGGTCCAAACCCCACCTCTTACACAAAGTCTTCCTGATAAAACTAACCAACATTTATGTCTCCCTTTTTGGACTGTGTCAGGCAGCTTCTGTACCATGCCTATTTGCAGTGGATTACATTCATAAAATGGGCTGAACATTGTGATTATTTTTCCCAGGGTTGTCCCCCATGGATATGCATTTTTTGTTCTGCCCAAGGGCACCTGGCCAAAGAGTTGAGTGGGAGCGGAGACCCAGCCCATGCTCCTTTCTCCATGCCAGTAGCATCCCTAGTGCCTTTCTGAATTCTCAGGAAACATCAGTGGATGAGTGCTGGCCCTGGCTGTCCCTGAGTATTACCCTTGTGTTCACCATGTCTCCCCAATGGGTTTGTATACCCCTTGAGAGCAGGGGCTCTGTCACAACTTCTGCATTCCCCATGTGGCCTAGCCTTAGGTAAATGTTCCTTCGCTTGACTTGAACACAGACAAGGAATAGAAGGAGGTCTTTTTTTCTGGAAGTGAAGCACAGAGAAGGTGGTCTATAAAGGAGAGAGAAGGAAAAAGGCCTGGGGAAAGAAAGTGGAAGCAAAGGGGTTTGAAAATGCAGAGACTGGGCTGGACACAGTGGCTCATGCCTGTAATCCCAGCACTTTGGGAGGCCGAGGCGGTGGGGATCACGAGGTCAGGAGTTCAGGACCAGCCTGGCCAAAATGGTGAAACCCCATTTCTACTAAAAATACAAAAATTAGCCGGGCCTGCTGGCAGATGCCTGTAATCCCAGCTACTTGGGAGGCTGAGGCAGAGAATTGCTTGAATCTGGGAGGCGGAGGTTGCAGTGAGCTGGAATCATGCCACCGCACTCCAGCCTGGGCAACAGAGTGAGACTCCGTCGCAGAAAAAAAAAAAAAAGAAAGAAAATGCTGAGACCATGTATTAGTCCTGCTTTTTTTCTTGAGCTCCAAGAGCAGATTGATTTTCTTTGGCATGTCTGGCTCCTAATCTTTCATTCTATCCAAGGGCTATTGGGCACCAGAAAGAAGTTCTCAATGGTAAGGTGCTGGGCGTATGGGGGCAATGTCAGCATGTCTGGGTCCTGCTGGTTGCCGGAGCTGGGCTGGGGGTCTGAGTGTTTAGGACAAGGCCCAGCATGGGTTTGGAATCACAGAAGATCAGCAATAGTGATTGATCTTCAGGAGATGACCTGACGTATCTCACTGGATCCCATGGGAAAAAATCCCAAGAAAACCCTTCTTCTCCCAAACAACATTTCTCTTCCCTTTTCAAAATGAAGTTACCTTCAAGCACAGTCGTGTCTTTTGCAAATCATGTTTTCTGGTGGGGCTTACCTCAGAGTCCTATGTCAGAGCCGGGCGGGCCTAGCTGACCACCTTCGCATTGAATTTCTCTTTTTTCAGAGTCAATGTCAATTATGCATATGACTTAAGAAGAAATCACTGGACCGTTTCATTGTTTCCTCTCTGAAACTTCCCTTACCTCAAACCCCAAACCAAAAATACCAAAACCTCACCGCTCTTGAGCAAGCCACCAGAGGAGTGAGAACATGTCTGAGGAGTGGCTGTGAGCGGCCAAAGACCAGTTGCAGACAGAAGAAAAT
The DNA here is from genome assembly GCF_000001405.40 of Homo sapiens. Classification (NCBI taxonomy): domain Eukaryota; kingdom Metazoa; phylum Chordata; class Mammalia; order Primates; family Hominidae; genus Homo; species Homo sapiens. The sequence goes on from NC_000002.12 coordinate 203,598,595, forward strand.
AAGAAATACATCAAAACGATGGAAATCTGACCGGGCACGGTGGCTCATGCCTGTAATCCCAGCACTTTGGGAGGCCGAGATGAGAGGATCGCTTGAGTCCAGGAGCTCGAGACCAGCCTGGCCAACATAGGGAGCTTGTGCCTCTATAAAAAATAAACAAAATTAGCCAGGTGTCGTGGCGCATGACTGTAGTCCTAGCTACCTGGGAGGCTGAGGTGGAATGATCACTTGACCCCAGGAGGTTGTGGCTGCAGCAAAAAAAACATCTCTTAAATTTTCATACTTTCTGGAGGCAGGGTCTTGCTCTGTTGCCCATGCCACTGCCACTGCCACTGCCACTCCAGCCTGGGCAACAGAGCGAGAACCTGTCTCAAAAAAAAAAAAAAAAAAAAAAGCAAGCATGACAATTTAAGAGTTGCTTTTTGTTTTGTCAGTAAGAAAACTGGATTCATTTACTATAGGCAAAACTTATTAGGTGGGATGGGTTTTGGATGATCAGAGGAAGTTGAAAATGTTGCCAATAGAACAGTTCTAAGGGATGATTAAGTCTCCCTCTTTGACATGAGCACAGACCTCATTAGCTAATGTCTTTCACATCTGGGTAGAAGTAGCACAAGTAAAATCATGGTGTGGCCAGGTGTGGTGGCTCATGCCTGAAATCCCAGCACTTTGGGAGGCCGAGGTGGGTGGTTCATGAGGTCAGGAGATCGAGACCATCCTGGCTAACAAGGTGAAACCCCCGTCTCTACTAAAAATACAGAAACTAGCTGTGCGTGGTGGAGGGCACCTGTAGTCCCAGCTACTCGGGAGGCTGAGGCAGGAGAATGTGTGAACCCGGGAGGCGGAGCTTGCAGTGAGCCAAGATTGCGCCACTGCACTCCAGCCTGGGCAACAGAGAGAGACTCCGTCTCAAAAAAAAAAAAAAATCATGGTGTGATGCAGCATAAACAGATGGGATTTTTACTGAACAGTGAAACAAAAAAGCACATCATGAAAACTCTGTCTCCTGAAATAGATGCTTTTTGTTTAAATACACCCTGATACCCATAAACAACAAAAATGAAGCTCCCTTGAAGTAGATGCTGCAAAACTGTTTCATGTCTACTCAAACCAAAACTTCTGGTTTGTGGTATGGAATGGCAAAAAGGTTCTTTAAACGTAGTAGCTTTCTTCTTTGTAAACCTGGACTAAGTAGACCTCTGGGACCTGGGACAAGTCACTCGATGTACCTAAACTTCAGTTAACTCATCTGCAACATGGGGTTTAACGATGCCATATGGGTTACCATGATCATCAAATGACATAGTCCACGTAAAATAGATGTTTAGTGCAATGCCTGGAGCCTAGGTCTCAATAAATGTTTGCTATCCTTATGGTTTAGCCCAGTGGCTAACCATCTAGATTCCAGTGCCAGCATGTCTGTCTTTGGATCCTGCCTTTACTATTAATACTTACTGGCTGTGCAATTTTCAGCCAGTTACTTCTCTGTTCATCCATTTTCTCAACTTTTAAATGAGGAGAAGACTACCAAATACTTGTATGGTTATTGTGAGGATTAAAGGAAATAAGCCTTTAGAGCACTGCTAGGCACACAGTGAGCACATACTAAGTGTTAATTATTTTTATTATTCTGCAAACAGAACTTTGCTGTTGATAAGATGCTTCTCCTGCCTGCTCTGCATTCTCTACCCCAAATCTTGGAATTCTTAGACTGTATAGCTCATCCTTTCTTTTTACATTTGAGCTACTAGAAATGCCTCAATTCACAAACTCTGTGGGATACCATTCCCTCTGTCCTGGGACCACATTCAGTAGTGTGAAAGTGGAGGAACCAGGGACACTTACGTATGCAAGAGCCCTGATGTTAGCTCCTGTTGGTCTTCCTCCACCTCGCCCCTTCCCCAGCTTAGCCCTGGGGGCTCAAATATCATCCTAAGGATCTTGGGGGCTGTAGAATTGAATGAGAACCCTGACGAATACAACATCCTTTTTAAAATCTCCACTCAGAAGAGGAATTTTACAGTAGACATTTAAGTCTTTGTGTAAATTTTAAATCAATGTGTCACAGCTGGGCGCGGTGGTTCACGCCTGTAGTCCCAGCACTTGCTGGGAGGCCGAGGCAGGCGGATCATTTGAGGTCAGGAGTTTGAGACCAGCTTGGCCAACATGGTGAAACCCCGTCTCTACTAAAATTGCAAAAAATTAGCCAGGCATGATGGTACATGCCTGTAATCCTAGCTACTCGGGAGGCTGAGGCAGGAGAATAGCTTGACCCTGGGAGGCGGGGGTTGCAGTGAGCCGAGATCGTGTCACTGTACTCCAGCCTGGGTGATAGAGCAAGACTCCATCTCAAAAAAAAAAAAATAAAAATAAATAAATCAATATGTCACAATTCCAGAGAAATAGTCTCATTTTAAGATCCTTTGCTGATTCTAAAATAAAAGTCTTTATTTCATTGAAGAGATTTAAGGCATTAGGCAGTAGGTGGGGGGAGGATTTTGGAAATTCTCCTCCTAAAATAACATAATTCTCACTCTAAGTCTGGTCTTGCTAATAATAGCAACCACAATATAATGATTTTTAATAACAGTGACTACAATGACCATTGAAGTGACATGTGATAGGTACAAGTGGGCTATGCCCTTTATATAAATCTTTTTTTTTTTTTTTTTTTGGAGACGGAGTTTTGCTCTTGTTGCCCATGCTGGAGTGCAATGGCACAATCTCGACTCATTGCAACCTCCACCTTCCAGGTTCAAGCGATTCTCCTGCCTCAGCTTCCTGAGTAGCTGGGATTGCAGGCATGCACCACCACGCTCGGCTGATTTTGTATTTTTAGTAGAGACAGGGTTTCTCCATGTTGGTCAGGCTGGTCTTGAACTCCCGACCTCAAGTGATCCGCCCGCCTCAGCCTCCCAAAGTGTTGGGATTATAGGCGAGAGCCACCAGGCCTGGCCTATGTAAATTGTTTTATTCAATCCTCACTGCAACCCTTGTAGGATGGTATTATTATATTATCCATTTATAAATAAAGACATTGAGGCTCAGAGAGGTTAAATGATTGCTTAGGAGCATACAGATAGTAGTCGTTAAAGAGTTGGGATTTGAACCTAGGGCTGTGTGTCTTCAGAGACTGGGTGTGGACTCATCCTCCATGCCATACTGGAGAAAACTAAGCTTTGGGGGAACCTTTGTGAGACAGACCAGAGGTCCTCTTTACCTTTCTTTCTGTAGGTTTTCCTGCCCTTCTTGCACAGATGGCCGTAAACACATGATTAGCTGGCAGAGGCTGCCTTGACTGAGTCTCCATTTCACAGAAGCGGCAATAGAGTGATTCTGTTTCTGGCGTCTCAGTGCAGGCACTGCTGAGTCGTGTGCTTGCCAGAGCCTTAGCTTAGCTGGATTCTGATCTGTTAACTCTGTACCTTGTTGCAGTGGTGTGATGGTCTCAGGCTCCTTTTCTACCTACATGTGAGATTTTATACTAAGTGAACTTCTTTTTTTTTTTTTTTAAGATGGAGTTTTGCTGTTTTTGCCCAGGTGGAGTGCGATGGCGCAATCTCTGCTCACTGCAACCTCCACCTCCTGGGTTCAAGCAATTCTCCTGCCTCAGCCTCCTGAGTAGCTGGGATTACAGGCATGCGCCACCACGCCCAGCTAATTTTGTATTTTTAGTAGAGACAGGGTTTCACCATGTTGGCCAGGCTGGTCTTGAACTCTTGACCTCAGGTCATCCACCCATCTTGGCCTCCCAAAGTTTTGGGATTATAGGCGTGAGCCACCGCACCTGGCCGTAAGTGAACTTCTGAGGAAAATTATACCAAAACTTGTTTTTTGCGCATGCTCAACTAGACAACCTGAAAATGGAGTTAAAACATTTCACAGTCCCAGAGATTTCATAGGTTATCAGTTCTTCCTGTTTCAGGTCAAACCCCCAAATACTCAAAATACCTCCAAAATAATTATTCTTACTCTCTTGAAAGGAATCAATGTTTATAAAATACAGGAGAGAGCCTGAAGACTGTGCTTTGTCTCTGTCTAATGTGATGTTCTCTGTGGGTTCTGTTAAAAGGTACAAGAGAAGGTCTATGTGTAATGCATATTCAATTCTGCTATAGAAGAAAGCAAATGGGAGGGATAAAGCATACAAGAAATACCGAGCACACATAGAAATCAAGCTAGCAGCTTATGAGATATTGGTAAAACTCCCAGGATGTTAAGTTTAGATAATGAGTAAGGAAATTCTGCCTGCCTTGCGTGGCAGGCAGAATTCATAAGATGTGTTAAATATAGACAGTAAGTTAGTAATCTGTAAAACATATTAAAGAAAGATGGAATAAAGCAATATATGATGGGAAAAGAAAGAATGTTACTTATAAGTAGAAAGGGATGAAAAGATTAAGTCCTAATCATGCCCCTCTGGTCTGACAGCTACATCATTCCTAAATTGCCCATCCAATGGTGATACCCATTCTGATCCCACATGTTTGTGCCCAAGAAATGCACATAAAACCCAGAGGTGCTCAGCAGGCTAATTGGGAAGCTATAGCTGTGGTCAAGCCTACTTGCCCCTGGACCCCTTTGATAGAGCAAGTGTGTCACTGGCCCAGGGCACCTTCTCTCTGGGAACCCCTTGCTGCAACCTCATCACTTTATTTCTGGCCCTCATAACCACACGTCAGTAGGGGAGGCTGATGTGGCAGAGAGAGATAGGAGACACATGCACTGACCCTGCCAAGACTCAGGTAGTGGGGTCTTTCCACCCGTTGCATCCTATCCTAAGTGTGTTCACTTACCTGTCTCTTTCACGTTGCTTTTTGTGGTGTCTTTTATATTGATTTACGAAATCATGCAATTCGAGCATATTTAGTTTTGAGGCTTTGAGCCTTTCCACCAAGGTAGGTTCCTACACGACATCCATATTAATTTCCATTTGAATCTTTTCACTAGTATCATCTATTTCCTTGGATAACACATCAGCAGTAGATACTTTCACTTCATCAGAGGACCTGGGAAAGAGCCGTGCCAACAGAGTTTGGAATGGAGGCAAAACTAATTTTGGAGAGCTCCAATGTGTGTTGAAAAAGAAAGCAATCAAATAATTGTGTTGTATCACATCCTGAATATGGTCTCAGGCCTTCTGCCAGGTAGTCAGAGAACATTTTTTATGAATTTGATTTTTTTTTTCCGCTAGGAAAATTACCAAACCTCAGATTCAACCAGAATAGCACAAGAGGAATAGCATGGGCTCCCTGTCATTCGTTCACAGTACATTCGGGAGGGAGAAGAACAATGGTTTGTAAAATAGGTCCATACATAATGCATGATGTCAATAACACTGGGTAGCTTAGTGGCTCACATTGAGTGACCTTCTCAATATATTATTTATGCCTTTCATGTTTTTTTCTAGTATAACATCTTTTTTCCCTCTGGTCAAGTATTCTATTGCTCATTTATTGTGTTTTAACCACAAATGTCTTGCCACTATCAGTCACATGGCTCTAAATGAAATATAGATTATAAAAGGAAACACTTCCCACACATTAAAAAAATGATTTCCAGCTGGTCTTAAAAGTGTCTGCAGTTCCCTCTGGACGTAAGCATTTATCTGCTAATGCTTATCACTTGGGACTTTCCCTGCTGTTTCAAAAGTGGGAACGTGGAGATTAAAGCCAGTGTTTTAGGAGATTAGTACAGTTGTGTGCCGCGTAATAACATTTTGGTCAAGGATGGACTGCATGTATTACGGTGGTCCCATAAGATTACAATACTGTAGTTTTACTGTACCTTTTCTGTGTTTAGATACGTTTAGATGGGCAAATACTTACCATTGTGTTACAATGGCCTACAGTATACAGAACAGTAACGTTTTACACAGGTTTCTAGCCTAGAAGCAATAGCTAGACCCTGTAGTTTAGGTGTGTAGTAGGCTACACCATCTAGGTTTGTGTAAGTACATTCTATGATGTTCACACAACGACAACATCTCCTAATGACAATTTCTCAGAATGTTTCCCCATCGTTAAAAAATGCATGATTGTATTGAGAAACATAAAATTGGATACAATAAATATCACACTTCTATAAGAAGGTTTTAAGCACTATACAGTGAAATTATGTCTCTCCTCCAGAAAACAAACAAATCTGGCCGGGCGCGGTGGCTCACACCTGTAATCCCAGCACTTTGGGAGGCCAAGGCGGGCAGATCACGAGGTCAGGAGATGGAGACCATCCTGGCTAACACGGTGCAACCCCGTCTCTACTAAAAATACAAAAAAAAAAAAAAATTAGCCCGGCGTGGTGGCAGGCACCTAGTAGTCCCAGCTACTCGGTAGGCTGAGGCAGGAGAATGGCGTGAACCCGGGAGGCGGAGCTTGCAGTGAGCCGAGGTCGCGCCACTGCACTCCAGCCTGGGTGGCAGAGCGAGACTCTGTCTCAAAAAAAAAAAAAAGAAGAAAAACTTAAAAAATACAACCTTTTTAATGTGTCAGGAAATACAGAGCTTGGTCTGTCTGTGATCAGGAGGAATGAAGTTGTGTATTCAGAATGATAAAGTATAGGTGTGTGTGATGAAGTCCCAAGTGATCTGTAAATTCCTGCAGAGGACCTCACATTGCTGGGTGAAATCTTTGTGGGAAATTGGTAAAAAGAAAAAGACCCAGCAGGTACCCTAGAAACTCTAGACCTAATACAGATTCCCTTCTTTATTGGTGGCTCTGAAAATTTTTCACACTGCTGCAGGTACTTTGGCCTTGGAGACATCTTACTGGGGACTTAACAATGAGAAAGACTTAGGGATTCATCACTTCCAGGCAACTGTAAGGAAAAGGGAGATCCCCGTGCCTGAACTTATAGGGTTGGATAATCATTTTCCTTCCTGTTACACAACTTGGTTTTCCTGGCTGTGGTGCTAGGTTTATAGCAGTTACAGGGTTTATTTAAGGCAATCCAACTTTGGACTTCAATAAGATAAATAGTGATATCTAAAAGAGACATAGTGAAGAAATCACACTCAACATGACAAAGCATTGAGATAAAAAGTAATAAAGTCCAGAAAAACTCTTCAAACAGTAATTTTGCTTCTAAAAATCCTTTGACTTTGATGTGTCCATCAATCATAGGCCTATTTTTGCTTCATTTCATCTGTCTTTGGCTAAAATGGGTGGGATGAGGCTTTTTGGATAGCAGTAGTTGGTTTCTCCTATTTTCTCTTAATGGACAAAGAAGCAAGATTTATGTCTGGAAGACTTGCTGAAAAGAACGAAGTGACCTCCCAGAGCCACCTAGTACCTTAGCAATAATCTCCCAGCTGAAATCATTGTTGCCTTGATGAGCTACAAATCAGGGTGGCATTTCCCAAACAGGATTCCCCCAAACTCAAGTTGCTTAAACTGCTAATATTTTCATTCTGTTCTGTTTTGTTTTAGCCATTGTGTATGGTCAAAAAAAAAAAAGATATGAAAAGTCCTGGGTTAAACAAATTTCAAGGGGTTTTTTTTTTTTTTGCAGGATATTTCAAAATATTTAATGTTCTAATGTGCATTGCATGTCTTGGAATTAAAGGTGTGCCGAAAACAGTTTGTGAAACATTGAACATTGGAGAGAACCTGTGGGGAAGTGGCCCATGCTTGGGACATCAGTTGACTTCTTTTTTGTTTGTTTTGAGATGGAGTTTCACTCTTGTCACCCAGGCTGGAGTGCAATGCATGATTTTGGCTCACTGCAACCTCCACCTCCTGGGTTCAAGTGATTCTTCCGCCCCAGCCTCCTGAGTAGCTGTGATTACAGGGACCCACCACCGTGCCTGGCTAATTTTTTGTATTTTTAGTAGAGACAGGATTTCTCCATGTTGGTCAGGCTGGTCTTGAACTCCTGACCTTAGGCGATCACTCGCCTCAGCCTCCCAAAGCAGTTGACTTCTTGGCTGCCAATGGTTAAGCAATGCCACTGGACAGCCCCCTGTGTGACTGAGGGATAGGGATGAAAAAGGCAGGAAAAAAAGGAAGACAAAGCTGAAAAATACAGAGGAATACGTAGAAGAAAATAAAAATTCCTGCTTCATACCACCCCAAAATAACCATTTTAAACCTGCAATATGTTTCCTTCTAGTCATCTTACTGTGTGTGTGTATGATTATGCTCATCATATAAATTACCCTTTTTGTTTTTTGAGATGCAGTCTCGCTCTGTCACCCAAGCTGGAGTACAATGGCGCAGCTCACTGCAACCTCCGTCTCCCCGGGTTCAAACGATTCTCCTGCCTCAGCCTCCCTAATAGCTGGGACTACAGGCGCCCGCCACCACGCCCAGCTAATTTTTGTATTTTCAGTAGAGACGGGGTTTCACCACATTGGCCAGAATGGTCTCCATCTCTTGACCTCATTATCCTCCCACCTCGGCCTCCCAAAGTGCTGGGATTACAGGCATGAGCCACTGCGCCCGGCCAACTATACATTTTTATATGATAATCATACTATGTATAATTTGACATTTTGTATTTTAAGTTTAATACTTTATATGTATGTACTTGAAAGCATAAACTAAATATAGTACTTCCATATCATTATTTTCCTATTAATTGATAATTAGGTTATTCCCAACTTTAGTATAAAAATAAAGGACACATAAATGGCACACTGAAGAAATCAGGTTCATAGGAAATAAACAAAAGGCAGCCATATTTTTGTCTTTCAAAATTTTGACTTTAACAATGTATCCAGGGAAGGAAAGTATTTCCCTTAACCCTGAAAACTTGGGCAGTCCCATGAATTTCTGAATTACAAAGTTACTTTAAGCTTCATTATCTCCACTCAGAAATTAAAACGTCTAGTCCAAAATAAGAAGTCACATTTTAATCTTCATTTAAAGGTATGGCTCTTCCCATCCCCAGGTAGGCCAGTGGCAGGTTGTGTGTGGTCAGCTTCTTCTTGTTTCCCTCTTCCCCTACTCAATAGCTACTGTTGCTGACCTGGGGCTGGGCAGGGAGAGGGATGAGAGGTAAGGGGATGAGACGGAGAATTCCTACGTGGTTGTCTCATAAGCTGCGGCAGTCTGCAGCTGCCTCCCTGTCAGGGGTGCGCTCCCTTGATGGCAGCATTGATACAGTCTCCTTGGGCTGGCCGTTGTCCTGGGGGACCCTTGCTTTCCTGCAGTCCACTCCGTACAGACTTTCTCAGCTGGGTTCTATCGTTGTCACCCACGTGGTCTTGGGTAGGGTCCCTTTTTAAAATTATTTTATTTTATTTTATTTTTCCAGACGGAGTCTCACTCTGTCACCCAGGCTGGAGTGCAGTGGCACCATCTCTGCTCACTGCAAGCTCTGTCTCCTGGATTCACGCGATTCTCCTGCCTCAGCCTCTCCAGTTGCTAGGACTATAAGTGCACGCCACCATGCCCGGCTATTTTTTGTATTTTTAGTAGAGACAGGGTTTTGCCATGTTGGCCAGGCTGGTCTCGAACTCCTCACCTCAAGTGATTCACCCGCCTTGGCCTTCCAAATTGCTGAGATTACAGGTGTGAGCTACCACACCCGGCCAGGTCCCTTTGAATAAGACCCCAGGCAGAGCGTTCTCCTAGGGAGTCTGCCTCTGATTCCTGGGATGCACACAACTTCCATCCACTGTACCACTGCTCAGACAAAGCCCTCTCTCCTGCTGCCAGTTACCACTGCTTTCTCAGATGTGAGTGGTACCAATGCCTGTGACCTTCAACGGCAAGGGGCACATATGAGACTTTCTGAATGGTCCCTTTAAATCCTCCTCTTGGGTCTTGAAGTGAAGGGGGAAGCACTCCTCCCCATTTTGGTGGGGAAGTGGGACACAGCACAATCTCTTTCTGAGAAGTCCTCTTCAAAAACCCGTTTTTCTCCTCTCTCTCAGCTCTTTTACATCTTTTTTAAAAATCTAATTTAATTTAATTTTAATTTCTGGGATACATGTACGGGACATGCAGTTTTGTTACATACGCAAACGTGTGCCATGGTGGTTTGCTGCGCCTATCAATCTATCACCTAAGTTTTAAGCACCACATGCATTAGCTATTTATCCTGATGCCCCCCTCCCCTCCATACTCCCTCTGCACCTTGACAGGCCCAAGTGTGTGCCTTTTATATCTTCAATGTGAGTCAGGAATTTAAAAGAGTTAAAGCACCAATTTTCAGCTGAGTCCTGTAAAAATTTTGCATTTGACTTATACCTCCTTTGGAATGCAGCAACGATTCTATCTTTGTGCCTCAGTTGAAGTTTCAGTTTTAATTCATGTTACAAAAATATTTGTATGTAAATCTTTGAATTTCTTTCAGGAGGGTAGTTTACCAAACCAGGATGGTTTGCCAGAAGGGAAATCATTGGCTCAAAGGATTTGGAAAGAGTGTTTTCATTCTAAACTCATGGTTGTTTTTCTCACCTAGAGACTTACGGGGAAAGGCTGGGCCAATTGGGAATGAAACAGGTTGTAATGCAGAAGCTAGACCATGTGTTAAGTGGTGCTAGGGTAGGTATCGGAATTTTTCCACGTACCTATAATTTGCTTACTTGTTTAGTGCCAATAGTTTGAGATTCTTCACATTTTGTGAAGTTATACTACTAAGCGGCCGGGTGCAATGGCTCTCACCTGTAAACCCAGCAGTTTGGGAGGCTGAGGCAAGTGGATCACCTAAGGTCAGGAGTTCGAGACCAGCCTGACCAACATGGTGAAACCCCATCTCTACTAAAAATACAAAAATTAGCTGGTGTGGTTGCAGGCACCTGTAATCCCAGCTACTCAGGAGGCTGAGGCAGGAGAATTGCTTGAACTGGGGAGGCGGAGGTTGCAGTGAGCTGAGATCAAGCCATTGCACTCCAGCCTGGGCAACAGAGTGAGACTCTGTCTCAAAAAAACAAAACAAAACAAACAAACAAAAAACCTAACCAATTCCCAGTGCAGGAATACTTACAAAGGGACCAGGCCTGTGTTTGTAATGGAAATAGGAGAATCTTAGATGTCATTGATTAATGGAGATTTTAACAAGAATAGCTAATATTTGATAACGCTGAGCATGAACCAGGCTGTCATAGCTACATTAGCACATATTAATTCATGTGAAACTCATATCAGGCCTGACGCCGTGGCTCACGTCTGTAATCCCAGCACTTTGGGAGGCCAAGGTGGGCGGGTCACGAGGTCAAGAGATGGAGATCATCCTGCCCAACATGGTGAAACCCCGTCTCTACTAAAAATACAAAAATTAGCTGGGCGTGGTGGCAGACGCCTGTAGTCCCAGCTACTCGGGAGGCTGAAGCAGGAGAATCGCTTGAACCAGGGAGGTGGAGGTTGCAGTAAGCCAAGATCACACCACTGCACTCCAGCCTGGTGACAGAGACTCTGTCTCAAAAACAAACAAAACAAACAAACAAACAAACAAAAACTCGCATGAACTCCATGAAGAGGCATTATTATTTTTATTTATTTATTTACTGTTTTTGAGATGGAGTCTCTGTCTACCGGGCTGGAGTGCAGTGGCACAATCTCGCTGTATCTCCCAGGCTGGAATGCAGTGGCGCGATCTTGGTTCACTGCAACCTCCGCCCCCACCCCCGGGTTCAAGCGATTCTCCTGCCTCAGCCTCCCAAATAACTGGATTATACACGCCTGCCACCGCGCCCGCCTACTTTTTTTGTATTTTTAGTAGAGGCGGGTTTCACCATCTTGGCCAGGCTGGTCTTGAACTCCTGACCTCATGATCCACCCGCCTCAGCCTCCCAAAGTGTTGGGATTACAGGCATGAGCCACCGCGCCTAGCGGAGGCATTATTATTCCCATTTTACAGATGAGGAGGCTGAGGTATGGTGAAGTTAAGGGATTAACTCGTCTAATAAGTGGCACAGCTGAAAGCTGAACCCAAGCAGTTATCTTTGAATTTCTGCTGCATAATATGTGTCTAACCATTGCTGGTTAAACAAGATGTGTTAAACCAGATACTGTTTGTTGGAATTGTCCTCAGAGGTTTTGTTACCTTCCCACAAAGGAGACTGAAAGCATTTTCAGAAATTAACCTGATTTCCAGGACTGAGTGTGCAAAAGAGGATTTTAATTTAGTTGAATGGGTACCAGCTCCCTCCACTGGCATTTGTTTTTCTTCCCTTGATGGGGAAGTGGGACCCACAGCCCAGTTGTGCATGGTGCATAACAGATGCTTAGTAAAATGTCATTGTATGACTGAGCGAATGGTAGAGTCCACATAGCTAAGGACTCAAATGTCTGCTTTCTGTATTTCTGTTTTCTATGTCATTATTATCTTTACTTATCATAGCGACATTAAAAGGTAGATATCGTCGGGCGCGGTGACTCACGCCTGTAATCCCAGCACTGTGGGAGGCTGAGGCGGGTGGATCACAAGGTCAGGAGTTCAAGACCAACCTAGCTAAGATGGTGAAACCCTGTCCCTACTAAAAATACAAAAATTAGCCCAGCGTGGTGGCAGGTGCCTGTAATCCCAGCTACTCGGGAGGCTGAGGCAGGAGATCACTTGAACTCGGGGGGTGGAGTGTGCAGTGAGCCGAGCGTGTGCCACTGCACTCCAGCCTGGGCGAGGTGACAGAGTAAGACTCTGTCTCAAAAAAAAAAAAAAAAAAAAAGTAGATATTATTGGCCGGGCGTGGTGGCTTACGCCTGTAATCCCAGCACTTTGGGAGGCCGAGGTGGGGAGATCATTTGAGGTCAGGAGTTCGAGACCAGCCTGGCCAACATAGTGAAACCCTGTCTCTACTAAAAATACTAAAAATTAGCCGGGCGTGGTGGCGGGTGCCTGTAATCCCAGCTACTGGGGAGGCTGAGGCAGGAGAATCACTTGAACCTGGGAGGTGGAGGTTGCAGTGAGTCAAGATCGTGCCACTATACTCCAGCCTGGGAGACAGTGCGAGACTCCGTCTCAAAAACAAACAAACAAACAAACAAAAGTAGATATTATTGCCCTTGTATTACAAATGAAGAAGCTGAAGTTTGGAGTAATTATCTTGTGCAAAGTAATTATCTTGTGCAAAGACTATCTTGTGCAGAATAAGTATCCTGTGCAAAATAATATTGGACTGTATCTTGTGCAAAGCCAGACAGCTACTCCACCACAGATACAGGTTCCAGACCATTGTCAGTCATGCTTGTCTGTTCACCTAATGCAGCCACCCATATCCTGGGACTGTTGCAAGGGTAGAATTAATTATTGGCTTATGAGGCCGGGCATAGTGGCTCACACCTGTAATCCCAGCACTTTGGGAGGCCGAGGCAGGTGGATCACTTGAGGTCAGGAGTTCGAGACCAGCCTGGCCAACATGGTGAAACCCCCGTCTCTACTAAAAAAATAAAACTTAGCTGGGCGCGGTGGCACGTGCCTGTAATCCCAGCTACTTGGGAGGCTGAGGCAGGAGAACTGCTTGAACCTGGGAGGCAGAGGTTGCAGTGAGCCGAAATTGCACCACTGCACTCTCATCTGGGTGACAGAGCAAGACTCTATCTCAAAAAAAAAAAAAAAAAAAGTATTGGGTTTGGAATTTCCCCTTAAAATAATCCATTTACAAGACCTAGCTAGTTTATCCTCATTTAAATTCCTCAAATTCAGTCTTGCTATTAAAATATTTCCTTGTGCCTCCAAACTGATTGCTCACATCCTTTTCATTAAAATTAAATCAGAATAATTTCTACATAATTTAGAACACTATTGGCTTTGTTAGAAAACCCCTGTGATTGCATTTTTCTCACATGACATCTTTTCGAATTAATTATTCCATTCTGTTTTACCCCCTTTCTGAGCACAAGCCCAGCAGCTCTCCTCTGTGAGGAACCTGGGAAGAGTTTCTTCCTCATGCCTCCTGAGGATGAAGTTGCCTCACCTCCAGCATTGCAAGAATCAATACTTTGACCTCGCATGAGAGAACCTGAGTCCTCGTGCTATGCTGCTCCTCACTAGAGCCGGGAAGTATTTTAACTGCTCTTGACCCCAATTTTCTCCTACATGAATGAAGAGCTATAACTAGGTCAGGGAAAGTGTTAGGTATGCCCAGGGCAGACATCACTAATCACTTCAGGGATTCCTCCCTGCTGACTGTCAATGCAAATTTCCAAGCAGGTTCCATGTATCCACTGGAAGTGGCATCTAATGTGAAAGCTGGTTGCTGTCTTTGGCAAATATGAATGTTCAGCTCCCACACAGGCCTGGGGCCCCATTTGTGGGGCCTGGGGAAACAGTACAAATGGAGGCCACATGCTGTATGTCAAAATATTTAAAAGTTATAAATCAAGGGACTCAAAGAGACACCCACGTCCATTGCAGCATTATTTGCAATAGCCAAAAGGTGGAAGCAACCCAAGTGTATATCCATGAATGAATGGATAAACCAAAGATTTATATACACAATGGAATATTATATTCAGCTGGAAAGAGGAAGGAAGTTCTGATACAAGCTACAACATCAGTGTACCTTGCGGACATTATGCTAAGTGAAATAAGCCAGTCACAAAAGGACAAATACTGTATGATTCCTTATATGAGGTACCTAGAATAGTCAAATTCTTAGAGACAAAAAGTAGAATGGTGATTACCAAGGGCTAAGGGTGGGGAGAAGGGAATGAGGAATTAGAATTTGTGTGTGTGTGTGTGTGTATGTGTTTTGAGATAGGGTCTCACTGTGTCACCCAGGCTGGAGTGTAGTGACGCTATCATAGCTTACTGCAGCCTTGAACTCCTCCCGCCTCCCAAGTAGCTGAGACTACAGGTATGAGCTACTATGACTGCCAGGAAGTTATTGTTTAATGGGCAGAGGGTTTCAGTTTTATAAAATGAAAAGAGTTCTGTGGGCAGATGATGGTGATGGTACCACAGCAATGTGAGTGCACTTAATGCCACTGAACTGTAGACTTAAAAATGGTTGACAGAACATTTTGTGTTACGTATATTTTACCACAATTTAAAAAAACAAAACAAAACAAATTAGTGCTATCCTCAAAGACCTGGCAACCTAAAATCCTATACTTTGCTAAGCAACCATTAAAGAAAAGAAGCCAAAACAAAGATTTTTTTTTTACCAAAATAGTTATAAATCCATCTAACAAAATGTTAAATGATACATGTTTTACTCTCCTACTTTGAAAAACATAGCTTCGTAATAACCTGGAACTCTACTCTTTAGTGTTCCATATTGGAATTCCATGTTGGAGTTCATGTTGGAACACGGCAGCATGCGGAGAAACAGCCTCTGGCCATGGCTTAACCCCTTTTCTTCTTGGACCTGGCTGCAGCCCCTGCTACAAGGGACCTCTTTGCAAGCATGTGGTTACCCCCACTTGCATATAAAGCTCGGCTCACACTTCTGTAAACAGCTGCCTCCAGCCACTCTTTAGGCCTAGATGTGAGCACCCTGATGGTGCAGTCCACCCTCAGGATTTAGGCAAGAGGACTATAAAAGCCTTGAAAGTCTTGGGGCCATTTGGGCAGAGTATACTGGAGTCATGGTTGGTACATAGGCCCTGCGGATGCTTCACCCTGTGAGAAGGGGCATAGCTGAGAAAGGGCCAGAGTGGCTTCTCTAAAGCATAAGGTTTTTCTGGCCTTGATTGTTCTTCCTCCTCTAGATACTATCAATAGCGAATCCATTCTTTTCACCACTGGTCATTTATGACTACCTACATGTTGGTTATCACCATACTTCCATCCACGAAACTCAAGGGAATAGACTATTAGTTTCACGAAGGAGAGAAGGGTTAACAGTGTCAAATGCAGCAGAGAAGTCCAGGAAGCTAAGGACTGAGAAATGTGCACTGAGACTGGAAACTGGATGTTATTAGTGGCATTTTTTTGTTTTCGAGACACAGTTTCACTCTGTTGTCCAGGCTGGAGTGCAGTGGCACGATCTTGGCTCACTGCAACCTCTGCCTCCCGGGTTCAAGTGATTCTCGTGCTCAGCCTCCTGAGTAGCTAGGACTACAGGCATGCACCACCACAGCTGGCTAATTTTTGTATTTTTATCAGAGATGGGGTTTCACCATGTTGGCCAGACTGGTCTCGAGCTCCTGACCTCAGGTAATTTGCCAGCCTCGGCCTCTCAAAGTGCTGGTATTATAGGCGTGAGCCCCCAGGCCCGGCCATTAATGACATTTGATGAAACAGATTCCTAGTGAAGAGGGTTGAAGGGTGATGAGAAGTGAGGAAGTGGAGGTAGAGAGTGAGGAGTGTAATGACTTTTTCTCTCTTTTTTTTTTTTCTGGGACAGGTCACACTTTGTCGCCCACGCTGGAGTGCAGTGCTGTGATTATGGCTTACTGCAGCCTCAACTTCTGGGGCTCAAGTGATCTTCCCACCTCAGGACTGCCCCTCACTGCGAGTAGCTGGGACTACAGGTGCATGCCACCATGTCCCACTAATTTTTTTTTTTTAATTTTTTTGTAGAGTCAGGGGTCTCAGTATGTTGCCTAGGCTGTTCTCAAACTCTTGGGCTCAAGTGATCCACCTGCCTCGGCCTCCCAAAGTGCTGGGATTACAAGCATGAGCCACTGCACTCGGCCCTTTAGTGACTTTTCAAAAAGTTTAGCTGAGAAAGGAGAGCAAGAGAAAGGGCAGTAGCTAGAGTTGGATTTAGGGTCAAGCTTTTTTTTTTTTTTTTTTTTTAATGGAAAGCAAGAGTAAGGGCAGTAGCTAGAGTGGGATTTAGGGTCAAGCTTTTTTTTTTTTTTTTTTTTTTTAATGGAGTCATCAGAGAATATTTATAGGCTGAGAGAAGAAGCTACTGGAGAGGGGCTGGGTGCGGTGGCCCACGACTCTAATCCCAGCATTTTGGGAGGCCGAAGCAGGTAGATCACAAGGTCAGGAGATGGAGACCACCCTGGCCAAAATGGTGAAACCCCATCTCTACTAAAAATACAAAAAGTAGCTGGGCGTGGTGGCATGTGCCTGTAGTCCCAGCTACTCGGGAGGCTGAGGCGGGAGAATTGCTTGAACCCAGGAGGAAGAAGTTGCAGTGAGCCAAGATTGCACCACTGCACTCCAGCCTGGTGACAGAGCGATACTCTATCTCAAAAAAAAAAAAAAAAAAAAAAAAAAAAAAAACAGAGAAAAAGAAGCTACTGGAGAGGGAAAAACAAGACGTTTGATAGGGGATAATTGATGGTACACGTGGAGGACTGGGGTCAACAGCACAGGTGGAGGGCTTGGCCTTGAACCAGAGTTGAAATGATTCACTTTCTGAAGCTAGAGATGGTGACAAATACGGGCAAGTTTGTAATTGGGATGTTGAGGCAGATTGTGATTGCTTTAATTTTCTTTTTTTTTTTTTTGAGACGGAGTCTCACTCTGTTGCCCGGGCTGGAGTGCCGTGGCACCATCTCAGCTCACTGCAACCTCCGCCTCCTGGGTTCAAGCAATTCTCCTGCCTCAGCCTCCAGAGTAGCTGGGTCTACAGGTGCACGCCGCCATGCCTGGCTAATTTTTTGTATTTTAGTAGAGACGGGGTTTCACTGTGTTGCCCAGGCTGGTCTGAAACTCCAAAGCTCAGGCAATCCGCCCACCTTGGCCTCCCAAAATGCTAGGATTACAGGTGTGAGCCACTGTGCCCGGCTAATTTTCTTTTTAAATAAAGAGATAAAACCACATGCTGAGAACGAAGGAAGAAAAATATGAACTTCAGCAGAGAATTAAAATTTTGGATTAACTGCTTAGGAGAATGGGGGAGGTTGCTGATCAAGGCAGTTAAAATAATTGTCGACTGGCACAAGGACAAAGCTGAGTTTGTTGAACATGAACATTAAGTGGCAAAATTCTGCAGGGTTGTGTGATTGATTTCTGGAAGTTAGCACCCCCCGGTCGTGGGCAGAGGAAATCGGTTGTAGAAATGACCCCGGGTGGGAGTTTGGTGCTCGTGTGCAAAGTAGTTAGAGGTACAAATGGGCAAGGGAGTGAGGTATCCAGGTAACATGGTAGAGCAGGTGATCCGCCATAGACTGTAGGCCTGGAGGCTGATGGAGGCAGAAGCGATGCCGGCAAGGGGTTGATCTACTCTGCTAAGTTGGAGAAGTTAAGGAAGAGCATGTGTAACTGGAGTGGGTATATGAGAGAACCGGATGGAAAGGAGAATCCTGGCTATTGGTGCTCAAGATTTCAGAGATGAAGCAGTTAATTAGCTAGACTGAGATGTAGGATAAGAAGGTCCTGGGTGAGGCTATCGGAGTGAGTGACTTAGGCAGAATGGAAGTTGCAGATTAGCATCGAGGAACTCATGGAAATTGGATGCCAAGGTTGGTTTGGTTTTACATATTGTAGTTAAAGGATAACAAGGCTTGACGAAAAGAGGAAACCTGATAACACCATATAAAACCCTCTCCTTATTTAAGACATGGGCCCTATGGACATGGAATCCACTCCACATTTCTCCACGTTTTCTTTCTTTCTTTTCTTTTTGAAATGGAGTTTTGCTCTTGTTGCCCAGGCTGGAGTGCAATGGTGTGATCTTGGCTCTCTGCAACCTCCACCTCCTGAGTTCAAGCGATTCTCCTGCCTCAGCCTCCCAAGTAGCTGGGATTACAGGTATGCGCCACCATGCCTGGCTAATTTTGTATTTTTAGTAGAGATGGGGTTTCTCCATGTTGGTCAGGCTGGTCTCAAACTCCCGACCTCAGGTGATCCGCCTGCCTTGGCCTCCTAAAGTGCTGGATTAAGTGTGAGCCACTGCGCCCGGCCCCACATTTTCTTTTTACTTTTATTTGTTTTGAGATGAAATTTTGCTCTTGTTGCCTAGGCTGGAGAGCAATGGTGCGATCTCGGCTCACTGCAACCTCTGCCTCCTGGGTTCAAGCAACTCTCCTGCCTCAGCCTCCGAAGTAGCTGCGATTACAGGTGTCCATCACCGTGCCCAGCTAACTTTGTATTTTTTTTAGTAGAGACAGGGTTTCACCATGTTGGTCAGGCTGGTCTCGAACTCCTGGTCTCAGATGATCCACCTGCCTCAGCCTCCCAAAATGCTGGGATTACAGGCGTGAGCCCTCGCACCCAGCCCCACATTTTCGTTTTTATCACTTACAAGCTCCTGATCAGTTCATCAAGGACTTTAAAAACTCTCATACTAAGGCACAGAAGTAATAGGTTGAAATCAACATGGATATGAGGGAAATGCAGATCTAGCTTTTAAGTAGAGGGGTATGAACAGCCTCCCTTGAGAGAGTATCTCAGGGAGAGCCAGATCCTCCAAGGAGGACTAGGTCTCAGTTAAGGCCTGAAAAGGAAGGGAGTGCTGCATGAGAAACCGGAAAGACCTTATTGCCCTTGAAGAGGAGTTTCAGAGGATGGTGGAAACGTGGGAGAAGGTGGAGAGGTCAAGAGTGATCAGAGCAAGGAGTGGAAGTCTAGATTTAGAGTTGAGGAGGACATGGAAATTTGATGCTTAGGCTAGTTAGATTTTATAAATGGTAACTAAAAGATAATACAAGGCCTGAAGAAAAGAGGAAGCCCGATAACACCATCTAAAACCCTCTCCTTAGTTAAGGCACAAACCCTCTGGGAATACTATCCAGCTACTTTTTCAATGTTATCATTTACGGAGGAAGTAGAGTATCATGGAGATAAGGGGATGAAAGTTCTGGGGGAGAAGAACGAATTGAGAGGATTATACGTTGGCTGCTCCCCAAGGCTAGCAGGGATGCATGCAGTTTCCAGATGGGACAGTGTGCTTGGTCATATCCCTCAGGACCTGGCCAGGTGGGGAAAGCTGTGCTGGTGGGTCCCACACAGGCTCAGCAGCTTGAGGATGTTGAATCTCAGAAGACTGAGCTTTGGCCGGGCGCAGTGGCTCACGCCTGTAATCCCAGCACTTTGAGAGGCTGAGGCGGGCAGATCACCCGAGGTCGGGAGTTTGAGACCACCCTGGCCATGATGGTGAACCCCGTCTCTACTGAAAATACAAAAATTAGCTGGGTGTGGTGGTGCACACCTGTAATCCCAGCTACGTGGGAAGCTGAGGCATGAGAATGGCTTGAAGTCAGCAGATGGAGGTTGCAGTGGGCCGAGATTGTGCCACTGCAATCCAGCCTAGATGACAGAGCAAGACTGTCTCAGAAAAAAAAAAAAAAAAAAAAAAGGCCGGGCGCGGTGGCTCACGCCTGTAATCCCAGCACTTTGGGAGGCTGAGGCGGGAGGATCACGAGGTCAGGAGATCAAGACCATCCTGGCTAACACGGTGAAACCCCGTCTCTACTAAAAATACAAAAAAATTAGCCGGGCGTGGTGGCAGGCGCCTGTAGTCCCAGCTACTCGGGAGGCTGAGGCAGGAGAATGGCGTGAACCTGGGAGGCGGAGCCTGCAGTGAGCTAAGATCGCGCCACTGCACTCCAGCCTGGGCGACAGAGCGAGACTCTGTCTCAAAAATAATAATAATAATAAAAGGAGCCTAAGCTTTAAGAGGTTAGTCCATTTAACTAGGATTAGGGTTTAGGGTGGCAGTGGGGCTAGGGGAAGAGGGTGAGAGGGAGGAAGCAAGGTAATTCACGTTTGTTAAAGCTCTGTGTTAGGCATTTCACATACGCTCTTTTAATTCTCACAATAATCCTACAAAGGAAGCATCATTATCCTCAGTTTATAAATGATGTGTCAACTTGCCTGTAACATAATGCGAATTTCTATATGAATGCAGATTTTTCTTCCCAAATGCTGAAAGTAGACAATTCGTAAATGGAAAATAAAAAAAGAGTAATAAAAAAAGGCAAGTCAATAAGCATATAGCCTTCATAACTGCCTTTAGTTTTTAGATAATATTTTATTGTACCTTTCATGTCTCCTTTGTTTAATCTTGGCTCAGGGCCTATCTGTTTTATCATTCGACAGGATTCAAAGTGCTATTTCTAATCTTCACCGGTAAAAATATTCAAATCATATGCTTTAAAGAGTATTCAAGTCATATTCGCTTCAGATTGCCTCTCTAGGGAGACAGCTCTGATACAATGGAAGTACTGGATTGAGGATCAGAGCCATGGATTCTGGTTCTGGTCTTTGATTAATTATTTGAAGCTGGCAAGGCACTCAACTCCACAAGTTTCCTGTGTCTGAAACAGGGATCATTACATCTGCATTGTTGTAGGATTGATGTGTAGGTGAAAGGGCTGTAAAATGCTATGCAGATGGCAAGGATTGGTGTTCTTGAGGCAGAGAATTCAGAACCACAAAACCTTTATTGAAAACCTTTGGGGACAAATGTGTTTTAGAGTGTCCCAGATTTTTTTCTGACTTTAGAAAGGAAGAAGAGAGGCCGGGTGCAGTGGCTCACGCCTGTAATCCCAGCACTTTGGGAAGCTGAGGCAGGCAGATCACTTGAGGTCAGGAGTTCGATACCAGCCTGGCCAACATGATGAAGCCCCTGTCTCCACTAAAAATACAAAAAATTAGCTGGGTGTGGTGGCAGGTGCACGTAATCCCTGCTACTCGGGAGGCTGAGGCAGGAGAATCGCTTGAACCCAGGAGGTGGATGTTGTAGTGAGCCAATATCACACCACTGCACTCCAGCCTGGGTGACAGAGCAAGACTATCTCAGAAAAAAAAAGAAACGAAGAAGAGTGCCCATGTTGCATATTACTCAACACTCCCGTTAAAGTCTGGAGCAGCACCCTGTAATCCCACACGAGTATTTCTTTAGCAAGACATGATTATTCACATTAAGAGGGTTTGATAAAAATCATAAATAGCCTTATTCATGTAGGCTAAATAATGGGCACCTATAGATCTCAAGTCTTAATCCCTGGAACCTGTAAATGTTACCTAATTAGGAAAAATAGTCTTTGCATATGTGATTGAGCTAAGGAGTTTGACGTGTGAGATTATCCCAAATTGTCTGAGTAGGCCCTAAAGGTCCTCACACATAACCTTGTAAGAGAAAGGCAGAGGGAGGTTTGATACACATGGAAGAGAAAAAATGATGTTACTTTGGAGGCAGACAGATTGGAGTGACATGGCCACAAGTCAAGGAATGCTGGCAGCTACCAGAAGCTGGAAGTGGTAAGGACCAGATTCCCCCACCCCCTGGGGCCTCAGGTGTGGGTGTGGCCCTGCCAACCCATTGATTTTGACTCAGTGAAATTGATTTTGGACTTCTGGTCTCCAGAACTATAAGAGAACATACTTCTATCATTTTAAGCTATGAAGTTAGTGGTAATTTGTTATGGCAGCCACAGGAAACAAATATAGTCAGGTTTTGCTGCCAAATGGGCAATGAAAAAAAAAAAGGTGAGTTTTCAGATTTCATACACCTATATTTAGGACTGATATCCAAGTACTTTTAAAAGCGGTTGTTGTGATATCTTGTTCATTCATAGCCCTTCAGAATGGCAGGCATGGGCCTGGAACTGCTGCTAGCCTTGCTCACTGTGGCGGTGAGATGGGTGTTGAGGCATGTTGAAGATATAAGGGCAGATGGGCCTATCCAATAGAGAAGTTTGAGCTGAGAGAGCAGAATGTTTTACCTAAGGGCAATATCTAGCCTTAGTGATTCAAGCAGTAGCTGGGCATCCCCACAGGTAGGTGACTCTCAAGAGCCTAGATAAATAAGCACAGGTAAGGGTGTCTGGGTATCAGATATCAGGTGAGGTTCAGGGCAAGGGCTAGGATATCGGGGATCATGGTAGCAGACAGGTTACTGCTACAGTCTGAATGTATGTGTCTCTCCAAAATTCTTATGTTAGAACTTAAACCCCAAAGTAATAGTATTAAGAGGTAGGGCCTTTAGGAGGTAGTTAGGCCAGAAGGGCTCCACCCTCAGGGATGGGATTAATATCCTTATAAAAGAAGGCTCCAGAGTTGCCTGGTCCTTCAATCTCTTCTGTCATGTGAGGATACAGTGTTCATCCCTTTTTGTCCCTTTCTACCGTATAAGGACATAGCAGTAAGGTACAATCTTGGAAGCAGAGACAGAGCCCTCAGCAGACACCGAATCTGCCAACACCTTGATTTTGGACTTCCCAGCCAGCAGAACTGTGAGAAAAAAATTTCTGTTGTTTATAAATTACTCAATCTAAGGTATTTTGTTATAGCAGCACAAATGGACTAAGACAGTTACTATAATAGAAATGGAAAAAATAGGAACTGATACAGAAGCCCAGGTGGATGAATGTGTGTGTGGGGGTGGGGGTGTGTGTCTGTACAGGCCAGGACATTTGGATGACAAAGTTTCTTTATTAGAGAATATCTTGGGGTGGGAATGATGACTTAGGTAGAATGTGGGCTTTTCCAGGATCTCGAACTACACTAGCAGCAAGAAAAACTCAAATGAACCCCAGAGGGGAGTGACTTGGGGAGCAAAGCAGGAGCCTGGACCAGCTCTGAAGTGCTTGCCATGGGCCAGGACAAGAAGGAGACATGGCCAATTCTCAGCCTGAGGAGGGGATGCTGAGGCTCCAGAGCCTGTTGCTTCATGCTCAGCTTGACCAAGAAACTGGGGTAAGTAGGGTATGAGGTGGGAAGATAAGTGGGTCCAGCAATAGAGAGCCACAGGCCAACAGAGGGAAAATCTTTGGGGGCATTGGCGGTGGGGGGAGAGAGGACCTGCTGACATTGTCAAAGTCTTTGTCTTTCTAGTTTGTTTTAAAGTCAACTTCCTGATGATAAAACGGTCCTCGTATCATGAGGCAACTGTCAGTCTATGATGAAATTACTTAAAATCTCCAATTAAAAACTCATTACGTTTATCTGAAGGCTATTTTAAAAGTTATGAGCTAATCTAAATGGCCAACACAAGACTTGGTTAAATAAACTATGGGCATCTATGCGACCAAATGTTTTATAGCCAATACAATTATGTTTATAGAGAGTTTCTAAAGGCCTAGGAAAATGTTTATGCTATAATGCTGTGTTA
The DNA here is from genome assembly GCF_000001405.40 of Homo sapiens. Classification (NCBI taxonomy): domain Eukaryota; kingdom Metazoa; phylum Chordata; class Mammalia; order Primates; family Hominidae; genus Homo; species Homo sapiens. Next base: position 203,622,443 of record NC_000002.12, read on the forward strand.
AAAAGGCAGGATACAAGATTGTTTATAGACTACCAAGAGACCAAATAAAAACTATGCATGAAAAACAATCTAGTAGAAAATCCACCAAAATATTAATATAGTGATAGCCTCTAGAGAGTGAGACTAAGAGTATTTTTTCTTTTTTTTTGGGACGGAGTCTTGCTCTGTCACCCGGGCTGGAGTGCAGTGGCACGATCTCGGCTCACTGCAAGCTCCGCCTCCCGGGTTCACGCCATTCTCCTGCCTCAGCCTCCCCAGTAGCTGGGACTACAGGCGTCCACCACCAAGCCCGGCTTATTTTTGTATTTTTAGTAGAGATGGGGTTTCACCGTGGTCTCGATCTCCTGACCTCGTGATCCGCCCGCCTCGGCCTCCCAAAGTGTTGGGATTACAGGCGTGAGACACCACGCCCGGCCAACTAAGAGTATTTTTAAATCATCTTTCTACTTTTCTATTTTTCAAATTATCTGTGCATCACATTTTCTTGTAGTTGTTTTCCTGTTTTATATACATTACTTTTGTCACGGGAAGGACCCAAGAAATTCTCCTTTCTGTAAAAGCTCACACCTTACTTTTTACAAATAATCTGAATTCAAAGCCTTTTGTGTTTCAAAGGGCAATGATATCTACAAAGAAAGGGTATTGCATTAACATTTCTGATTATATGAACTCTAGATACAAAAGGCAAAAAATAAACAGATTCTCCCCCCAAAAATCAAGCCTCAGGAGAAATGATCTTATTTTTTTTCTTTTCCCATAAGATCCAACTGGCAAGAAACTTCAGGCTGTGGAAAAGCACTAGACAGTCATAATATGGTGCAACATGGCTTTAATGATGTCATTTAAACCCTCTCACTGCAGGAAGAGGCTGCTTTAGTGATGAGTGTGGCAGAGGAGGAGCTGTCTCATACTAGCCTGCGGATTTCCTTTATGGAGTAAATCCTTTAAGATTCTTCTCAAGAGCTGGGCGCAGTGTCTTATGCCTGTAATCCCAGCACTTTGGGAGGCCAAGGTGGGCCTTCGAGACCAGCCTGACCAACCAGGAGAAACCCCGTCTCTACTAAAAATACAAAATTAGCCAGGCGTGGTTGTGCATGCCTGTAATCCCAGCTACTCAGGAGGCTGAGGCAGGAGAATTGCTTGAACCCGGGAGGCAGAGGTTGCAGTGAGCTGAGATAGCGCCACTGCACTCTAGCCTGGGCAACAAGAGCGAAACTCCGTCTCAAGAAAAAAAAAAAAAGACTCTTCTCAGATATTATCTCTTCTATGATGTCTTTCCTTTACCCTGAGCTGGAATAAATGCCCTTGTTTCCTCAGTACCCGGTGCAGGCCTCCTTCCCTGGCCTTATCATATGACATAATCTCACCACGAGGCTGTAAGAGTCTCAGAGTGGCAGCAACAGTGTTTTATTTACGGTGCTCTTCACAGCACCTAGCAGAACTGGCAGATTGTGGGTGCTGAATAAATGTTTGTTAAATGAGCTGAGTAATTCTCCCAAAGTGTGAGAGAAATTGTATTCGTTTTCTAAGGCTGCCATAACAAAGTACTGCAAACTGGGTGACTTAAGAAAAATGTATTCTCTCACAATTATGGAAGCTAGGAGTCTTAAATCGAGGTGTTGGCAAGGTTGGTTCCTGCTGGAGGGCTCTGATGGGGGCAGGGCTGTTCCATGCTTCTCTCAGCTTCTGGGTGCAATCCCACATGCTCCTTGACTTTCAGCGGTATCATCCAACCTCTTCTTGCATCTTCACATGGTGTCTCCTCTGTGTCTCTGGGTCCCTGTGTCCAAGTGTTCCTTATTTTTTTTTGAGACAGTCTTGCTCTGTTGCCCAGGCTGGAGTGCAGTGGCACCATCTTGGCTCACTGCAACCTCCGCATCCAGGGTTCAAGCGATTCTTGTGCCTCAGCCTCCCGAGTAGCTGGGATTACAGGCATGTGCCGCCATGCCCGGCTAATTTTTGTATTTTTAGTAGAGATGGGGTTTCACCATGTTGGTCAGGCTGGTGTCAAACTCCTGACCTCGTGATCTGCCCGCCTCGGCCTCCCAAAGTGCTGGGATTACAGGCGTGAGCCACTGCGCCTGGCCTGTTCCCCTTTTTATAAGGACATCAGTTACACTGGGTTTAGGGCCCACCCTAATCCAGTTTGACCTTAACTCAGTTACATTCACAAAGACCCTATTACCAAAAATGTCACATTTACAGATACTGGGATTAGGACTTGAATGTATTTTTATTTAACTCACAACAGAAACTATAGCTATAGCTAGCTAGATAGTATATAGTAGAGTACAGATACTCAGTGAAGTGGTAATAACCAGCTGATGTACCCAGTATAATATATGGACTCTGCAGCGAGTATAAGATCATTTCTCCAGAGGCTTGATTTTTTTGGGGGAGAATCTGTTTATCTTTTTGCCCTTTGTATCTAGAGTTCATATATTTGGAAGTGTTAATGCAATAACATTTTTCTTTGTAGATATCATTGCCCTTTGAAACACAAAGTGCTTTGAATCAGATTAATTTTGAGAAAGTTGGGTGTGAGCTTTTTCAAAGAGTTTCTTGAGTCCTTCACACGAAAAGAGTAATATATATAAAACAGGAAAACTACTAAGAGAAAAAGTGGGCAGGGCACGGTGGCTCATGCCTGTAATCCTAGCACTTTGGGAGGCCGAGGTGGGTGGATGACCTGAGGTCAGGAGTTCGAGACCAGCCTGACCAACAGGGTGAAACCCTGTCTCTACTAAAAATACAAAAATTATCTGGGTGTGGTGGCGTGTGCCTGTAGTCCCAGCTACTAGGGAGGCTGAAGCAGGAGAATCACTTGAACTTGGGAGGCGGAGGTTGCAGTGAGCCAAGATTGTGCCATTGCATTCCAGCATTACAGCCTGGGCGACAGAGTGAAACTCTGTCTCAAAAAAAAAAAAAAAGAAAAGAAAAAGAAAAAGTGATGCACAGATAATTTTGAAAAATGGAAAAGTAGAAAGATGACTAAAAAGATACTCTTAGTCTCACCCTCTAGAGGCTATCACTATATTAATATTTTGATGGATTTTCTACTAGGTTATTTTTCATGCATAGTTTTACTTTTGTTTGTTTGTTTGTACTCTATAAACAATCTCATAAACTGCCTTTCTCACAGAGCATTATCACATACTGGGCAGACTGGGCACCTGAGACACAGTCCTGGGTAACCAGGAGCAGAAGACTGGTTCAATATGAAATCCATAAGGCGCAGCTGAGCGGGAATTTGGAGAGCCAAGCAAGTGGATACTAAAAACAAGGAAGGAAGAAATGAAATTTCAGAAATTGGGCAATGTTGCCAAGAGTGGGGAGATTGGAATTTGGGTTTAATGGAGGAAAAGAACAGTTTGCTGAAGTCCACCCAAAGACTTTTCCTAGGCTGTTTAACCACTGCACATGTGTGTTGGTCTTTGGCCCATGATATTTGCTTAGCATCTGACCCTAGATACATATACATCAGGGATTTGGCACCAAATGAGGCGTGTAAGGAAAAAGCAGAGGATTTTTCTCCTAGGAACCATAAAAGAAAAACAAATGTGTTGGCTCTATGTACTATAACAGGATGTGAGGGAAACACATTGAACTCTATATTCTACAGTTGTTCTAATTGTGCATTTTACTTTCTGACAAATAGAGCCTCTAAGAATTGGTAGCATATTTGGCAGAGATTAAACTCTAGGTTGGGCGCTGTGGCGCACACCTGTAGTCCCAGAACTTTGAGGGGCCAAGGTGGGCGGATCACTTGAGGCAAGGAGTTCAAGACCAGCCTGGCCAACACAGCAAAACCCTGTCCCTACTAAAAATACAAAAAATTACCCAGACGTGGTTGTGCATGCCTGTAGTCCCAGCTACTCAGGAGGCTGAGGCACAAGAATTGCTTGAACCCAGAAGGTGGAGGTTGCAGTGAGCCGAGACCGTGCCACTGCACTCCAGACAGGCAAGACTGTCTCAAAACAACAACAACAACAACAACAACAACAACAACAACAACAACAACAACGAGATTAAGTTCTAATATATGGCCATATGGTAAATTTTATATTCATATTCAACATACTACTCTGAGATTTGAAGAGCAAAAGGCATGCTGTTGTTTTTCTTTGAAAACAGAATTTAAAAAAATATTTATTACTCATTGGAAAGAGTAATTAATAACATCAAAATGGGAAATATCTCAGTAAATAAATGCCCTAAGGTGGAATAGTTCCTATAAGCTATTCCTTTGTGAGAGCAATTTTTCCTAAAATCTCAAAGGAACTGGCCACTGCTTAATCTGAGAGGGAGGCAGGACAGAACCTTAACATTTCTGTGGTAAGACACTTAAGCCCTTATAGTTGCAATCCCTTACTCTAAGTTACTTGTCCGAGAATATCTAAGCTTATGCAAATTTTAGACTGAATATCAGAAGGCAAATGGAAAAATTAATGAGTTGAAATGCTCTTGCTTTGATTAGGACCATGACATTTGAGTTTAGTTTAGTTGAAGTAAACATATTAACAAGCCAAGGAGAAAGATAAGGAGGAGACAACACGTGAGAAGGCTGAACCAATCAAAGCAGGAGACCCAGGATGTGGATGTATGAAAATTCCAGGGAAGACTGTTTACCTCCCAGACTCCAGAACAGGAGATTGGAATTTGCAAAGGCAAAAAAGATGAGAACTGGGCTTTATCAAGCAACCATAGTTTTCAGTTGCTTCATGCATGCCTTGGGTCTGTTTTGATAACCAGCATATCTTTTGTAACCCAGGCAAGAAGGAAAAATATGTGTCCTACTGAAGGGGCTGGACTAGATTGTGAGATGGGCTCTGAGCATTCCAGCCTCAAAGATAATTAAGACTCAAGAAGTTTTCTTCTTGAGCAAGAGTTCAGGAAAAGTTTATACTGACTTCACAACTGGCTCTGACCAAAAGTTTCAGTGCCCTTTTGTTGGAAGTATTAACTTACTTGACCCCTAGTTTGTACATAAAACTGGCTAAAGAGAAAGGAGGCAACATGAAAATGGATTTTAAAAATCCGGTTTTGAACTATGCCTGGCATGCTAAAATATTTAATTCTTCAACACTTGGCATTTAGAGAAGAGGGTGGATTTAAACAGACCAGCTGGCTAATTACACTTTGCCAACATTCCTACTGGCTGCTTACTGGGTGAGTCCTGTTTATGTCAAAGTCTAACTCTGTCCTTTATCCCTTATCATGGCCAAGAAATGGAATCCCATGCATTTTACTTAATATGAAATGTTCTGGTGAAACCCAAAGCAACAAAGGCCACTTTACTTTCTTGGTGAGCTGGACAAGGCAGGTGGTACTTGAAGGTTGTGGAGAAGTCTCCGGACAGGCTTAAAGTTATGAACAACTAAGATTCCAGCTTACCACCCTCCCCACCTCCTTTTATTTATTTATTTAGAGACAAGATCTTGCTCTGTCACCCAGGCTGGAGTACTGGGTTGTGCTCCTAGCTCACTGCAGCCTCGAAATCCTGGCCTCAAATGATCCTCCTGCCCTAGCCTCCCAAAGTGCAAGGCCAACCTCATTTTAGTGAAGATAATTTTTTTATCCTTAATTAAGATATTGTGAAGCCTGGGCACAGTGGCTCATGCTTGTAATTCCAGCACTTTGGGAGGCCGAGGTGGGCAGATCCCTTGGGCCCAGGATTAGGAGATTAGCCTAGGTAATATAGTGAACCCCATCTCTACAAAAAATACAAAAATGAGGCAAATGAGCCGTGTGTGGTGGTGTGCACCTGTAGATCCAGCTACTTGGGAGGCTGAGGTGGGAGGATCACTCCAGTGTAAAGACATTTTAATTAAATAAATTTTTGAAAAGTAAAGACACTGTGCTGACCAGACAAAACGCATCCGTGAGCTGTATTTTGCTTTAAGGGCTACCAATTTGTGCCTGCTATCTAGTGACAGCTCATAATTGAAGGTCTGAATTTTTGGGCTCCACTTAATTTGTTAAAAGTGGCTTGCAAAACTCCTTTATAGGAGAGGAAACGATTGTCCAAATCTTCTGCATGTTCTAAAATTAGGTAAAAACATTTTTCCTATAACTTTTCTAGTGCCATTAAATGAAGTGTCCTTGGAAGGAAGATGTTCATCTTGGAAATTGCTAGGTGAGGGTTGCCCTTCACTTTCTCAATGAATAGCTAGCAGTAAATACTCAGGGTCCCCCTCCATCGCCCCCACTCCAATCTTAGGGGTTATCAGCACACCACTCTGGACCACTCCTTAATCCCAGGCGTACTGGGCTCTGCTATGTACTTCCAAAATCCCAGTGGCACCATAAAGGAAGCAAGCCATCATTACAGTGACTTTTAAGTCAGTTTTGTGAATAAGGCCGGAAGTTTTTGTTGATGAGAAAGAGAGATTACTGTGTTGCTTTGTATAAATAAATAAAAATAAATTCCTCTTAAGGTGGGTGCTCCTATGGGGAGAAGTTTGAATGGGTATGATTTACAGTAGGGATAGTAATATTTAGACAAGGATAGAACTATGGCTTTTAAAATCCTCTAAGGCTCTAGAGCCTTATTTTTAGACCCCTTATCTGAGAATTTCTGAGAATTTCTCTCTAAACTCCTCAATAAGGATATTACTAAAAAATAGCTTTAATACATAGCATATATTCCTAAGCACATCTGTGCAAACCTTTCCTCTGGCTAGACCACAGCCTTCAGGATCTTCTGCTACAGTTAGACATAAATATCCATGCTCCAGGCTGCCACAGCAAAAATGACACCAGCAAACAGTTACCAACCACTTATGGTATATCTAGTACTGTGTATATAAAAAGTGAAATAGAAATATGTATCAGCTGGATGATACAAAGAAGAGGGCTATCAGACTAGCTGGAGTAAAGGGTTAGAAAAGTGGGTTGGAGATAGACTATAGGGAGTTTTGCAAGCTAGACTGAGGAGTTCAGACATTTTCCTGGAGGTAGGGAGCCATTGAAAGTTTTTGAGCAGGGAAGTGAAATGATGGAAGAGGCTTTTGGAAGGCTTAACCAGGCAGACATCTGCAAGATGGTTCAGAAGGGGGACAGACTAGAGGCTTGGAAATCAATAATAATAATAAATTCAAGCATAAAATCATCTAAAGACTTACAGTGACAATAGGATACTGAGTTACAGCGAAGAATAGCTAACATTAACTGCATGCTGTCCATATTGTTGTGAGTGCTTTATATGCACTAGTTAATATTTTCAACAACATGCAGAGGTGGATGATAGTAAAATCACTCTTTTTCATATAAGGAAACTGAGGCTTAGAGCTGTGAAAACACTTGCTCACTATTAACTGGCTAAGAAGTATCAGAGCTGGAATTCAAACCCAGGTAGTCTGCCTTTAGGGCCTTTGCCTTCAACCAAGCTCTACAATGCCTTTTAGCTACTTGTAGCCAAGCGTCTCAGACCCTGGCCCTCCCCTGCCATTGTGGTAAGGCTGGGACCCAGCCTGGGACTGTTATCACCCTGCCTCATTGTCTATTTTGTTTGTTGACAGACCTCTTCCTCAAATAGCATCCTCGCCAAGGTGTTAACTTCAAGAAACTCAAAACACTTGCCAAGGCTTGCATCTATTTCAAAGGAAACTTGTGAGCAAAGAAGGGGAAAAGATGAGACATAAATACTGTGCAAATATCCCTCATGACTGCTCACCACATTCTAGTAGAAGAAGGAAGGAAATTCAGGTCTTTCTGCCCTGTTGCTTGCCATTGGACATTAATGATGTTACCCGCCTGGCCTCACTGGCCTTGGTTCAGTGGTTTTAGGATGCATTTACTTCCCAAATGGGAGAGTTGGAGCTCATGTAATTTTAAATTGTTCAGTGTTTTACTGGCATCCTTTTGTCACCATTGGATGGAGAGGATTTATTGTGAACTCAAACTGACTACATGTTTTTTTCAAAGCTACCGTGAAAGTTCCCAAACATTTTGAGCCTGTAGATCATCCAGGCATATACAATCTTATAAGAATAAAACCAAGATGTTTACCATTGATTTATTTTATTTTATTTTATTTATTTTGAGACAGAGTCTTGCTCTGTCACCCAGGCTGGAGTGCAGTGGTGTGATCTTGGCTCACTGTAACCTCCGCCTCCCAGCTTCAAGCGATGCTCGTGACTCAGCCTCCCAAGTAGCTGTGACTACAGCCATGAGCCACCACACCCGGCTAATTTTTGTATTTTTGAGTAAAGATGAGGTTTCACCATGTTGGCCAGGCTGGTCCCAAACCCCTGACCTCAAGTGATCTGCCCCCCTTGGCCTCCCAAAGTGCTGGGATTACAGGTGTGAGCCACCATACCCGGCCTGACATTGAAATTTTTTAAAAAACATTTGTTCTCACAAATTAAAAGCCTGACATAGAGTCAACCAGAAGGTGACCTAATTAAATTATGTTTAAATTAAGGTAATTCCATACAGGTTGCATGGAATAATTTATTTTTATAATTATGACATTTTCCTGTATAAAGATAGCTATGAACTTAGAGAACATTAATTTTGGCTAGGACTCTAAAATATGTTTACTCTTTTTATACTTCCTAATAATGCTGCAGTGTTAGAGGAATTCTATTGTAGGAAAACAGAGAATACTTTAATTGTAGACCTAAACTATTTATAAATTATTGTCGTCATCTCATACAATGGAGGAGCTTAACACACACGTATTTGATTTGACACCAATTTCAGCAAAACATTTATTGAGGTTGTGCACATAACTAAATCCATGTGGTGAGGTTTTATTGCTAGGTTGCATTCTCTGTGCTGAGTTATATCAACAATACTTTGTTTACTGTTTTAGCAGGATGACCTCTGCACTAGTCAGAGGTCAGGCCTAGCTACATTCTACTGCATCAGCACATCAACCTATTGATTAATTGTTGAGTCTTTTTTTAAGTTTAAACTTCGGCCAGGCAGTGATTGAAATGGATTTATTTTTGCAAGTAAGCAGATTACAGAGGCAAGCAACCTTAGAAGGACTATTGAGAAATCATGAAATAATTTTGTTTGGAAAGTTAAACAAATGTCTTTATTTCATAAGATAAACATCTAAATCAGAGTGGGTGCACATGCAGTTCTCTAGTTGTCAACATTTAAATACGCATTGGTAGACTTGTCAATTTTCTATAAAAGTATGTTACTGAGATCTGTAATGTCAAGGATGATTTTTTTTTTTAGACGGAGTCTCACTGCAACGCCCAGGCTGGAGTGCAATGGTGCGATCTCAGCTCACTACAACCTCCACCTCCCGGGTTCAAGTGATTCTCCTGCCTCAGCCTCCTGAGCAGCTGGGATTACAGGCGTGTGCCACAATGGCTGGCTGATTTTTGTATTTTTAGTAGAGATGGGGTTTCACCATTATTGGCCAGGCTGGTCTCTAACTCCTGACCTCAAGTGATCCACCTGCCTCAGCCTCCTAAAGTGCTGGGATTACAGGCATGAGCCACCATGCCTGGCCAACATCAAGGATATTAAACTCATGAAACTAGTTTAAAAAATTTTAAGTAATCCCTGTTTGATTTAGTATGGGTCTCATTTTAGTCAGAATTGGTATTAAAAAGTAGGACTTTTTTTTTTTTTAACAGTAGAGAAAGTTCATCAAATCCTTGAGGAAAAGTTTAACATTTAGGTCACTCTTCTAATAATACTGAGTTTGTAGAACTGATATTGATTGAGAACTAAGAATTCTGTTTCTTCTTAGGAGTTTTAAAAATTGATTTCAGAGAATCAATTTTTAAAAGTCAACCTTCCCCAAATCCACATTTCTTATTAAATTTTACTTTATGTTATTTTACTGTATTTTCCTTAATTTTTTACCTTCAGAATTGAGGGCTTTTTTTCCATTTAAACAATAAAATTCATTAAAATGGTTTTTGGGCTGATGAAATCTTAAAAACAATCTGTTTCTTAAAAATTTTAGACCCATGTTGTATACAAACATCTTGTAATAAAAGACTCAATGATAATGTATGAAAGAGCCCCTCACCACCTTCCCATCCCCATGATACCTCCAGCTGCAGTACTGTGCTCAGCTCTCATCCTGAGGAGCTTACACACACACAGCTCTCTATTAACATGTGGACAAATTACTTTCCAGTTCCCTCCTCCCCAACATTTCTATTTCATTTTCATAACATTCATTTTTTGATAAACTTGTAACAGACTTTATATGATAAATAATGGTTGAAACAGCTGGGCGTGTTGGCTCATGCCTGTAATCCCAGAACTTTGGGAGGCCGAGGCAGGTGGATCACCTGAGGTCAGGAGTTGGATACCAGCCTGGTCAACAGGGTGAAACCCCATATCTATTAAAAAAATACAAAAATTAGCTGGATTTGGTGGCAGGTGCTTGTAATCCCAGCTACTCAGGAGGCTGAGGTAGCAGAATCGTTTGAACCGGGGAGGCGGAGGTTGCAGTAAACCAAGATCACGCCACTGCACTCCAGCCTGGGTGACAGAGCAAGACTCGGTCTCAAAAAAACAAAAACAAAAGCAAAAAAACTGTTGAAGCAACTGATTAAACAAATATGTCTCATTAGGGAATCTTTTATCTGGCCGTGTTACTCTTGTCCACTGTTGGGTAACTCTTTGTCTGTGTCCAGGAGAATCTAGAGATGCATTCTGTCTACACTCTGTCAGGACCATAAACAATTTATTTCTGTCCCATATTATTACTTCTATGATCAAGAAGAAGAGCGTTCTGGACAGCCTTACAGAGAGGGTCACCTGAAACAGATTTTGATGACTTTCAACCATTCCTTTCCTGTCTGTCTTGCCTTCTCTTCTCCCTCTCTTTTACTTTCACTCTTTTCTTTTTCTTTTTCTTGTGTTTGTTAGGAATGCATGATTGTTGTTCATTTTAGGGTTAAACCAGAATCTGTTTTAGTCAGGGTTCTCCAGAGAGACAGAATCAATTATACGTGTGTGTGTGTGTGTGTATGTATGTATGCATGTATATGTGTATATATATATATATATATATATATATATATATATATGATTATAAAATGTCTTTAATTATATATAATGCCTCTATATATTATTATATATAACATATTTGTATTATATATATATATTTTGCATTGGTAACTATGAATTTTATTATGTGGACATCTACTGTGGCATGCATCTGTACAAACCTTTCAGGCCGTGGTCCACAGCTGGGTTATGAATAAAAAGGCATACATTTTTCTCTCATTTTATTGCAATGAAGTTTACCGGTACAGAAAAGTCACATGACATTGGTGGGTCAGATTTCTTAAAACCTGCAACATGAGGAACTCTAAATACAGTAAATATTGTTACACATTCAGACTTCCAATGTACAAGTACTTGGAAACAGTTACACCCCTCACCAAGCTAGATTGGGGACTTGAAGTCCAACAGCATCTGAAATGCTGTGAAGGCATAACTTTACAAAAGAGCAATGTAAGGTTACAGAACTTGCCTTTATTAAAGTGATATGTTCATGTTATTCCAGCACCTTCACAATTTAATGAACCAAATTTACTATACTTCACTTCTACAAACCTAGATGAAACATGAAAACGAAGCCACACAGTATAAATTGCAACTTCAGGAAAAGCTCCTGCTTTATTATTCCACATAATTTTTCCCATGTAAAATCAACGTCCAATAGTTCCTGGTATGTGGGAAGATAATATTTGTTAAAGTCACAATGAAGCCTTATTGATGGAAGCTTGGATATATAAACAGCACAAGTTAGGCCGGGCGCGGTGGCTCACGCCTGTAATCCCAGCACTTTGGGAGGCCGAGGCGGGCAGATCACGAGGTCAGGAGATCAAGACCATCCTGGCTAACACGGTGAAACCCCATGTCTACTAAATATACAAAAAATTAGCTGGGTGTGGTGGCGGGCGCCTGTGGTCCCAGCTACTCTGGAGGCTGAGGCAGGAGAATGGCGTGAACTTGGGAGGCGGAGCTTGCAGTGAGCCAAGATCGCGCCACTGCACTCCAGCCTGGGCGACAGAGCGAGACTCCATCTCAAAAAAAAAAAAAAAAAAAAAAAAAATAATAATAATAATAAATAAATAAATAAACAGCACAAGTTGAGAAAAGGTTTAATCTCCAAACCTATTAGACTGGATGAGGTAAGATCAGTACTGGCCACCTTGCAGCATTACAGGAGGTCTCATTCCCATTGGAGGTCGAGGAGGCCCACTCTGGTAAGGGGGCACTGTTGGCGGTCCCTGCCCATATGGGGGGATAGCACCAGGAAGGTATGCTGGCATGGCTTGATGATGACCACCATACTGACCATGAGGCGGCACTGGGGGGTCTCACTCCTTGTTGCTGTGGGATGCCTGGCTATGGTGGCGTCATACTTCCAATTGGTTCAACTGGTGGATTACCAATGGGGGCCTCTCCTTGCAGAGGAAGATTATGTTGATCTCTAGGTAACCGTGCCCTTCTGTCTTCCAGATATATACCCTCATCTGGATGGATCAACTTACTGGTTGCATTGGTTGTTACAAGTGTAGCAGGCTTACTTGTTATTGAAGCTGCTGGTTTAGCTGCAGTACTATTTGTTGTACTAGTGGTTGAATCTGCAGACTGTGTATAAGCAGAGAACATAGGCTTTGGGGATGCTGTAGTTGCTTCAGGGGTACTATTTAAGGGTTTGAAATCTGTACCAACAGGTCCTTGGACAGCTGCCTGAGCCTGTCCAGCACTGGAGAAAAGAGGCTTCGTAACTGGAGGCTGTGGAGCAGGTACAGTTGCTGTTGGTGCAGGTGGTCTGTTAAGAATACCTGGTGCTGAAACAGCCTGTGTTTGGGTCACTGGAGGATTCTAGGATGTGGAATGGGGGTCGGGGAGTGGAGGGGATACCTGGTGACATTCCAGGCATCAGAGGTGGTATTCCTGGTCCAGGTGGTGTATTCCTGGTCCAGGTGGTGTATTCCTGGTCCAGGTGGTATATTCCACCCATTGGCATCATTATGTTTTCACCGAAAAATGACTGGGTGCATTTTCTTTGATGATGCAATCCAGGTGGCATGGCTGGCATAACTGGTGGCATTCCTGGCATCAGAGGAGGAACACCTGGCATTAATGGAGCTATGCCTAGAGGCATTCCTGGTGCTCCTGGTACTGGCGGCAGTCCTGGCTGTGCCACTGGAGGAATATAACCTTGTTGAAGTTGAACAGGTTGTGGGTGAAATGAAGTTGAGCCTGCAGAGTCGTCGTCATCGTATTCATCAGAATCATCTTGTTCCTTCTTTTTTTGACTTTCTTGTGTTTTCTGTTCAAGAACTTGTCGTCCTTCATCCATGTCTTTTTCTGGAATACCTTCCATACCATATATTTCCAATTCTATGTCTGTTATCCCAGGTATTGCATTTGGTACAGCATCTATTATTTCTTTATGCACCTGCATGCAATGAATGGCTAAGCCAGGTCCTGGATACAATTTCTTGTGACATATATGACATTTAAAATGCTTTGCTTTTTGGTGCTGTATAAGGATCTTCTCATCACCAAAATCTCTATTACAATACCAGCACCACGGCTTCCGCTGCTTCTTCTTCTTGCCCCATAACTGCGCTCTACCAACAAAATAAAAGGGAGGAGAAAAGAAGCAAGAGAAACAAGGCAAAAAATCACTCACGTTCCCAACCAAATGGTTACCACTGCGTCCCACAGGAAGCAGACATAAAATGCTATATTATATTATAAATATATACTTATAAGTATATTTATGAGTGTTTATAAGTATTATAAGTATATTATAAATATATTTTATTTATTTATTTATTTATTTGAGATGGAGTCTTGCTCTGTTGCACAGGCTGGAGTGCAGTGGCCTGATCTCAGCTCACTGCAACCTCCGTCTCCTAGGTTCAGCACTTCTCCTGCCTCAGCCTTCCGAGTAGCTGGGACCACAGACGCATGCCACCACGCTTGGCTAATTTTTGTATTTTTAGTAGAGACAGGGTTTCACCATGTCGGCCAGGCTGGTCTCAAACTCCTGACCTCGTGATCCACCCGCCTCGGCCTCTTAAAGTTCTGGGATTACAGTTGTGAGCCACCGCGTCTGGCCTATATTTATATATTATATATTTTATACATAACTGATTATATATAAATATAAAAATTATATAATTATATATTAAAATATAATTTCTATAAAATATTATAATATATATGATTTTTAGATATTATATATAATCAGTTATATAGTATATATAATTTGTATATATATAGACAGAGAGAAAGAGAAAGAGAAAGAGAGAGATAGGATAAGGGATTTATTAGGGGAACTTGGCTCCATTACAAGTCCAATGATAGACCATTTGCAAGCTGGAGAACCAGGGAAGCCAATAGCATGACTTAATCCAAGTCTGAAGGCCTTGGATTATATATAACTCAGTCTGAGGTTGAAGGCCCAAGTGCCTAGGAGGTGGCTGGTGCAAGTCCTAGAGTCCAAAAGCCCAGAGAACCTGGAGTTTTGACACTCAAGGGCAGGAGAAAGATGTCCCAGCTCCAAAAGAGAGAGCATAGACTTTACAAGTGGAGTCACATTTGCCTGGTGGATGACATCCAAATGCCAGTGAGCACTGATTTTGCAACATTGTGGCACAGTGAGTTCAGGGGCAGAGAGGCTCATATTTGAATCCAGCACTTGCTTGCTCTGTGGCTACAGCAAATTACCTAATCTAGCTAACCTCAAATTGTTCAATAAAATAGGAGTAATAAGGTTGGTTGTTGTGAGGAATGAATGAAATAATGTATGCCACACTTCCTGGCATAATAAACGGTAGTTTTTATTACCACAGTGTCAGCAGTACTTGCCTTGGGGATGGTGTCGGGGAGAGAGGAAACCTTAGTAGATTTTGATCACTGGCTTGGCTTCTGGAAAGGCACTTCCTGAATTTACAAAAGTTTTTGTGAGGAAGTAGAGAAAGGAGGGATCGCATGTAAAGTGGCTCAGACAATTCATTGGGTGAGACATTTTGAATTAGAAAAGCTCAAAAGGGGTAAGCACAAAAAGTTTACGGGACGAAATCAAAATGCTGAGATGCAAGATGGGAAAGGTGGGCTTCAGCTTGAATGACAGCCCTGCTAGAATTAGTTCAATGAGTGCTGTTTATTTATAAAGTCAGTAAGATAGTGGGATGCATAAAAGTCAAAGGGCAGGAAGTGGCTTCTCAGCTTTTCCCAGCACTGGTCTGACCTCAACTGTGGCTACTTTGTGTCTCCCCTTTAAGGAGGTTGTGGGGAACTGGCAGAGCTCCAGAGAAGAGCAAAAATGTAATTAAGGCTTGGAAAATAAAGGCTATGAGGAAAGGCCAGAAAGCTGTAGGGTTAGTTAACTTAGAGAAGAAAGGTCCAACTGATTTGAAGGGTCATTAACAGAAAAACATTGGTTGTTTCTCATCTCCACAAACAACAGGACAAGAGGAAAGAAGCTTACATTGCACTGGAGAAGGGTTTGGCCTGTGAGAATTGTTAACAAGGAAGCTCTCAAGCCTCGTGCTGGCAATTGAAAAAGAAAATGGATTAAAGTGCAACTACTGTGTGCCCACCCATTCATTCACACTGACTTGCAAAGGGAGTGTGAAGGTGGTTTCAGAAACCGTTTGCATAAGTTTGAAAAATAAACCTGTTGTTTCCTCTTCATTTGAACTCATTTAGTTGTTTACTATTTAAATCCAGATATTAACAAAAAGTTAGTTTGAAGGTTTAGATGCAAATTAGATCGGTTCAGAACTTTCTAGGTAAGGCCTTGCCCTATTAGGTTGATTTTGACCACCACAATCTTTTAGGCCAGGCTTATTCACTACATCTCAGGAGAAACTATATTTGGTTGTGACTTTTGGGAAGAGTCGGATAAACCCCAGTGCTGGCATCTATATTATTGCACAGCAAGGCTGCAGTGATCTGAACCCGCAGGCCTCTCTGTCTTTCATTTTGGCCCTTTGGCTGGCGATAGAAAAGGTGTGGCCCTGCAAGGATTATGAAGAGTTTCAGCTCAGGATGTGGTGGTGTCCAAGTTAGAGGGAGAGGTGTACATTTGTTTCTGCAAATATGTGGTCTCTCAATGATTCCTGCTATGCTTCCAATTTAGGTGACTGAATTCAGTTTGGATACTTCTGCCACAAAGTGAAGGCATGCTTAGTAAGGATTTTTTTTTTTTTTTTTTTTTTTTTGAGACGAAGTCTTACTCTGTCACCCAGGCTGGAGTGCAGTGGCGTGGTCTTGGCTCACTGCAACCTCTGTCTCCCAGGTTCAAGCGATTCTCCTGCCTCAGCCTTCCAAGTAGCTGGGACTACAGGCACGTGCCACCACACCTGGCTAATTTTTGTATTTTTAGTAGAGATGGGGTTTCACTATGTTGGTCAGGCTGGTCTCGAACTCCTGACCTTGTGATCTGCCTCAGCCTTACAAAGTGCTGGGATTACAGGCATGAGCCACCCTGCCTGGCCAAGACAGAGTCTTACTCTGTCCCCCAGGCTGGAGTGCAGTGGTGTGATGTTGGCTCACTCAACCTCTGCCTCCTGGGTTCAAGCAATTCTCCCGCCCCAGCCTCCCAAGTAGGTGGGACTACAGGCATGCACCACCACACCCAGCTAATTTTTTTTGTTTTTTTTTTTTGTTTTGTTTTTCTTTTTTTTAGTAGAGACAAGGTTTCACTATGTTGGCCAGGCTGGTCCCCAGCTCCTGACCTCAAGTGATCCGCTAGCCTAGGCCTCCCAAAGTGCTGGGATTACAGGTGTGAGCCACCTCGCCAGGCTTAATGAAGATTTCAAAAAGACTAAAAGAGCTTTACCCATCATATTTCTGTTCTCCTTTCCATCTACCTCTTTCCATTAGCATTTCTGTTATTAATTTTCAATTACCTTAGTAATACAGAACAATATATCTTGGGATATTTCCATGTTGGCATGTATAGCTCTACTTCCTTTGTTTTAACTAGTGCTTTTTTATTCCTTAGTATAGATATACTGTCATTTATTTTTGACATAATTTAAAAATACTTTAGTAATAATGGTGAAGGCAGAATAATGGTTACCTTTGGAGGGGTATTGGTCGTATGTGGCGTGCAGGAATATCTGGGAGGATGCTATAAATAAATGTTCTATATTTGGCTCTGAGTAGTGATTATATAGGTGTATACACATATATAAAATTGTCATTTTTATACTTTACATACTTTATTGTATGTAAATTATACCTCAATACAAAAGTTTTTAAAGTGAACTAAAATCATCATATATTAAAGGTATTATAAAGTGTTAAATTTCATTTCTAAAGAAATAGGACAGGGATGCAGAAAAGGAGAGGTGGGGAGGAAGGGAGCTAACATTTATTAAGCACCTTCTATCTGTGTATTATATAATTTCTTATATAATTATCAACAACTCTGTGGAGTGGGTATTCTTTTTTTTTGTGACAGGATCTCACTCTGTCGCCTAGGCTGGAGTGCAGTGGTGGGATCATGGCTCACTGCAGCCTCAACCTCGTGGGCTTAAGCGATCCTCCCACCCTAGCCTCCCAAGTAGCTGGAACTACAGGAGTGCTTGACCACACCCAGTTAATTTTTACATTTTTTGTAGAGATAGGGTTTCACCATGTTGCCCAGGTTGGTCTTGAACACCTGAGCTAAAGTTATCTGCCCACCTCGGCCTCCCAAAGTGCTGGAATTACAAGTGTGAGCCACTGTGCCCAACCATTTTCTTTTTTTTCTTTTAATTTTTAATTTTTGTGGGTACATAGTAGGTGAATGTATTTGTGGAGTACCAGAGATGTTTTGATATAGGCATGGAAGTGAAATAAGCACATCAGAGTAAATTGGGTATCCATCCTCTCAAGCATTTATCCCTTGAGTTACAAGCAATCCAATTATACTCTTTAAGTTATTTTAAAATGTACAATTATTATTGACTATAGTCGTCGTGTTGTGCTATCAAATAGTAGCACACATTCATTCTTTCTAACTATTTTTTGGTATCCGTTAACCATCTCCACCTCCCCTCAGCTCCCCACTTCCCCACCCAACCCCAGCCTCTGGTAACCATCCTTCTACTCTGTATGTTCATGAGTTCAATTGTTTTGATTTTTCCATCCCACAAATAAGTGAGAACATGCAATGTTTGTCTTTCTGTGCCTGGCTTATTTCACTTAACATAATGACCTCTGGTTCCATCCTTGTTGTTGCAAATGAATGGCTCTCATTTTTTTTTTATGGCTGAATAGTATTCCATTGTATATGAGTACCACATTTTCTTTATCCATTCATCTGTTAATGGACACTTAGGTTATTTCTAAATCTTGGCTATTGTGAACAGTGCTGCAACAAACATATCTCTTTGATATACCGATTTCCTTTTTTTTTTTTTTTTTTTTTTGAGAAGGAGTCTCACTCTGTCTCCCAGGCTGGAGTACAGTGACACGATTTCAGCTCACTGCAAGCTCCGCCTCCCGGGTTCATGCCATTCTCCTGCGTCAGCCTCCCGAGTAGCTGGGACTACTCGGGAGTCCCAGCACCCGCCACCACGCCTGGCTAATTTTTTGTATTTTTAGTAGAGATGGGGTTTCACCGTGTTAGCCAGGATGGTCTCGATCTCCCGACCTCGTGATCTGCCCGCCTCGGCCTCCCAAAGTGCTGGGATTACAGGCGTGAGCCACCACGCTTGGCTCCGATTTCCTTTCTTTTGGGTATATATTCAGCACTGGGATTGCTGGATCATATGGTAGCTCAATTTTTAGTTTTTTGAGAAACCTCCAAACTTTTCTCCATAGTGGTTGTACACAGTGTATGAGGGCTCCGTTTTCTCCACGTCCTCACCAGCATTTGTTACTGCCTGTCTTTTGTATATAAGCCATTTTAACTGGGGTGCTATATCTCCTTGTAGTTTTGATTTGCATTTCTCTGATGATCAGTGTTGTTGCACCTTTTCCTGTTCCTGTTTGCCATTTATATGTCTTCTTTTGAAAAATGTCTGTTCAAATATTTTGCCTATTTTTGATTGGATTAGATTTTTTCCTATAGAGTTGTTTCAGCTTCTTATATATACGGGTTATTAATCCCTTGTCGGATGGGTAGTTTGCAAATATTTTCTCCCATTCTGTGGGTTGTCTCTTCACTTTGTTGATTGTTTCCTTTGCTGTGCAGAAGCTTTTTACCTTGATGTAATCCCGTTTGTCCATTTTTTGCTTTGGTTGCCTGTGCTTTTATGAGTTTTTGCTCAAGGAATTTTTGCCCAGACCAATGTCCTGGAAATTTTTCTGATTTTTTCTTGTAGTAGTTTCATAGTTTGAAGGAGTGGATATTCATATTCCATTTTTTGTAGACGAGAAAATATAAAAAGGGTGGCCAGGCGCGGTGGCTCCCGCCTGTAATCCCAGCACTTTGGGAGGCTGAAGTGGGCGGATCAGGAGTTCAGGATGTGTCCGGAATTGGTGGGTTCTTGGTCTCAATGACTTCAAGAATGAAGCCGTGGACCCTCGCGGTGAGTGTTACAGTTCTTAAAGGCGGCGTGTCCGGAGTTTGTTCCTTCTGATGTTCGGATGTGTTCGGAGTTTCTTCTTTCCGGTGGGTTCGTGCTCTCGCTGGCTCAGAAGTCAAGCTGCGGACCTTTGTGGTGAGTGTTACAGCTCTTATGGCGGCGCGTCTGGAGTTGTTCGTTCCTCCCGGTGGGTCTGTGGCCTCGCTGGCTTCAGGAGTGAAGCTGCAGACCTTCGCGACGACTGTTACAGCTCATAAAGGCAGTGTGGACCCAAAGAGTGAGCGGCAGCAGGATTTATTGCAAAGAGTGAAAGAACAAAGCTTCCACAGGGTGGAAGAGGACCCCAGCAGGTTGCCACTGCTGACTAGGGCAGCCTGCTTTTATTCTCTTATCTGGCCCCACCCACATCCTGCTGATTGGTCCATTTTACAGAGAGCCAAGTGGTCTGTTTTGACAGGGTGCTGATTGGTGCAGTTTACAATCCCTGAGCTAGACACAAAGGTTCTCCACCTCCCCACTAGGTTAGCTAGATACAGAGTGTGGACACAAAGGTTCTCCAAGTTCCTACCAGAGTAGCTAGATACAGAGTGTCGATTGGTGCATTCACAAACCCTGAGCTAGACACAGGGTGCTGACTGGTGTATTTACAATCCCTTAGCTATACATAAAAGTTCTCCAAGTCCCCACCAGAGTAGCTAGATACAGAGTGTCCATTTGGTGCATTCACAAACTCTGAGCTAGACACAGGGTGCTGATTGGTGTGTTTACAAACCTTGAGCTAGATACAGAGTGCCGATTGGTGTATTTACAATCCCTGAGCTAGACATAAAGGTTCTCCAAGTCCCCACCGGACTCAGGAGCCCAGCTGGCTTCACCCAATGGATCCCGCACCAGGGCGCAGATGGAGCTGCCTGCCAGTCTGGCGCTGCAGTGTGCCCGCACTCCTCAGCCCTTGGGTGGTCGATGGGACTGGGCGCCGTGGAGCAGGGGGCAGCGCTCGTCGGGGAGGCTCGGGCCACACAGGAGCCCACGGAGGGGGCGGGGGGGAGGCTCAGGCATGGTGGGCTGCATGTCCCGAGCCCTGCCCCACGGGAAGGCAGCTAAGGCCCGGCGAGAAATTGAGCACAGCAGCTGCTGGCCCAAGTGCTAAGCCTCTCACTGCCGGGGCGGCGGTGCCGGCCGACCGCTCCGAGTGCGGGGCCCGTGGAGCCCACACCCACCTGGAACTCGCGCCGGCCCGCAAGTACCGCACGCAGCCCGGTTCCCGCTCGTGCCTCTCCCTCCACACCTCCCCGCAAGCTGAGGGAGCCGGCTCTGGCCTTGGCCAGCCCAGAAAGGGGCTCCAACAGTGCAGTGGCGGGCTGAAGGGCTCCTCAAGTGCCACCAAATTGGGAGCCCAGGCAGAGGAGGCGCCGAGAGTGAGCGAGGGCTGTGAGGACTACCAGCACGCTGTCACCTCTCAAGGAGATCGAGACCATCCTGGCTAACACGGTGAGAACCCGTCTCTACTGAAAATACAAAAAATTAGCCGGGCGTGGTGGCGGGCGCCTGTAGTACCAGCTACTCAGGAGGCTGAGGCAGGAGAATCTTGTGAACCCGGGAGGCAGAGCTTGCAGTGAGCTGAGATGGCGCCACTGCACTCCAGCCTGGGCGACACAGTGAGACTCCGTCTCCAAAAAAAAAAAAGGGTAAGTTTGCTCAAATTCACACACACTTGGTAAATAACAGGGTCAGGCGTTGAACTAAGATCATTCCAACTCTATTCTGAACGTAATTCTGAAAAGAGGCTGTTAAAAGTTTAAGAAAGTAGAGCTCATAGGCTGAGTGAATTGCCCAAGATCATGTCAAATCCACTGGTCTCCTAGCCCACCACACTTCGTTAAAATGTAGTTTTTGAAAAAGATGGGGTCCCACTATGTTGCTCAGGCTGGTCTTGAACTCCTGGGCTGAAGTGATCCTTCTGTGTGAGCCTCCTGAATAGCTGGGACTACAGGGCGTGCCACCATGCCCAGCTCCACACTGCACTTCTGTGCAACAACCGACTTCCTCTCCATTTAATTTTCAGAATGTCCAATAATGTTATTCTTTTTTAGATCCTGGATGAAAATACTTTAAGTGAGGATTTACTGTTGGAGAAACTTCTAGAAATTTCCTACTGTCAAAGAATCAAACATTTGGGCCGGGCACAGTGGCTCACGCCTGTAATCCCAGCACTTTGGGAGGCCGAGACGGGCGGATCACCTGAGTTAGGGAGTTTGAGACCAGCCTGACCAACATGGAGAAACCCCGTCTCTACTAAAAATACAAAAAATTAACCAGGCGTTGGTGGTGCATGCCTGTAATACCAGCTACTTGGGAGGATGAGGCAGAAGAATTGCTTGAACCCGGGAGGCGGAGGTTGCGGTGAGCCGAGATCGTGCCATTGCCCTCCAGCCTGGGCAACAAAAGCGAGACTCTGTCTCAAAAAAAAAAAAAAAAAAAAAAAAAAAAAAGAATCAAACATTTAACATTCATAAAAGGGCGACCTTAAACTATTTGAGAGCCTGAGAACATTATCATTTTGGCCCTAGGGCAACGTGAAAATTGTATGCTCTCATGGAAAATGATTTGGTTTTTAGCCTCACATATGTGTATGAGAGTTAAGGACTTTACTTATTTTGGAAGTTGTGGATGATATATCACTTATTTGAAAGGTGGTAAGAATTGTTCAAACTGACCAAGGAGTATCTGGGGGCAATTTAGGAAATTAATACTAAAGTATGAATTGCACAAACTTCTATATCATTTTGGTTATAGAGACTGTTTTTCCCTTTTCTGGCTACTTCTCAGTTTAATTCATAAAAAATAATAATTAAGGGCCGAGTGTGGTGGCTCACACCAGTAGTGCCTTCCAGCCCTTTGGGAGGCCGAGTAGGGCGGATCACAAGGTCAGGAGTTCGACACCAGCCTGACCAACACAGTGAAACTCTGTGTCTTCTAAAAATACACAATTACCCAGGCATGGTGGCGGATGCTTGTAATCTCAGCTATTTGGGAGGCTGAGGCAGGAGAATCGCTTGAACCCAGGAGGCAGAGTTTGCAGTGATCCGAATTGTGCCACTGGACTCCAGCCTGGGTGACAGTGCGAGACTTGCCTCAGAAAAAAAAAAAAAAAGTTCCTCTTTCTACACTTTTCATTTTTAAAAACATTTTTTCCTTCATTCTTCTCTGCCATAAATTTTTTTCTACTTCTCACTACTGAGTTACATATGTTTTCATTAAATCTCAGCATTTGGCATGAGATTGTTTACATCAAATCCACTTGATTATTTTTTAGAAATTGATAATTATTCTTTTTCAGTAATGACAAGAATGCAGCAAAAACACATACTCCTAATATAACCAGTGTATCCCCATAATTGGAATAAGTTCTATTCTGAAATATCATCTATTGAGAACTATGCCCTCAATAGCACATTTTCTAGAACTGTAAATAATAGAATCTTAGAATGTTAGCCATGGAAGAGGCCTAATTTTGCACAGAGGAAAAAAAAAGTCTAGGGATCTTTGTGCAAATTGGTTCCTTTCATCAGTCAGCAATCTGACTCTCATAACCTAAAGAAAATGATGTTTCTTGGCTGGGCGCAGTGGCTCACGCCTGTAATCCCAGCACTTTGGGAGGCCAAGGCGGGCAGATCACGAGGTCAGGAGATCGAGACCATCCTGTCTAACACGGTGAAACCCCGTCTCTACTAAAAATTCCCAGCCACTCGGGAGGCTGAGGCAGGAGAATGGCGTGAACCCAGGAGGCGGAGCTTGCAGTGAGCCGAGATCGCGCTACTGCACTCCAGCCTGGGCGACAGAGCGAGACTCTGTCTCAAAAAAAAAAAAAAAAGAAAAAAGAAAATGATGTTTCTTTATATTATTGATTAAATGAGTCCATAATTCCTACTTCCTTAGTGGAAGTGGTTTTGGAGGTGTGTATTATAATGCATGCAAAGTTGGGAATGCTTTTTGGATTCTCTTGTTATTTAATTTGTAAACATAGAATCACTGGTAAAGAAAGAAGAAAAGGAGAACAAAAGTATAGCATATTTCTTCCAGCTACTTGGGCTCTTTGGCCTGAAGCCAGGTTACAAATTAGCAGTATCATGTTAGAAAGTCCCCTAAAGTTAGCGATATTCCTTGTTGCCTCTAGAGTAGACTCAAAAAGAATAGACCTATGATTTTCTCTGCTGGAATATACTTCTTATGCTACATGGAACTTTTGGCTCTTTTTGACTGTTTCTCTACATTGAGCAAGATAGTCAAGTCCAACTTCATGTTCATAAGATTTGACATTGACGCAAGATTTTTCTCAGACACTTTGCCACCTGGAGACCTCTAGCCAGCCATGCCCCTGCCTGGGCCTTGCTAGGCCTGGGCTGGCAACAAGCGGTGCCCCGCCCACTCAGCCAACCGGGCTGTACCTGGCTTGTACTCCAGCATGGATCCCGTGGTCACTGCAACTGTGCACTCAGCCCCTGGTGGGAGGAGGGTGTGTGAGCAAGCGAGTGCAGGCCTGGCCAGCTGCTCCAAGTGCCGACACAAGAGTGGGCTCTGTGCAGGGCTTGTGGCTGGACCAGGTGTTTTGCAAGCAAACTCCTGTGGTGGAGTCCAGTGTCCTGATGAGGGGAACATGGTGGTGCCCAAACAAGGAAGGCCGCAATCCCAAAGCCCCAGAGAGGGTGTTATGGCATGCTAACACCTCTTGTAGTCCTGCAGTCTGCAGCCAGATGAACCGGGTCCAAGGTTCTGGGCCTGGCCTGCTCCACCACTGCTTCCTGTCATGTGGGGGCGGCCACAGGGTGCTGGTGGGCTACACTGTTACTGCCTTCTTCGTGCTGGTGTTCACTGGGGTCCCAAGTTCTTGTCCTGTGTCCAAGAAGAATGAGATCAGACTGACAATCAACTGGTAAGAAGGGTGGAGAAGAGTTTTATTAAGTGACGAAATCGCTCTCAGGGAGGGGAGCTGCAAGGGTGGTTCCGCCACCCAAAGTCGGTGGTCTCTCTTAGTGTGGCTCAGTCTGGTGTTTTTATTGGCACAGGATGGGGGAGGGGCGGGCCATAGGTAGTATTGGAAAAGGTAACATTCAATTGATTAAAAGGCATTATTTGGAAAGAACGAATTGGAAAAGTGTGGGCAAACAGGAATGGAAATTCTCACTCTGGGTCATCAGTTTCATCTGGAACCAGCAGCCTGGTCTTTCAGGCTTCAGGCTGTTTTTGGCTTGAAGGTGCGGTTTCACCGGGGGCCCGCCCCATCTGCCTAGGTATTTTTCTGCCTCCTGCCTCTATCAACATGGTTATGATTTTCTGATTATGACAGATCCACAAAGTAAATTCAAATCTATTATCTGATGAATAAAAGGTTTTGTTCAAAGTGAGTTACTACTACTTCAATAGAAATATATTTTGAAATATTATTTCTGGAACATATAATTTTATAATATTTAACTCTAAAAGGAGCTACATTTCCTTCTCTTCCCAAAATAATGGTTTTCTTGTTTTTCTTTTCTGATTACCAAAATAATAAATTGATGCATAAAATTCAAGAAACAGAAAAGTATTAAGAAATAAAGTTATCCTAATTCCCAATGTTGACATGTTCAAAAACATCCTTTTTGATATCTTTCTATGCATTTATTTTATCCACGATATATGTGCATGTGTGTGTATGTGTGTATATATGTATACATATATATTTTTAATGTAAATGATATCATATTCTTTTGTAGTTTGCTTTTATTCAACAATCTGCCATGGAGATTTTCTTTCCTTTAATGAGTGTTAAATTCTTTTTGGCAACTGCAGAGCAACCCATTGTATGGATGTGCCAGAATTTAATTAATCCCCAACTGATGGACATTAGGTTATTTCCAGTTTATTATTAAATAAGCAAGGGCTGAGTTAACACTTTACCCCAAGAGCTTATCAGTAAAGTAGATAAATTCCTAGGAGTCTGATTCATGTTACTGATTTGCTTTTCCAAAACTGGCTTGCTTTCTAAAACCTTATTTTATATATAAATATTTATATACATGTATATATGTAATATATATATTTTACCAGCTTTCATTGCTACTAATAATATCTGAGAGTATAGAAGGAGATTTTTCAGTTCACTGACTTGAAAGTCTTCAAATATTCAGAATTACTATGCATTAATTTTGGCAAACAGGTGTCAAATGTTCTTAATGAGTAGGTTAAATGAATGTGGTAGTAATGATCAGAAGGCAAAACGAGTCTATCCAACTGTTTGTCAAGTAGTCAGAAAAAATCTCTTTTTTCTTTATGCCCCTACACACAATACTTTGGGTATACCTCTATTGGAGCACTTTTAAAATTTTGACTTATATTCTTAGGTGTCTTTCCAGTTAATGTTAGCTCTCTGAAGACAGGAACTGCGCTGCAATCCTGCAACGATCTCATACAGTGTGTTTGTCCCTTAATAAACTTTGTGGATGAATAAATAGCCACAAAATTTTCCATTTGCTTCTCCTGCATTTAGAAGCATCCACTTCCCTCTCTTCCCTTTGCTTTTGAAATATAAGTGTAATATTTGCCCAGGGTAAACAGACTTGGAGCTTGGGAGACAGCATTGTGTAATGGATGTTAATTTGGCCTGATTTCACTCTTGGCTCTCTGATTTGTTAGATCTATGAACCTGGGCAAGTTGCTTAAGTCCTAGTTTTCTCTTCTGTAAAATGAAGATAATAGATTCTACTTCAAAAAGTGTTGTATGGATTAAAGGAGATCACATTTTAAAGCCTTTAGCAAGGTGCCTACTATAATACTTGATGAAGGATAGCTATAACGATTGCTGTTTCCTCAAAGGTACAGATATCCTAATATATATATATATATATATGTATGCATGTATATATGTCATTGGCTATTTCTTGCCTTCCATTCTAGTGGACACAACAACTTCTGGGTTGAAGGCAAAAAGAACCTAAAAGTTAATAGAGATTAGGGGCTTAGGCTCTCAGTAAAATCAATTTGGAACATATGTCAGTTGATAAAAATTAGATTTTTATGACGTTTTCAAAACAAATGCTTGGAGTATTGAAATAGGGGAAGAGTAGGATTGGGCTAGGTAGTAGTAACCATAAGAGTGTTTTATTAGGGTAAAAAAAAAATAACTGTAGGCCCTATCTAGCCTAAAGCACCACATTATACAATTCCAGGGAATAAAAAAACAAAAATAAAAATGTAAAAGTTGAACTACAGTGACCTTTGTTCTTTTCTAACTAGCAACCAACTTTTCATAATGACAGCCTACTTGAGTCTTTTTGCACTAGGGTTATTATTAGTTTTTACCAGGCTTACCTTTCTGCACTTGAGCATATGTACCTGAGCTTATTTTCCATGTAACAGTTGAGTCTTAAAAACGTGGGAACGGCCAGGTGCAGTGGCTCACGCCTGTAATCCCAACACTTTGAGACACTGAGGTGGGAGAATTGCTTGAGCTCAGGAATTCCAGACCAGCCTGGGCAATATGGAGAAACCTCATCTTTGCCAAAAATACAAAAAAATTAGCTGGGTGTGGTGGCGTGTGCCTACAGTGCCAGCTACTCAGGAGGCTGAGGCAGGAGAACTGCTTGAACCTGGGAGGCAGAGGTTGCAGTGAGCTGAAATTTTGCCATTGCCCTCCAGCCTGGGTGACAGAGTGAGACTCCATTTCAAAAACAACAACAACAACAACAAAAAGCACAACTCCAAAACCAAACAGCAAGTGCTTTTTTAAAAGTTTATAGAGCAAAAGATGGCAACATCTTCTGAACATAATAAGCATTTTCAAATGTGGGTCAAAGATAGCTCCTTTTGAAAGGCAGAATTTTTAAAAAGATGAGCAAAACATTTACTTCGTGGAACTTAGTGAATATCCTCTTCTCTGTAAGCAAAAATACACTTCTCCCCATTCCTCTAAGGATGCCAGATCCTGATTCATTTTCTGTTCAAGACTCAGCAGAAACACAATGCTCCATTTTATAGAGGGTTATTGCAACACAATGACGGCACTATAATTTCTGTCAGGGTGAAGTGCTTCACTTGGCTTTGGGCCAGTGAAACTCAGTGTTGTTTAGCCCTTCTGTAATTTTGGACACAGGCAAATACCTTCATGTTTATGCATTCTGTATGCTTTTAGGAAGCATTTTTAAAATGTGGTTTTAACAGCATCTCATTAGAAGCAGCAGTTGGATTTTCCATGTGACCAGATTTCTTATCCCTGGTGTGAACATTTAGTTTTTAAGGCATTGCAAATGAAAGCACCACCCACTTCTGAGGCCAAAGCAGTCGTAAAACCCCTTTGTCAAAGGAAACCTGTAATTGTAAAATTCCTCCTTGATTTCATCGTTCATGTGGACTGAAATAGAGTTCCTCTTTTTTTTTTTTTTTTTGGTCTGGTTATGTGGTGTGTGGTCATTCCTTTTTTTTTTTTTTTTTGAGACCAAGTCTCGCTCTGTTGCCAGGCTGGAGTGCAGTGGCACGATCTTGGCTCACTGCAATCTCTGCCTCCTGGCTTCAAGCTATTCTCCTGCCTCAGCCTCCCGAGTAGTTGGGATTACAGGTGTGTGCCACCAAACCCAGCTAATTTTTGTATTTTTAGTAGAGACGGAGTTTCACCATGTTGGCCAGGATGGTCTCCATCTCCTAACCTCATGATCTGCCTGCCTCGGCCTCCCAAAGTGCTGGGATTACAGGCGTGAGCCACCGCGCCCAGCCCCAGTGTGTGGTCATTCTTAATGTTGTTTTGAAGAAGTTATAGACAGTTAAGGAAACATCTTAGAGAACTGGCCAAGCTCTAAAGCTAGGCACATTTCATATTTTTGTCTATTTAATAAAAAAGGACAAGACTGTTTTCCCGGAAGCCTCCTGGTCCGACTCCCAATACCTGCCTGTGGATAGCACTGTGGACTTTTGTCCCAGAAGACTAGTGTCTGGATAAATGTTTTGTAAGCCTTACTTCCTGGATGGGAGCCAACTGATTGCTTACACGTGATACTCATCTCCCCATGAACAGTCATGGTGGCTGCTGTGTACTGGAGTCCTGCAGCTGTAAAGGGGACACGCTAGAAGGAGAGAAGGGAACAGTCCTTTGCAGGAGCACAGCTGTGTAGCAGGCCTTTGATCCAACAGCAAAACCAAGCCTAGCAAGTTAGTTATCTCATTCCTTTTTAGCAATATGACATGACGAACATGCTGCAATGACTTCCAAATACTTCCCTCCTTTTTGCTTAGATTGGGGGTAGAATGAGGATAGAAAATGAGAGGTCTAGGGAAAAACAAAGTATTTGTGTATTCAGACATTTATTGACTCTAAATGCAAACATTTACTAAGTCCTCTCTGCAGGCCAGGTACTGTGCTCAATGTTTTACATGAGTTCTCTCTCTCAATTCTTACCATAACCACCAAGTAGATAAATCCCAACTTCTGTTTAGCAGTTGAGGAAATTGAGCCTTTGGGGAGGTTAAGAAACTTGCCCAAGGTAACATAGTAGTAAGAGGCAAAGCTGGGACTCTATCCTGATGCGATGCCAAGCCTATGCTCTTAACCACTGTGCTATACTGCCTCCCTGTGTTAGAATATCTTTTATCTTTTATCCCCAGCACTGTGGAAGAGAAGTAGAAGATAACAAACCTGCTACATGGTAGATGCCTGGAGATAATATTATGTATGTTTGCCATTATATTATATTCTTATGTTAGGGTACACTAAATTGCTATGTTCTATTTGAAACAACCAGGAAACCTAACTGGGCTCAAGCAAATGTAATTCAAGCTGTTTGATCTCTAAAATATGATTATAATGATCTCTTCTTATTGGCCTCTCTGTCTGTCCCTGGCTTTCTGAAGAGATCTTTTGTTTTGTATGTACAGTTGTTACTGAGAAATACCAGCTGCAGGGGAACAATTCATGACATTACCTTCTCCCCAGCATTTTCCCTCCCCACAACCCCCGGTCCTGGAGAGTGCTGTTATTTTGAATGAATATGATTGACAGAGATGGGAAGGTCTCACTTTTGTTTATCTTATAAAATTTACTGAAGCCAAAACTTCTCCAAAAGAGGTCCCAGCATTTTCCTTTGGTTCAGACACAAACCTTCAGAGGAAAATAAATGCTCCGGTGAAACATAGTTGAAAGACAGAGAGGCAGAAGGAGGAGTAACACTTTTAGGAGTTTCAAGCACTGTGATAGCCATTGACTTTTATTTTTGGAATCCTGAGGGATAGTTACATCTCAAAGCACAAACTAAAGATAATTCCCGAGATTATTGAATGTCCTCTGATAGAGACATCAGATTTCAGGTTGGTCTAATTTTCTTTGACTACTTATTTCTGAAAATTGTCTGTGGAATACGGAGTCCATCCTTAAATTAAGCTTTCCCTGGCTGGGCGTGGTGGCTCACACCTGTAATCCTAGCACTTTGGGAGGCCAAGGCGGGTGTATCACTTGAGGTCAGGAGTTCGAAACCAGCCTGGCCAACATGGTGAAACCCCATCCCCACTAAAAATACAAAAAAATTAGCTGGGTGTGGTGGCTTGAACCTGGGAGGCAGAGGTTTCAGTGAGCCAAGATCGCGCACTGCACTCCAGCCTAGGGTGATAGAGCAAGAGTCTGTTTCAAAAAAAAAAAAAAAATTAGGCCTTCCCCTAATTCCATATTCTGTGTGAGGGAGTTCCCTTAGGTAACCTAAATCAGAATAAATCTGTATATATTCCTCTGGTCTTCCATACAAGTATAAAGCTTTCTGCCATACTAGAGGCTCGCAATCTCCTGTGTTTGTAGCACACTTTCAAGTGCTGTAAGTATTGGCAACACACATAGGGGCTTAAAGGAATTGAAACTACACCACCATGTTCAGTATGATATATGATAAAACAGTATCTTATGGTATCCATACAAGTACATACAGCAAAGGTACAGCTCTTATGCTTCCCTTTCCACGCCACATCTAGGTTTGAGGACTGCTCAGTTTACTGCCTTTACCTTGATGTCTTCATTTTTTTTTTTTTTTTTTTAGACAGAGTCTCGCTCTGTTGCCCAGGCTGGAGTGCAGTGGCGTGATCTCAACTCACTGCAAGCTCTGCCTCCCAGGTTCACGCCATTCTCCTGCCTCAGCCTCCCAAGTAGCTGGGACTACAGGCGCCCACCACCACGCCTGGCTAATTTTTTGTATTTTTAGTAGAGACGGGGTTTCACCATGTTAGCCAGGATGGTCTCGATCTCCTGACCTCGTGATCTGTCCACCTCGGCCTCCCAAGATGTTTTCTTTTATGTTTGGGGAACAGTGTTTCCATGTTTTGGAAAACATGTAATTGTTCTTTGCTGCAATCTGTCATTACGCCACAACTTTTACTTTTTGCAGAATGCATCTTGATAGACCTCAGTGTAACCATATGTATACTCAGTTGCAGCAAAAATAGATTTTACAAAATTTATTTTACCAAACAAATGGAGTGCCATAGCATACTGCTGGAAAACCACTGTCTTATATACCTGAAGAGTAAATCACAATAAAAAGAAGAGCAGAATGAGGCCGGGCGCAGTGGCTCATGCCTGTAATCCCAGCACTTTGGGAGACCAAGGTGGGCGGATCACTTGAGGTCAGGAGTTCGAGACTAGCCTGACTAATACGGTGAAACCCCGTCTCTACTAAAATTACAAAAATTAGCGGGGCATAGGCCTGTAGTCCCAGCTACTCAGGAGGCTGAGGCAGGAGAATCTCTTGAACTGGGGAGGCAGAGGTTGCAGCTAGCTGAGATCACACCACTGCATTCCAGCCTGAGCAACAGAGTGAGACGCTGTCTAAAAAAAAAAAGGAAGAACAGAATGAAAAAATTGGAACAGCATCGGAGGGTCCTTGCCCAGTGGCCCTACACTGGCATCTGAAAGCAGAGCTTTGCCCTTCTCCTTGTGGGATGACAATGCGAGGCTGCTTTTCCAGTTAGTGCCACTTAGAGTTGGCTGCTCTGGGAGACGTATGGACATGAGGTTGCTTGGTGAAGCCTGGATAATGTGCCAGAATGTCAGTGGGTTCTTATAGTTTGATGATGTAGAGGTGTGGATATGCGGAGAATAACATTATATATATACTTAAAAGTTAGCACTTGTAGGGCTGGGCACAGTGGCTCAGGCCTGTAATCCCAGCAATTTGGGAGGCCAAGGCAGGTAGATCACGAGGTCAGGAGATCAAGACCATCCTTGCTAGCGCGGTGAAATCCCATCTCTACTAAAAATGCAAAAAATTAGCCGGGCGTGGTGGCAGGTGCCTGTGGTCCCAGCTGCTCAGGAGGCTGAGGCAGGAGAATGGCGTGAACCCGGGAGGCGGAGCACGCAGTGAGCTGAGATCGCGCCACTACACTCCAGCCTGGGCGACAGAATGAGACTCCATATCAAAAAAAAAAAAAAAAAAAAAAGTTGGCACTTGTTTGGTATTAAAAGCTCAGGTTTGCAAGTGTCTGCCTTGCATTTAGAGAAGCTTGTGGTATTATCGCTCCGTGTTCGGAATTACCCAAGTGATTCCAGGAAGATTAGGCAAGTTTATTTTATTATCATGCACATTAATTTAGGAATTTGGCTGGAAACTTTATTTCCCTTTTTCTTAAAGCAAATATCTAAAGTTGATCCTTTTTAAATACTACAGCATTCATTTTCCTCAAGTTTCTTAGTATCATAGGCAAATGTAAATCCTGGGTAGTTTGGAGAAATGAATCAAAAAGAAGGAATGAATAAAACACAACAAATTTCATTCAGAATAAGCCTGTGCCTAATGCTTACGTGCAGTGTGGGTAGGGCATAGCTACTTTATTCAAATTATTTGTTGAAGGTCTACCATCTACCTAATCTATATTCTAGTTTCTGAGGATAAAACAGTGAACAAGACAGATCAGTTTCTGCTGTCGCTGATCTTAAATTTTAGTGGGAAGGGCAAATGACAAACAATATACAAATGAATATATAACATGCCAAATAAGGAGGGAATCGAGAGTAATGAAGTGGGGAGGGAGCCACAAGTGCTAATTCATAACTGGTAGGTGGGGAAAAATTTCTGATAAGGCGACATTTGAACAGGGAACTGGTGAGCCATGTGGGTGTCTGTGGCAACTGTACTCCAGGCTGAAGAACATCACAGGCAAAGACCCTGAGGAGGCAGCACAGTGGGCACATTCAAGAGCAGCAGGAAGACCATTATCTTCCTGGCTGGATCAAAGTGAGCCAAGAAAGCACTGGAAGGTGATAAGATGAGGGTGCAGGGAAATCATGTGGGTCCTTACAGACTGAGGTGAGAATTTGGCTCTTATTCTGAGTAAGAGGAATCTACTGGAGGATTTTGAGCAGAGGAATGACATGATCAGGCGTACGTTTTTGGCTATCGTGTGGAAGACATGGTGGGTGGGAAAGTGGGTAGGAGGCTATTTTGATCATTGAAATGAGAGCTCATGGTGGTCTGCACCAGGATAATAGCAGTGACAGTGATGAGAGGTGGTCAGACTCTGGATGTATTTTGAAGACAGAGTTGACATGCTTTGCTGCTGGACTGAACGTGGAGTGCGAAAGAAAGAGAGGAGTCAGGCCGAGGCAGTGGCTCATGCCTGTAATCCCAGCACTTTGGGAGACGAAGGCAGGTGGATCACTTGAGGTCAGGAGCTTGAGATCAGCCTGGGTAACATGGTGAAACCCCGTCTCTACTAAAAATACAAAAATTAGCCAGGTGTGGTGGTGCGTGCCTGTAGTCCCAGCTTCTCTGGAGGCTGAGGCATGAGAATTGCTTGAACCTGGGAGGTGGAGGTTGTAGTGAGCCAAGATCGCACCACTGCATTCCAGCCTGGGTGACAGAGCGAGACTCTGTCTCAAAAAAAAAAAAAAAAAAGAGGAGTCAAAGATGACTCCAATGTATTTACCACTTAGTGACCAGAGAAAGGCTATTTCCCTGGGCCTTTCTAGATGAGAACTGTGGGTGGGATTGTGGAGATAGGAATGAGGGCACAGGGAGACAGGCTATGCATAGAATGGGGATTTCGGTGGGTTGTTTCTTGGTGCATAATTATAAACTGTTTTGCTGTCAGCTACATATTTGGTGTCCTTAGTCTGTAATGATGTTTGGGAAGCCTCAAACCAAACCAAAGCATTTCCTCTGCCATCATGGGGGCCGTTTTAATTGCTCCAGTAGAGAGAAAAATCTTTGTTTAAACAATTGGAAGACAGGCCAAGAAGCTTGAAGTCTTTTTTATGGAAGAGGGAGGGCCAGTTTGAAATTTGCAAAATTCGGAAAGACTGGGGAAAAAACCCACATATTTGTTCACCTTCCCTTTCAACATTAGAATTAGCCCAGCTAAGCTTAAAGGAGGTGGTGTTTAGGCAGTGAACAGGCATTACTGTTTTACACAGCAGGTAATAAATAGATAGAACTCTGTACTCCAAGGATGATATAGATTGAAAATATAAATGTACTTGATAAGTGTTTAGAAAACTTGCAGCTAGTATATATAATAAATTATTGTATAAACTAGGGATTCAGTTATACTCTACCAAAATTTATTGAATGTGTACTTTGGGTATATTATTATGCTAACTGCTATGGCAGATATAGTAATGAATAAAATACAGTCCTGTTGCTCAAGAGTTTCTAATCAATAGGAATGACAACATGCCTCTAAGTATAAAAATTCAGACTCCTCTACACTATGGTAGATTGATTGCATTAACGGCCCCTCCCAGTTTTCACAGCCTTTGCCCTGAACCTTTGTGTTCCCTCCCATTCTGACTCTGGGCTCATTGATGTGACTTGCTTTGGCGCTGGAATGTTAGCAAACATGATGCAAGCAGAGGCTTGAAAAGCGCAGGCGTTTCCTCTTGCCCTCTTGCATGATTGGGTGTGTTCTCTTTTTCACTTCTTCCTTGTCATGAGGACATGACATGCCTGGGCTAACGTACTGCCAATGTGAGGCACATGTGGAGAAGATTCAAGGCCATCCTAAACCCCTCATAGCCCCTGACTCCCAAACACATGAGACAGCTCTGCCAAGATCAGCAGGAGTGTTTCTCAATGCACACTCTGACTGCATATGCCTACATGACCCCAGTTCAAGCCAGAGGAACCATTCTGCTGACCCACAGATTTATAAGCAAGAATAAATGGCCTTTTGAGATAGGGTCTTGCTCTGTCACCCATGCTGGAGTGCAGTGGTGCAATCATGGCTCACCGTAGCCTTGACCTCCTGGTCTCAAGTGATCCTCCCGCCTCAGCCTCCGGAGTAGCGGGGATTATAGGTGGGTGCCACCACACCAGGCATGGCTATTATTTGAAGCCGCAGTTTTGGGATGATTTTTATGCAGCACCACTGCAGCAGATAACTGATACAGGCACTCAAGACTCTTTGCAACTCGTCCCTGCCTTTCTAGCTTCTTGTCCCGCCTCCCCCATGCCTTTTATTTTATTTTACTGAGACAGGGTTCTCCTCTGTTGTCCAGGCTGGAGTGCAGTGGCACGATCTTGGCTCACTGTAACCTCTGCCTCCCGGGTTCAAGCGATTCTCCTGCCTCAGCCTCCTGAGTAGCTGGCATTACAGGCACCTGCCACTATGGCTGGCTAATTTTTTTGTATTTTTAGTAGAGATGGGGTTTCACCATGTTGTCCAGGCTGGTCTCGAACTCCAGACCTCAGGTGATGCACCCGTCTCGGCCTCCCAAAGTGTTGGGATTATAGGCTTGAGCCACAGTGCCTGGCCCCCTATGTACTTTATACTTCAGGCAACTGAGTTACCTGAATTCCTGAAATGGAACATGGTTTCTCATGCCTTTCCATATGTGATGTTTTACTTCTGAAATGTTCTTCACGCCTATCTCTGTCTGGACAACTGTTCTTTCTTCAATTCCAGTGTTGCTCCTCTGGAAAGTCATCCTGACACCCCAGGCTGGGTTCAGTGCCCCTTCCCTGTATCTGTAGCACAGAATGCACACATGGTTACAATTTTTTTTTTTTTTTTTTGAGACAGAGTCTTGCTCTGTCACCCAGGCTGGAGTGCAATGGCATGTCTTGGCTTACTGTAACCTCCGCCTCCCGGGTTCAAGCGATTCTCCTGCCGCAGCCTCCCAAGTAGCTGGGATTGCAGGTGCCTGCCACCATGCACAGCTAATTTTTGTATTTTTAGTAGAGACAGGGTTTTGCCATGTTGCCCAGGCTGGTCTCGAACTCCTGACCTCAGGTGATCCGCCTGCCTCGGCCTCCCAAAGTGCTGGGATTATAGGCATGAGCCACCGCACCTGGCCACGGTTATAATTTAGTATGCTAAGCATTCTCTATCCCCAAGAAGCAGAAGTTCCCGAAAAACAGGGACTGTGTATTCTCTACATCCTGAATACAAGGTTTGACGCAACATAGACTCTCCACACACATTTGCAAGTTTGCAAAGACATTTCTTTACCTTAATGTCACTGAGTTCTAAGTCTCATAGAGAAAGGAGAGATTTCTAAGAGAACAGGGAAGTTTTCACAGAAGAGGCAGAATTTGAAATGTTCCTTAGTTTTAATGGGTGGAGAGGGTTCCAGAGTTGGAGAAGAACATTTTGGGTAGAAGTAACACCCATAGACAGTGGCAATGTGGTACTCTGGTAGTTGAAGCATCCAGTATTATTGCAGTGAAGAATTCATGAGCAGGTGCAGTCAGAGGCAGGCCATTTTGTAGGGGCTTGAATAGCATCTTAAGGTATTGGGTCTTCATTTTGCAGGGCAGTGACACCATAAAGAACCATATTTTCAAGGGTTACTTTGGAAGCAGTGTATAGGGTATATTGGGGGTCAGGAAAGAAGGAGACTGGATATGTAGAACCATCTCTTGACTTTTGGAACAATCCAGACAGAAGGCAATAGTGAAAGTGAGAACGTGTAAAAAGAACATATAGAAGCTGGGCGTGGTGGCTCACGCCTGTAATCCCAGCACTTTGGGAGGCTGAGGTGGGCGGATCATGAGGTCAGGAGTTCAAGACCAGCCTGGCCACTGTGGTGAAACCCTGTCTCTACTAAAAATATAAAAATTAGCCGGGAATGGTGGCTCACGCCTGGAGTCCCAGCTACTGGGGAGGCTGAGGCAGGAGAATTGCTTGAACCCAGGAGGCGGAGGTTGCAGTGAGCTGAGATCGCACCATTGACTCCAGCCTGGGCGACAGAGTGAGACTTCATAAAAAAAAAAAAAAAAAAAAAAAAAAACTTTGGGAGGCTGAAGCGGGCAGATTACCTGAGGTCAGGAGTTTGAGACCAGTCTGGCCAACATGGTGAAACACCATCTCTACTAAAAAAAAATACAAAATTAGCCAGGTGTGGTGGTGAGTGCCTGTAATCCCAACTACTTGGGAGGCTGATGCAGGAGAATCACCTGAACCCAGAAGGTGGAGGTTGCAGTGAGCCAATATTGCACCATTGCACTCCAGCCTGGGTGATGGACGAAACTCTGTCTAAAAAAAAAAAAAAAAAAAAGAACATATAGGACATTGTAACTAAATGTGGGAAATGAGAAAGAGAAGATAATTGAAGATGACTCCTAGATTTTTTTTCCTAGTGTCTGGAAAAGAGGAACAGGCTTGAAAGGAAGGTTAAGTGGAGTTTGGACATACTGAGTTTGAGATGTATGTCAGCGGAGATCTCTAGCAGGCAGTGAACAATATGAACCTGGAGTTCAAATCAGAACTGGCACACTTGGGGATCTTTTACCTATAAAGGATCTTCAAAAATGAGGCCCAGAGAGATAAGAAGCCTGAGAGTAGATCCATATATTATGCTTTATACCCAGGACAAGAAGAGAAAGTAGGGTCTGCAAGGGAGACAGAGATAGATGAAGAAACGAGAGTTAGAAAAGGGGAAGTGACAGACAGTGCAAAGAAGGTCCTAAGAATGGGATGAGGAATCAGTTTCAGACAGGAAGAGAAGCTGATGAGAATGAGGAGTGGGGGAGGGGCCAGTGGATTTGATCATTGAGAGGCCATTGAGAAAAGAATGTTTTGGTCTATAGTTATGGGTTTTGAAGCCAACTTTCAAGGATTGAGCTGGGATAAAGAAGAAGTAGAGGCAGAGAGTGTAGAGTCCAACGGATTTCATAAAGAGAAGAGAGATGAAATAGTAGCCGAGAGTTGAGATAAGACATTTATATGATTTGGGATTTGTGTACATAAATGGGTGGGGGTGGGGTGGGAATGGGGTTGAGATAAGGGAAGACTCAAAAGCTCTCAGAGGAGACGGGAGAAGGTAGCGTTGAGAGCATATAAGGAGGGGTTTGCCTTTAGTAGGGGGAACTGCACTTCTTTTTTCTGAGATGGGAAATAGAGGAGGGATATTTATTTTTTGCCATTATGGGGAACAACGATAGCTTCACACAGGCTATGTTTGGGCTGTACTTAGAGACAAAATATCACACTAGATGATCAGCCACTTGACATGGTATGGCAATTATAATTTTCAAACTGCCTATTTTAGAGGTCATATTTAAAAGAGGAAATGCAAGTATATTAGTCTCTTCAATAACCTACTTGTCTATATGACCAAGAAATGTTAAACTGCCAAGTGGTAAAAATCAAATGTTTGTTCATGGTTTTCTAAAGAGTGGGAAATCAAGCAGATGATATTTATCGAATGCTTGCTTATCTATCAACAACCAGTTTTTTAATGTCTGCAAACATTGAGGGTAATGGAAATGAATAGTAATTTCAGTGCAATGTAGGCACAACCTGTATATGCCCTTTATTTTATTTTAGATGGTGGTTTCACTCTGTCACCCAGGCTGGAGTGCAGTGGTGTAATCATGGCTCACTACAGTCTTTACCTCCTGGGCTCCAGCAATCCTCCTGCCTCAGCCTCCAGAGTAACTGGGACTATAGGTGCGTGCCATTATGCCCAGTTAATTTTTAAATTTTTTGTAGAGATGGGGTCTTGCTATGTTGCTCAGGCTGGTCTTGAACTCCTGTCTTCCTGTGATTCTCCCACCTTGGCTTCCCAAAGTGCTGGGATCACAGGTGTGAGCCACCATGCTTGGCTTCTCTATATCCTTTTTATTTGGAATAAGGACTTTGTAAAATAGAAGAACGTTTCACAAGCAGTTTCAAAAATAGACCCATAACTGTGTATATAAATATCTACTTGCTCATATAATTAAGGCTGCAGCAAATACATGCCCATGAAAATATTTGTATTAAATTGGTAGAAATTTATAAATAATTAAAAAAATTGTTCATAAAATTCTGCTAAATGCAGTTCATGCTTTTATGACAAAAAAAGAATCTCAAGAATTGATCTTTGAACCAAGTCTTTATATAAGGAGCAGTTGAAATGAGGTTTCTCATTGCTATGCTTGCTTGGTTTAAGGTAATTTTAATACTCTTGAGTCTGCCCTAGAAAATGTTTTATTAAAATATTTGGGTGGCCTATTATATTTTTGACTGAGGATGCCAAGATGTGGATGAAAAAAGTCTAAGGACAAACAAGGCTGTGGCAGGTGGTTGCATATTCTTGAGTTGCTTTCATGTCTTGGCAGGAAGTGAACCACCATTCCGCACACATTCTTTGCCTGTTTTCCTTCTGCCCCTGTGCAGACTGTTGATGATGTTCTCTAAGGAGAGGCTGGGATGTTGAGGGTGCTTCTCAGAAGGAAGCCTGCTTTGATCTCTGCTGGACGGACAAGTGACCCTGATCTCTTGGGTCATGTCTCTCTTTGAGGATCCCCAGTTCATATTGGTGTTTGGACAAGGAAAAAACACTGTCCCTGCACTCCCAACT
This sequence comes from Homo sapiens, assembly GCF_000001405.40. Taxonomy (NCBI): domain Eukaryota; kingdom Metazoa; phylum Chordata; class Mammalia; order Primates; family Hominidae; genus Homo; species Homo sapiens. The sequence goes on from NC_000002.12 coordinate 203,661,719, forward strand.
GTGGGGGCCTTGGCTGCATGGCCCAATCCATCAAGATTCCAACACACCCTACTGAAGAGGAAGCCTTACAAATCTGAACTTTGGTTTAGGCAACTAGGAATCAAAGATTTTTTTTTTTTTTTTTTTTTTTTTTTGTGAAACACTTGCCCTTTTTACAAAACGCCTCAAGAAAAATACTTTTAATACTGGAGCCCTATAAACTTAAGAAAATTTGATTTTTTTGATGAGGAAATACCTTGATACCTAAAACAGAGGATACAAGTAACCCTCCCTCCCTAAATATTGTTATTTAATCTATTTAATAATTTTGAATTATCTGGAGATAAGCAAAATGTAAGCAAAAGTAGGAGAGAAAGAAAAAAATACATATATTTGCTTTATGGTTTACAGACAGTAAGATATGGAAATTATTGCTTGGGTATCTATAATTATTAATAAAAATTCCAGGAAATCTATGTAAAAAAAATAGCATACATGACTGCGTGTGGTGGCTCATGCCTGTAATCCCAGCACTTTGGGAGGCCAAGGTGGGTGGATCGCCTGAGGTCAGGAGTTCGAGACCAGCCTGGCCAACATTGTGAAACTTCGTCTGTATTAAAAATACAAAAAAATTACCCCGGCGTGGTGGTGCATGCCTGTAATACCAGCTACTGGGGAGGCTGAGGCAGGAAAATCGCTTGAATCCAGGAGGCAGAGGTTGCAGTGAACTGAGATTGCGGCACTACACTCCAGCCTGGGTGATGGAGTGAGACTCGTCTCAAAACAAACAAACAAACAAACAAAAAACCAACAAAACGAACCAAACCATGAAGCTAAGGAGGAGGATAATTTCACTTTCTGAGGAATTCTCAAGAGCAGGCATCTTAATGGTGTGTCATTTATGTGTCAAAAAGAAAAATGGTGTCACTCAAATTTGTCCCTCTTATTCCTATTTTCTATAAGAGTTGATACTGAAACTAAGTCAGGAGCAGGGGGCTTCCCATTATTTTCTGAAGGTTCCAAGGCCTGGGCTCTGTTTCCTCTATCTCTTTTTGGCCCTCTGAATCCTGCAGGCAACTCAGACCACTAAGCCCTTTCTCTCCATTCCTGTGTACAGGGGGGCAAGACCTTAATTACAAACCACACATTCATATATTCTCATAGAGTATGGTTGCTAATAATCTAAATCCTAGTGGTTTATTTCACCCTGGAAGTTCTAATGGCTTTGGGGAGTGGATTCTTGGTATTTTGATTTTTTTTTGGTATAACTGTTTATGTATATGTGTTCACACATATCTATTTGAGTGACCATATGGTTCCTTAAGTACTTAGTGATTGTCATCTTCAGATAAAGCCCCAGCACTTTAACATGCCTGGAATCCTCTTTCCCTTATTCTTTGTCTGGTTGACACTTCCTCTCTTTATGGGTTCAGCTCAGCATTAATCATTTACAGCAAATGTCTGAGGCCCCAGAATGTATACAGGGCTCTCATCTCTCCTCCTGAATCACTTAGCATATTATAATAAAATTATTCACTGATTCATTGGTTCAGCAAATATTTATTGAGCACCTACACTTATTAACCTAGCACTATAAGCTCCAACAGGTCAGGCTTCTCTGCTAAAAAATAGACCTCCATAAATATTTGTTCAACTAAAATAGATATATATTATTTTTAGTTTTAGGGGAAAGGCTTAATTGGTTGCGATGAATGTAATTGCTGTTAGAGAAGCAGTGTGATGTGAAAGAGAGAGAAAAAAAGACCTTACTGGAGTTACAATCAGAATAACTTGTTATAGGTGCTGGCTAAGAGCCTACCTTTCACAGTCAAAATACCTAGATTGAAATCCTGGCTCTTTTGTTTGCTGGCTTTGTGGCATCCAGCAAATTATCCACTCTCCTTGTGTCTCATACGTAAGATGGAGGTCATGACAATACCTAATCTACAAGGTTATTGAGAGAGTTATATGAGGAAGAGAGTGTGTTGTAAATTTTGCAGTGACATATTTATAAAATCAGGTTTTTTTTTTCTTTGAGACGGAGTCTCGCTCTATTGCCCAGGCTGGAATGCAGTGGCGTGATCTCTGCTCATTGCAACCTCTACCTCCTGGGTTCAAGCGATTCTCCTGCCTCAGCCTCCCGAGTAGCTGGGACTACAGGCGTGTGCCACCACACTCAGCTAATTTTCATATTTTTAGTAGAGACGGGGTTTCACCATGTTGACCAGGCTGGTCTTGAGCTCCTGACCTCAGGTCACCTGCCCCCTTCAGCCTCCCCAAGTGCTGGGATTACAGCGTGAGCCACTGTGCTCTGCCTATTTGTTTAGGTTTTTAAGTTTCTCAGTTTGATCCTTGATCCTGCTCCTCAAACTTTAATGTATATACAAATCACCTGAGGATCTGGTTCGGCTGCAGTTTTTGATTTAGTAGGTCTGAGGTGGGGCCTGAGATTCTGCATTTCTAATGAGCTCCCAGGAAATGCTAATGCTGTGCTCCACAGGCCACTATTTGGTCTGGCCTAGAGTCATAGTTTTCAAATCGTACTGTGCATCAGCTTTTCCTGGAGGGCTTGTTTAAACATGATTGCTGGGCCTCTCACCTGAAGTTTCTGCTTCAGCAGGTGGAGGATGAGGCTGAGAATTTGCATTTTTTTCTTTTTCCTTTTCTTCTTTAATTCTTCCAAAAAAAAAAACCGTAATACATGTGCAGAACGTGCAGGTTTGTTACAAAGGTATACTGTGCCATGGTGGTTTGCTGCACCTGTTGACCTGTCCTCGAAGTTCCCTCCCCTCATCCCCCATCCCCCAGCAGGCCCTGGTGTGTGTTGTTTCCCTCTCTGTGTCCATGTGTTCTCAATGTTCAGCTCCCACTTATGAGTGAGAACATGCAGTGTTGGTTTTGTTTTGTTTTTTTTAGACAGAGTCTCGGTCTGTCACCCAGGCTGGAGTGCAGTGGTATGATCTCAGCTCACTGCAATCTCTGCCTCCCAGGTTCAAGTGATGCTTCTGTCTCAGCCTCCCAAGTAGCTGGGACTACAGACGCCTGCCACTACACCCAGCTAATTTTTGCATTTTTAGTAGAGATGGGGTTTCGCCATGTTGGCCAGGCTGGTCTCGGACTCCTGACCTCAAGTGATCTGCCTGCCTCTGCCTCCCAAAGTGCTGGGATTACAGGCATGAGCCACCAACCCAGCCTCATGGTTTTCTGTTCCTGTGTTAGTTTGCCAAGGATGATGGCTTCCAGCTTCATCCATGTCCCTGCAAAGGACATGATCTCCTTCCTTTTTATGGCCGCACAGCTGAGAATTTGCATTTCTAACAAGCTCTTATGTGATGCTAATGCTGCTGATCTAGAAACCTCATCCTTTGAGAACCACTGATCTAGAAAGATTGTTTTACTCGGAGAGTAAATTACTTTGCTATGCTTCAGAAAACAGGAATTGGGACTTAAGACTTGGATTCTGCCTCTTAGATTATAGTTCTGGTGCCTAAGCACATTTAATACTATTTTTTAACAATGATGGGCACTGATGTGTTTCTATGGGCTTTGCATTGTCGAGGTCTGCCACAACTGTAGTAACAATTTAACCCTATCCTCAGACCCCTATAAAGATTACCCTGAGAACTAATGAGATTTTATTTATTTATTATTTATTTATTTTTGAGACAGAGTCTTGCTCCGTCGGCCAGGCTGGAGTGCAGTGGCACAATCTTGGCTCACTGCAACCTCCATTTCCCGCGTTTAAGCAGTTCTCCTGCCTCATCCTCCCTAGTAGCTGGGATTACAGGCATGTGCCACCATGCCTGGCTAATTTTTGTATTTTTAGTAGAGATGAGGTTTCACCATATTGGCCAGGCTGGTCTTGAACTCCTGACCTCAGGTAATCCACCCGCCTCGGCCTCCCAAAGTGCTGGGATTACAGACGTGAGCCACCGCACCAGGCTGAGCCAATGAGATTTTATTTCTTGACTAGACATCTCCCTTCTCCCTTAAGATGAAGGTAGAAAAGAGAGGAAAATATTTTAGTAAGGTTCTCATCAGGCATAGTGAACAGCGGCTCATGTATTGATAGCCTTTGCCATAAGAAATGATATACTAACATAGTGGATTCTCTTCACAGACTTAACGGGAAGGTTGGTACAGACACACTTGAAAGGCATGGGTTATATGACTCCTCAAGGGTTTACTCACAGAAAATCATTAAAAAAAAGTGTGTGTGTGGTTCAAAGTTGTCCCTAATTGAAACAAACATTAGGAAGATGCAATATCAAAATATACTGAACTGGGCCAGGAACGGTGGCTTACGCCTGTAATCCCAGCACTGTGGGGGACTGAGGCAGGCAGATCATGAGGTCAGGAGTTCAAGACCAGCCTGGCCAACATAGTGAAACCCTGTCTCTAATAACAATACAAAAAAATCAGCCGGGCATGGTGTTGGGCGCCTATAATCCCAGCTACTCAGGAGGCTGAGGCAGGAGAATTGCTTGAACCCAGGAGGCAGAGGTTGCAGTGAGGTGAGATCATGGCACTGCACTCCAGCCTGGACAACAGAGCGAGACTCCATCTAAAAAAAAAAAATATATATATATATATATATATATATTTAGAACTGGATCTTCCTAGGTTTATTGGTATTCTAGCTCTTTGGAGTGGAGAGATGTTGGCAGCACTTTCTGGAAGATCAGTTGTTCTTCTATGTCAGCCTGGTACTCTTAGTCCAAGCAGCCTCTTCAGTTTAAAGGAGAAAAGGAAAATACCATGAAACAAAATCATACTTCCCTATCTGGGAAGTGGATCAACTGTCTATGTCCAGTTTATGGCCCCTTCTTCACTATGGGATGGTGTGCTATATTCTGGAGTAAGTTCAAGAGTGGTTCTTGTCCTCAGGATATTTATCATTTTAAGAGAGATGAGGATTTATGTAAATAATTATACGAAAGGCAGAATAGAAGAATTGTTATATCAACCACACTACCAATGTGAAGAAGACATGCAGAGGAAACAATATAATACATTCTGCTTGAGGAAGTTGGAGATGGCTTAAGGAGGCTGTGGCATGTGGGCTGAGACTTTAAAATTAAGAAGATTTCAGAGCTGGGCATGGTGGCCCACTCCTGTAATCTCAGTTACTCAGGAGGCTGAAGTGAGAGCATTGCCTGACACCAGGAATTCAAGACGAGCCTAGGCAGCGTCACAAGACTCCCTCCCCTACCCTCACAACTCTAAAAAAATTAAAAAAAAATTAGCCAGGCACGGTGGTGTGCACCTGCAGTCCTAGCTACCTGGGAGGCTGAGGCGGAAGGATTGCTTGAGCCCTAGAATTCGAGGCTGCAGTGAGTTATGATCACACCACTGTACTGCAGCTTGGGCAATAGAGTGAGACCTCATCTCTTAAAAAAAAAAAAAAAAAAAGGCCGGGTGCAGTGGCTCACGCCTGTAATCCCAGCACTTTGGGAGGCCGAGGTGGGCAGATCACGAGGTCAGGAGATAGAGACCATCCTGGCTAACACGGTGAAACCCCGTCTCTACTAAAAAAGTACAAAAAAATTAGCTGGGCATGGTGGCAGGCACCTGTAGTCCCAGCTACTCGGGGGCTGAGGCGGGAGAATGGCGTGAACCCAGGAGGCGGAGCTTGCAGTGAGCCGAGGTTGCGCCACTGCACTCCAGCCTGGGGGACAGAGCGAGACTCTGTCTCAAAAAAAAAAAAAAAAAAAAAAAAAAAAAAGGGATTTCAGTAGATGGAGCCCTGTTAAGGAGTTTATAGCGATGTAATGTACTTACTATATTGAACCTAGAACTAAAGTTTCCACTTGGTGGACCTCACATACATTGTAAGGGTTATTTCCCCTCAAGTAAGTGGTGTGTAATGCAGAAAAATAGAAATGAACTTTACCAAAGGAAATGTGTGTTAGATTTTGTTACACGAAAGGTCAATGTTTGCTTAGATATTTTTTAAAATTTCTGTGCCCTGATTGCCTCAAGACCCAGTGAGATTTTGGTTGTTTGACCAGATGCCTGGTTTTTCTGTTGGCCCTGTCTGCACAATTCTAAAGTGGAATTCAAGGCTGTCTATAGTTTAAAGACTGATTACTTCAACTTTAGAGGCCATTGCTGTGAATTATCTTCTTTACATCTTGTAGAGCCCTATAGATTATTTACAATAAGAAAGTTGGATAAGATACAGAAAAGACTGAATTGCCTTTTTAGATCTAAATTTAAATTTGACGGAACCCAAACTTGCTCCTTTGCTCTGTGTTATCACATCTGCTTTGGGACCCACTAGACTGTCATTTACTTAACTGTCCCATTTCCTCAACTGTTCTGTTTCCCCACTATCAGCAGTTTTCTGGTATCATTTCCTTACAAGCCAACCTAGACTTGTAACCTATCCCTTTGACCACTCTCTCACCATTTTATTTTATTTTCCATCCATTGCACTCACCCACCAAGTCCTTAACCCTAGATCAATCCAATTTCTGACTAGACAGCTGTGATGGCTAATACCGAGTGTCAACTTGATTGGATTGAAGGATACAAGGTATTGATCCTGAGTGTGTCTGTGAGGGTGTTGCCAAAAGAGGTTAACATGTGAGTCAGTGGGCTGGGAAAGGCAGACCCACCCCTAATCTGGGTGGGCACAATCTAATCAGCTGCCAGGTCGGCTAGAATATAAACAGGCAGAAAAATGTGAAAAGAGAGACTGGCCTAGCTTCTCAGCCTACACCTTTCTCCCGTGCTGGATGCTTCCTGCCCACCAACATCAGACGCCAAGTTCTTCAGTTTTGGAACTCAGATTGGCTCTCCTGGCTCCTCAGCCTGCAGATGGCCTATTGTGGAACCTTGTGATTTTGTGAGTTAATACTTAATAAACTCCTTCTTAGATATGTATCTATTCCATTAGTTCTGTCCCTCTAGAGAACTCTGACTAATACAACAGCTTTATCCCTTTACTTAATATATGTGTTTCCATGTTTAGGTGTGTTTCTTGTAAGACATTTATAGCTGCATTTTGTTTTGGTTTTTATTCAAATCTGAGAATAACGGTTTCTTAAATTGGTGAGTTTAACTTGTTTATATTGTGATTACTGATTTATTTGGGTATATTTATATCACCATTTGAAAGAAATTTTATGTTTTTTCTTTATGCTTTGCCTTTACTTTTTTAGCATCACTTTAAAAAAAGAAATTTTTCTTTGTTTTAAAAATTTACATTTTTTTCTTATTCTTTATTTGTTACCTTAAAAATTTTAACATGCTGGCCGGGTGGGGTGGCTGACACCTAGAATCCCAGCACTTTGGGAGGCCGAGGTGGGCAGATCATCTGAGGTCAGGAGATCGAGACAAGCCTAATCAATATGATGAAACCCTGTCTCTATTAAAAATACAAAAATCAGCTGGGCGTGGTGGCATGCTCCTGTAATCCCAGCTACTCAGGAGGCTGAGACAGCAGAATCGCTTGAACCGGGGAAGTGGAGGTTGCAGTCAGCTGAGATAGCGCCATTGCACTCCAGCCTGGGCAACAAGAGCGAAACTCTGTCTCAAAAAAAAAATTTTTTTAACATACCTATTTAACATGCCTATTTAACTAACATTAATAAATATTTCTATTCTCCCTCAGAACAATATAAGCACTATGGAATAGTTGAGCTCTGACATCCATATCTGGTATTCCATGTTGTTGCTCTCTAGAATTTTAGTTCCATCTTGTTTTTAATCCCTTTACTATTTGAACAAAAATTTAATTTTATATATACATATAGAAAAGTACATAAATCATAACTACTCATTTGAAATATTTTCAAAAAGGAAATATAACCCAGGTAACAACCACCCAGATCAAGAAAGAGAGTATTACTAGCACCCCAGAAGCCCCACAAAGAGGTTCTCAGTCACCACCCCTCTCAAAGGTAATCTTGATCCTAATATCTGTGATCATTGATTAGTTTTGCCTGTTTTGAACTTTATATGGACTCTTTTGTCTGGCTTCTTTCCCTTAACATTGTTTTTGAGAGAGACATCTATGCCCTTAGATGTAGCAGTCATTTGTCTATTCCTATTGCTATAAAATATTCCATTGTATGAATATATAATTTATTTATTCATTCTTCTATTGATGGACAGTTAAGTTGGTTTTAGTTTGTTATGAGTAGTCTACTATGACTTTCTTGTCTTTTGTACTGTTTCTGGGCACTTGCTCTTAGGTACATTTTCTATGTACCCATTTCTGTTGTGTATATCTAGGAATGGAATTGCTGAGTCATTAGACACATAATTTACATTCTCACCAATAGTGTACGAGAGTTTTGTGAAGTGCCTGTTCAAATTCTTTCTGTGGGTTGTACTTGTTTATCATTAGCTCATTTTTAGATAAGATTACTTTTTACTGTGGAATCCTATGTGTCTGGGGTTGTGAATGTATACTCTGGAGTGTTTTGTGGGTGTGTATTGTGTTCTGCACTTACTTCTCCTGGGACTCTACGTGTAAAATTTTTGGCTTGGGATTCTAGCACATAAGGGTGGTACAAATTTGTAACTCACACCTGGAAGGGACACATGCTTAATGTATCAATTTCTCACTGGGAGAGTTTTCCACCTTCATCCAAAGATTGAGGCAGATAACACATCTTCTTGCTGCTTCTTTGTGATGGTGGCCAGAGATTTTCTAGATTAGTACTGCCCAGTAGAACTTTCTGTGCTGATGGAAGTGTTCTGTATGTATGCTGTCCAACATGGTAGCCACTGGTACTCAGTAACCCACATGTGGTTATTGAATACTTGAAATGTGTGATTGAAGAATTGAATTTTACATTTTGTTGGATTTTATTTTATTTTATTTTATTTTTTGGGACAGAGTCTTGCTCTGTTGCCCAGGCAGGAGTGCAGTGGTGCGATCTTGGCTCACTGCAACCTCCACCTTCCGGGTTCAAGCAATTCTCCTGCCTCAGTCTCCTGAGTAGCTGGGACTACAGGTGCTCACCACTGCGCCTGGCTAATATTTTGTATTTTTAGTAGAGACGGGGTTTCACCATATTGATCAGGCTGGTCTTGAACTCTTGACCTCAAGTGATTCACCAGCCTTCCAAAGTGCTGGGATTACAGGCGTGAGCCACTGCACCCAACCTGAATGTTAATTAATTTAAATTTCAATAGTCATGTATGGGTAGTAGCTACCATGCTGGATAGCACAGTTCTAGATCAATTTTAATAGACTGGGCAGCCCATTGAGGATCTTGGATATACGTAGTAGACTTAGTTCTACTTCCTCTCTTTTTGCAGGGTCTATGCCTTGTCTCTTGTCCTAATACTCTTGACCCCAGCACCAGCATCTGTCTAGGCTCTATAACCTCAAGCCACCATATAGTCAATTGGAGTTGGCTTTACTTTCCTTCTGTGACTAAGCTCAGCTATGTAGTGCATATTTTGCAACATTGTGCTTGAGTATTCATACTGGAGAGGAAGGATAAATATCAGCTCAGTCCACAGCTCCAGCTCTTGTGTACTTCTCAAGCCACTTGCCATTGTTCTTCTGCTACCACTGCCCATGGAGACTTCCATTGCTAATAGCAGCTCCACAGCACTGTATTTAATGGCTCCTTCTTAATCCTATCCTACATGACTTGTAGAAAGCTTTGGCTTTGTTGACCATTGCTTCCTTAAAGCAGTCTTTCCCTTGGCTTCTTTCATAGTACCAATTTTCTTTCTACTTATATTGATCCTCCTTTCCAGGCTTCTTCTAGGACTTCTCTTATTATGCTCACACCCCCACTACCCTCATTATCAATGGGGAATCAGATCTCAGTCTTTTTTTCTTTTTTTTTTTTTTTTTTGAGACAGAGTCTTGCTCTGTTGCCCCAGGCTGGAGTGCAATGGTGCGATCTCGGCTCACTACAGCCTCTGCCTTCTGGGTTCAAGTGATTCTCCTGCCTGAGCCTCTGGAGTAGCTGGGATTACAGGTGTGCGCCACCACACCCAGCTAATTTTTGCATTTTTAATAGAGATGTGGTTTCACCATGTTGGTCAGGCTGATCTCGAAAACCTGACCTCGTGATCCGCCTGCTTCGGCCCCCCAAAGTGCTGGGATTACAGGCGTGAGCCACCGCGCCTGGCCCAGATCTCAGTTTTATTTCTTTTCTCACTGTATATATCTTCCCAGGGTGATTTCATTCCAATTGATGGCTTCAGGTATATTTTATGAGCTGATGACTCCCAAGTTTGTTGTCATTTTTGAAGCATTAACTGTTGTCATCCCTGCAAAACAAAAGTAGAAACAAAAAATACAAAGCAGCAGGTTTTTCTAGGCTTATAAGTTTTTTTTTTCAAGTTTCAGTTATTTATTAATCAGTATAATCTTCAACACATTATATCAACATGATTTCATGCATTTAGAGGAGAAATACTTCCTGGTTAAGTGGAAAACTGTGTGGACGGCTTCTGGAAAACCTTCATTCTAAAGCAGCTTTACAGTGACACATTTCACTTAGAAATCTGGACCTTCTTTCTTCAGTTTGCTGTAATCCATATGCACTGAGTAGAACTTGTATTGATCCTTGGGACTCAGTTTGTTCCAGGGCCCTGGGTTATTCTTTCTGTCCCAACTAACATCTGGATTGAACAATGCCAGACACAAGAGATACACTGCTGCTCCAGGACCTCCAGCTCCAATAAATACAAAGAGGGGCATCAAGCTTGGCTGCTTCTTGGTATAACTGAGGATCTAGCAGAGCATGTTTGCAACAGAGGCCCTCGATTAGAAATGAGAGAACCAGCCTAGCCACCAGGCCCTGGGCTAAGTAGTATCTGGCTCATAAGTTTTGAGAGCAAGCTCTAAAACTCCAGTGAACAGTTAGCTGCACGGTGTATTTAGGCAGACCCTTGACCCAGTCCTTCCCTGATTTGTCTTCAAAATAATTGTGGGGGCACTGAAGAATTGTGGGACACTGGCAAGAAGAAGAATCTTAGAGCAATTCTTTGATCTAGTTCAATTAATTAATTAATTGACAAAAATTGTATACATTGATGGTGTACAACATGATGTTTTGATATATGTATACATTGTGGAATGGCAAAAGCAGGATAATTGACATATAAATTCCCTCACATACTTATCTTTTTTTCTTTTTTCTTTTTTTTATGGTGAGAACTTTGGTCTATTTTTCTGGTGAATAATATGTAGCAGGACTGGTACCAGAACCAGGTCATCCAGAGATGTTCTGTCTGCTGCCATCAACTCGGGACCTCAGAAGGTGGTACTCCTCCCCTAAAGGTGAATTATTTTAGCTAAAAAAAAACAAAGAGAAATCCTTATTTCTAGATGAAATAAGAATCAACAGGAAATTCCAGGAGATTTCAGTTACATCAGTTGTTACAGTTGGTACATAATGATGTAACATCTGTTCCAAAGAAAACAGCAAGTATGTATTTAATACACTTTTACGAAGTCCCCATGTTTTCTTTTCTTTTCTTTTTTCTTTTCTTTCCTTTTTTTTTTTTTTTTTTTTTTTGAGGGTTGCAAGGTTTATTGTGAAGAGTGAAAGAACAAAGCTTCCACAGCGTGGAATGGGACCCGAGTGGGTTACAGCTGCTGGCTGGGGTTGCCAGCTTTCATTCCCTTATTGGCCCCTCCCATGTTCTGTTTTCATCCTATCAGAATGCCCTTTTTTCAATCCTCCCTGCGATTGGCTACTTTTAGGATCCTGCTGATTGGTGCATTTTACAGACCGCTGACTGGTGCGTTGTACAGAGTGCTGATTGGTGCATTTTACAATCCTCTTGCTAGCTACAGAGTGCTGATTGGTGCGTTTTACAATCCTCTTGTAAGACAGGAAAGTTCTCCAAGTCCCCACTCGACCAAGGAAGTCCTGCTGGCTTCACCTCTCAATCCCCGCTCTAAACAAGACATCCCAGCTGAAAAGTCCCCATATTTTCTTTTAGTAATCATTTTAATGTGTGTGTGTGAGAAAAGGACACTATTAAAAGAAACTTTTAAACTTTTCTTTTCTAGTCCTATGTCTACTTTTAGCCAATATTTGTGAGCATCAACCATATCCCTCCTCAGTAATTATATTTTATTTTTTCCTCCCAGGTCATGTGAAAGACTGTGTATAATTCAGAAGAGATATTTCTACAGTGAAAAAAAATACCCCATATTTAAATCAATTCAAGTTTCTTCTTGACATCTAGGCTGTATCTAGGACACATCTGGACATCTGGAAACATCCAAATTTGACTGACTTTTCCAGTTTTCAGCAGAACATTTAGTAAATAAAAGAATAAGAAACTTGTACTAATCATATATTTTTTTGAAAGTCAACAGCATTTCAGTGGGGCTGATGTCCTCATGGCCTGGCCTTTATTTCTTGCCTCATGTCAGACTTAACCCATGTTGGTGGAGGAGGCTGACATTCAAAGGGTGTGGTTTTTGAGGTTGCCACATGCCTTGCCATGACTTAAAATATCTCTCTCTGGCTGCCAGATGGCCTGGGGAAGCACCAGACACAGGCTCCATTGACCTCAGAACTTGTTGCTTTAGGACTGGAAGCTCTTTCAGGGTCTTTCTTAAATTTCTGTTTCTAAATATCTGAAGCACATCAAGCCTTAAACTGGGGTTTTGTGCTGCTCCTCCTCGCTTTCCTGAAAGCAAAGGGTAAGAATTAATTTCGGGCACAGATAGTAAATGCTGACTTTTCATTGTTCCCTTGAGAACACTTCACTCTCCAAGAGAAAGTCTCCCTTCTTCAGCCCAAATCTTGTGGAAACTGTGCATATGAGGTGTGGAGAAACCCCATGGGAAAACTGGGAGTCTACAAACAGGCCTAGTCTTTGAGGATGCTCGGCAGGGGTGGAGGAAGACGCCTCAGGTATCTCTTCAGGTCCAATTCCCTACTGGATGTAGATATACAAAATGTAATTTACTTCCAGTTATTGAATGATAATGTCTTGAAACATTAGAAAAATAGTCATCTTGAAGGAAAAGGCAAAGAAGATTATTTGGAGAGGAGAAGTTTTTTTTCTGTTTGTAGAGTGGAAAAGTGAGATAAATTGGTTTGAAAAAAGAAAAGTAAATACATTGCAAGGGAAACTTTATTCATTAAACATTTATTGAGCACCTACTAAGTGCCAGAGACAGTTCTAGTCTCTGGAGATACAATAGTTAGCGGACTAGACAAACATGTTCTTTGGCCTTATGGACTTCTCAGTCAAGTGAAAGGGCATGGAGGGGACCTAACCCAGCGGGTGTGTGCAGCAAGGGATCAGAGGAGATTTCTCTGAAGGAGTTATATTTAAACAAAGACCTGAATAGAGTTAGATGGACAAAGCCCCCAGTTTAGTTTGGCTTCATTTTCAATGATCCCATTACAAAGCAAAACCAAACAAAAATTCAGTTCTAAGTCCTTTATTTTTTTCTACTTTAGACGGTTGCCTGCCTGAGATACAACTCTGATTTCAACAAGAGACAATTGGATTGCTATTTTTCTCTCTCCTTTGACTTGATATTTATTATTTCTCATCTCTCACTGTGTTATGACTTATTGGTTTATGTCTGTCTCTCTCTGTAGACTATGAGTCACTAAAAGCCAGGGACTGTCTTAATAGTCTTTGTTCAGGCACCACATAGCTCTAGGATGAATAAATAAAGGAATCAAGATGAATGAATAAAAATAACAGTTGTTTTCACAGCATCATTTTGCATCGAGAAAAGTGTCATATCAAACTATTCTTCCCATCCAATCTCTTTAATTGCACAACTAACCGAATCTCCCATCCAGTCTATTCAATAACACTAATGCATTGAGCGTCTACCATGTACAGGCCACATGTTTGTCATGGGGATGTAATGGTGAGCACAATAGACAAGGCATTGGCTCTTGTGGAGTGTACAGTCTGATGGAGGAAGACAAACTTTATATAAATAATCACTCAAATACTTGATTCCTAATTCTATCAAAAGAAACAATGTAGGTAAAAATACTGAAATAAAAGATTTGAGTTGAAAATGGCAGGAAAATTTAAAGTTTTGCCAAGTTTTTGGATGCCTATAAGAAATGTGTCTTATGCTTGCTTCCTCTTTTCCCTTCTAGCTTCTTGCAGTAATTGAGTTTGTAAAATCAAGATGCATAATTTCTACAGGGAAAAGCAAATAAATTGCATTCATTCTAGGTATTTTAGCTGCCTAGGTTGGCCCAACTGTTAATAGCAAAACCCATTTTTTGGGCAAACACCAGCTAATCATTAGTGGTACTTTGATTTTCCCCAAAGTTGTTTTCTCGTCATCCTGATAACTATCACGCAAGTCAGAATCCAATTTTGCACGGAAGTTTTAGAGCTCTAATTACCATCGTCTATAATCAGGGGTGTTATTCCTGCACATTAAGAGTATGAGAGGATATACCAGGAAAGGGAAATGGAAGAATGAAAACAAACAAACAAACCAGAGAAGCAAATGAGATGACAGATGGATATAGAGATAGAAAATAAGAGTAACAAAAATTTGCACTGCTCTCCAAATGTCAGAAAGACTACTCTTAGAAGCTTATGAAATAATTATACACAGAACAGGATACACATTTTTTTTTTGGCTCCAGATCTAAGAAAATAACTCTTTGGTATTAGAAGATGAACATTGAAGGAACAAACTGACCTCCTTAATATAGTAGGACAATAAACTACTATTAAGTTGATATTTCATAGTTCCCTTTGAAATTTTTGGATATAAATCAGGATTCCTCTTCCCCACCCAATGTTCTTTCCCTTTCTTTCCATATTTTTCTCATTTTTGATTTTTTTTCTTTTTTCTGAATGCTATCGTGGATCTCTGAACTGTGCTGCTAATACACATGATATATATGCTACTGACAATAAACAAGTATGAAGGTGAGAGGGCACATGAAATGGTGTGATGACACTGGATAATAGTATTCACAGATATTTTACTTCTCAGATAAAAGAAACTGCTAATAATTTGAAAAGGAAAGGCATATTTGCTACTGTTGTTTAATATTGTAAAATGTTTGAAAATACTGTCTCCTTTATTCCTAGTCTGGTGTTGAATTGTTTACCATTTTAATAAAAATATGAGAGCTGAGTTGGTAAGAATAAAGACAGCAAGAGAGATAGAAAGAAAGAATAAAAGAAGTGAGCTGGGCGCGGTGGCTCACTCTTGTAATCCCAGCACTCTGGGAGGCTGAGGTGGGTGGATCACCTGAGGTCAGGAGTTCGAGACCAGCCTGGCCAACATGAAGAAACCCTGTCTTTACTAAAAATATAAAAATTAGCTGGGCATGGTGGCACATGCCTCTAATCCCAGCTACCTGGGAGGCTGAGGCAGGAGAATTGCTTGAACCCAGGAGGCAGAGGTTGCAGTGAGCCAAGATCGCACCACTGCACTCCAGCCTGGGTGACAGAGTGAGACTCCATCTCAAAAAAAAAAAAAAAAAAGAAATGAAAAAAAAATAGAAGTATGGGTCACTACTCACAGCTTCACCATTAAAGTAGACTACCTCCATCTCCCCAAATGAGCCTCCCGTTTGTGTTTACCTTGTCAACCATGGAGGACAGCCAAATAAGAACCTTATAACAGGTTGCACTTCATATGCCATGAGTCATGCATCCTCAACAGGGGCTATGTCACCCCCAAGGAAGTGAAAATTGGTTGTGAGTATATGTAATCTTACTTTCTCATGTATAAAGATACATATATATATATATTATATATATAAAACAGATACATAGTTTATATGATATTAAAATTTTGTGGGGGGCAATTAAAAAATGTCTGAAAATGTTTTTTAGAGGGACAACAATAATGAAAACAAATGATTGAGAGACACTGGCTTTAATTGTATCTTCATGCTTTGTAGAGGAGGTAATTTACTTCTGGGTGAAGCTACTTTATCTTAAAGAGCTTGATATTTATACTGCAACACCAACTAGGAAATGACCATTATTGAATGAAGCCAAAATGGTACCATGACTACCAAATGGTGGAGAAGCTTGAGGCAAATGGATAGGCTTCTCAATAGCCTTACTATAAACCCAACAAATATAGCCCCAGATCGACTATTTGTATTGGAAATGAAGTGGTAAGAGGTAAATCATTTTTTGCTTATTTGCAGATTTTTTTTTTTTTTCCCTGAGACAGAGTCTTGCTCTGTTGCCCAGGCTGGAGTGCAGTGGCACAATCTTGGCTCACTGCAACCTCTGCCTCCCAGGTTTAAGCAATTCTCCTGCCTCAGCCTCCCGAGTAGCTGGGATTACAGGCGCACACCACTACGCCCGGCTAATTTTTTTTTTTTTTTTTTGGTAGAGACGGGGTTTCACCATGTTGGCCAGACTGGTCTCAACCTCCTGACCTCGTGATCTGCCAACCTCAGCCTCCCAAAGTGCTGGGATTACAGGCCATTAGCCACCACGCCCAGCCTGCAGATTTTAATTTACAGAATCTATAGTTTCAGGGATACATGTACAGTAGACATTTTCATAACTGACTCTCACTTAATTGACTTGCCAGATTAAGAGGTTCTCCACATCCTCTTTAATGCATCCCGCTGAGGTCCATGGCACTCTGCACACTCTATGTTAGTAGGCTACTCACTGTTATACCCTACGCTTCTGTTCTCTTCAGTTTTATGCTTACTTAGAGTAAACTTGGTTTATTCCCAAATTTATTTATACCAGTTGCATTTGTTACTAAGTTATTATTTAATGAAATAAGAGGTAAGCATATTAATGCAAAAGAAAAGAGGATTATTGTTTCTACAAAACCCAAATTGAATGCTTTAAGAAAGAGTCAACAAGAAAAGTCACAATTTAAATTAAGAACAGTCAGAGTGATTCTATGCTTGTTCCCAGCCATGTTCAAATACAGGTACAGAATAGGCAGAGCATGAAGGAGGTAGAGAAGGTACAGGGAATTAAAGGTGTACCTAATAGGTTAATGAGTATCATGATGAATATTGGACTTTAAGCTGGTTAAGGAGAAAAACAAGAACATGAAGGTCTTGAGAGGTGATGATAAGATGGTAGGCTTTGTCAACTGGAGGGCATTGGGTTATAGTCAGAGTCATCTGAAATATTGCAGATTGTGATTAGAGGATGAAATACTTGAAATTAAGATTATGAAGGGGGTTCAGTTAATGGTAATAATGGTAATGACAAGAAGGGATTAGGTGCTAAAGTGCTGTAAAGGACAACTAAATAGGTGTAAATAAAAAGACAGCAGAGGCCAGGTTATTGGAAGGATACTGAAATCACCAAGAATTACCCCAGGAATGTAATTGGAGGAAGACAATGAAATGGTCAAAGAATAGAGTGTCATGTAATTCAGTAAATGATGTCGGTAAGTGCCAGAGATACTCAGAGAACAGAAAACATCATGTGTTGCCATGGTTGGAAAAGCATCGTGGAGGAATGGGGATTGCATCTGAGGAATCAGGTGGGATAGATGGAGAGGACGGGGAAGGTGTTTTAGGTTATGAGTCACAGAGTGAGCAAAGGCCAAATGGCAGGAAGAAGCATGGTGTGTTTTTGATGTCAGAGAGTGTAGGAAGTATGATGGCTTTGGATTGTAAAAGGTTTGGAATGCTAGACCAAGGTGGTTGAGTTTTTTTTTTTCCACTTTTTCTATAGAAGAGTAATTACTGTTTAGCTGCTGCCTTTTAGAATTCTCTCAATGGGGTAATCTTTTTTGTTTGTTTGTGTCTTAGAGAGACAGGGTCTTGCACTGTCACCCAGGCTGAGTGCAGTGGCTCCATCATAGCTTACTGTAACCTGGGCTCAAGTGATCCTCTCACCTCAACCTCCCAAGTAGCTAGGACTACAGGTGTGCACCACCATGCTTGGCTAATTAAAGAAAAATTATTTTTTAGAGTCAGGGCCTTGCTATGTTGCCCAAGCTGTTCTTGAACTCCTGGCCTCAAGTGATCTTCCTGCCTCAGACTCCCAAAGTGCTGGAATTCCAGGCATGAGCCATCATACCCAGCCTCAATGAACTAATCTTTACTGATGTTATCCTTTGAGTGAGAATTTATTCTTGTATTAAAATTTTAGGTTGTGAGAAATTGCCTTCATTTGTAAACACAGGTCAATAGTCATGCATGTTAAAATATAAAGGGGCAGATGGAAATAGATCAGAAAGTTAGACTATAAAAATTGAGTCTGTATCCAAGCTCACTTAGTGGCTGTATTCTCAGAAGCTTGTGCCTGTTAAACTTCAGATTCTTTATCTTTGAACCCAGATCTTAGAGCTCTTCATCTTAGAATGCCACCCCTTCAAATT
Source organism: Homo sapiens (assembly GCF_000001405.40). NCBI lineage: Eukaryota > Metazoa > Chordata > Mammalia > Primates > Hominidae > Homo > Homo sapiens. The sequence goes on from NC_000002.12 coordinate 203,679,972, forward strand.
TGTGATTTTTTTTTTTTTTTTTGAGACGGAGTTTTGCTCTTCTTGCCCAGGTTGGAGTGCAATGGCGCGATCTCGGCTCACTGCAACCTCTGCCTCTCAGGTCCAAGCGATTCTCCTGCCTCAGCCTCCCGAGCAGCTGGGATTACAGGCATGCACCACCACGCCCGGCTAATTTTGTATTTTTAGTAGAGATGGGGTTTCTCCATGTTGGTCAGGCTGGTCTCGAACTCCTGACCTCAGGTCATCTGCCTGCCTTGGCCTCCCAAAGTGCTGGGATTACAGGCATGAGCCACTGCGCCCAGCTGATTTTTTTTTTTTTTTCTGGAGAACTAAAAGTAAACGGAGTTAATTCTGTCACAACCACTTCCTTTTGACTTTCCATTTAGTATCTATTGATTTGAGAAGAGATATTGAACTCTCACAAGACTCTGTATATAGGGATGATTTGACCAAAGTCTTCTATGTCTTTAGCTAGAACAACATGGAAGGTCAAACTATCAGAAGGCTACTAGATGAGGTGTAATAAAAATAAGGGTAGTTTTTCTGGATGAGACAAATGTGAATTGACATTGGGCTTTGCATGACCTATGTGTCCATCCCCAAAAGGGTCTTCCTGTCATTCTTCATCAGTTATTTCAATCACGGTCCAAGTGGGAAAGAGAAGGCACAGTCAAAAGTTTTATTGAAGAGAAATAGACTTCAACAAAGGGACTCCTTGTAGGGCTGCAGGCAAGATTAAGGGGACTAACAAAGAAGATAAAGCACCTAGGGGACTAGCAATGTTGGGAAGCTGTTACTTCTGCTCCTAGGCCTGCAGGGACAAGGAGAGTGAGTGGTGTTAGAGACCCAGAAAGAACAGTAGCCCTGGGAGAGGGGCATCCAAGAGGAGCTGTGGACATAAGTAGAGGAATGCAACCACTTAGGGAAAGAGTAGACAGAGCAAATACTCTGGTCTCTCTCTCTTTTCACCCTTGAATCTCCTGCAATTGGTGGAGCCCAGCTGGAAGCCAGAAGGCAAGAAAGCCTAGATGAGGCGGTCCAAGGTGGTCAACTCCTGAGAGGCAGCAAAGAAGAGAAGAGCTAAAAATAGATCTGGACAGGCAAAAAGAGAACAACCAACACCCTGTTTTTGTTTTTGTTTTTGTTTTTGTTTTTTTTGAGCCGGAGTCTCGCTCTGTCACCAGGCTGGAGTGCAGTGGTGCAATCTCGGCTCACTGCAACCTCTGCCTCCTGGGTTCAAGTGATTCTCCTACCTCAGCCTCCTGTGTAGCTGGGATTACAGGCACACGCCACCACACCCAGCTAATTTTTGTATTTTTAGTAGAGATGGGGTTTCACAATGTTGGCCAGGATGGTCTCGATCTCTTGACCTTGATCCACCTGCTTCGGACTCCCAAAGTGCTAGAATTACAGGCGTGAGCCACTGCACCCAGCTAATGCCAGTACCCTATTTTTTCGACTGTTAGTCCTCCAGAAATCTGGGTACTTTCAGTTTCTCCCAGGAGCAGCCCTGTATTAAAATTCTGAAAAATTAAAAATCTTAAAAAATACTTCTTGTTATTAAGCCACTGTTAGAGTTTTGGAGAGGGCCCAAGAAACAGAACATACTGGGGAATGATCCAAATGACTGGCAGATGAAAGCCAAAATACCATGTTAGTGATTGGTCAAGTTAGGTTGGAGGAATGGCTTAGTGTAAGGACCTATAAATCTACTAGCCGAGCCCAGAATTCATCAGTCTTTCCTACCCAGTCTCAGATGGCACCAAACCATGTCAGGGAGAGTCTATTCCTGGAGGAAAGTAGAGAGTGTTTACTTTTTTTTTTCTTGAGATGGAGTCTTGCTCTGTTGCCGAGGCTGGAGTGCAGTGGTGCAATCTTGGCTCACTGCAACCTGTATCTCCTGAGTTCAAGCAATTCTCCTGCCTCAGCCTCCCAAGTAGCTGGGATTACAGGCGTCTATCACTGTGCCCAGCTAGTTTTTGTATTTTTAGTAGAGGTGGGGTTTTGCCATGTTGGCCAGGCTGGTTTCAAATTCCTGGCCTCAAGTGATCTGCCTGCCTCAGCCTCCCAAAGTGCTGGGATTACAGATGTGAGCCACTGTACCCAGCCTTGAGTGTTTGCTTTTTGTGGGCAATTGGTCCCCCAGGGGAAGATGGGGAAGAAAGGGGTAGGCCTATTACTCACCAGGGCAAAGCTGGAAGGGTAGAGTCTGGCAAGGGCCCCATGAAGGCAGCTTATGCTCAAGAGGAAGCCGGGTGGGGCTGGGCCACACATACCTATTCTTTCAAAACTTACCAGGCTTTTCTGCTGCTTTGGAGAGGAGTGAATTAAGGGCGTTGGAGGGGATTGCCTTTTCTCCACCACATTTTCTCATTCTTTAGTTCATTCAACTTACAGACTTTCAGGAGTTAGCCACACTATGAAGGCTGGGGATGCAAAGATGAAAAGGATGCAGTTTATCTCTAGATGGTGATACTAAGAACAGCTAACAGTTATTCAAGATGTGCCTTAAAATGGGATGTAGTTTTCACTCATTTGTCTTAAAACATTCACAGGCATCATATTAAACAGATAATTACTAACTTTTACAGATGGAGACACTGAGGCTTGGAAAAGTTAAGGGACTTGCTTAAAGTCACAGAAATTAGTTAATGGCAGAGCTAGGATTCAAATCCAGGCAATCTGGCTCCGGGGCTAGTATTCTTAACTCTTTCCCATGTCACAGGCCAATGCTGGAGACAGGCCTGTGAGCAAATAATTACAGTGTAATGAATGAGGTAAGTGCTAATGGAGGGACATATACCGTGCTAAGGGAATGAAGGAAGGAGTGACTAAGGTTTTGTGTAGGACATTTGTGCAATTTCCCTTGCCCACTGCCAGAAATGAACAAAGCAGAGTCTTTTCGGGGCATGCTTTATTTTGCTATACGTGGATGTAGATATAGAGCTCAATTCATGTTGCCTTGCTGCCCCTCCCAAACATAACAACACTTAAAATAATTTCTTCCTGACATCCTGGACCCCCTCCAAGAGTTTGTCCCAGCTTTTGGACAAGGCAGAAACAGGAAAAGGATGTCCTAATGTTCCCTGACCAGAGACCTAAATTGGAATTTGGAAGAGTTTCGTAATTAAAATCATTGTTAAGATTTTATTGTCCTGTACCCTGTAGTGTGTGTGTGTGTGTGTGTGTGTGTGAACATTATATATCAGCCACCACACATGTACTATATACAATCACTAAAATCAACTTTTGTGAGATTGCTTAAATCTCAAAGTTTCTATAGTTTGTAGATCTATGTTTAGAAGATATTTTGTTTTTTCATAAAGGAGAATTAATATTTTTCAACTCAAATACTTTTTTTGCTATGACTTAATCATAATTTGGTAGTAATATATCACAATTTCTGCTAATAACGCAAAAACAAACTCACTTCTGTTTCATTCTCTCTCAATAGAAATTGTTTCAGTTTGGCCCCCTATACTGATTCATTTCTCAGCTGATCTTTGAGATATTGAACATCCATACCTTTGGTATTTTTATATTACTTGATATTAGAGCGTCATTGAATTCATTTGAACAGACTAGACACCATAAACAGGTGCTGTCTGCCGCCGCCAAGTGATGGCCTATTCATGCCAGGATATTAAGCATATCCTGCAGTTTGGTAAACAGAAGGTGGGATTCTAATCCATTCAGTATGGAGCCCCTCGTTCTTTCCTCTGTAGTGAAGGAAAATCTCTGGGAAGTCCCTGCTCAGGAATTCTCTATAGCTTTAGCAGTTAGTGAGTCTCATTCCAAAATGACCCAAGAAGAGGGCTGGATCAATTACCCCCAAGCTTCCTGTTGACATAACCTATTTCTTGGAGTGACCTCAGAAATCCACACAAAAGTTCCAAGTTGCCATGTAGCCCCTTTCTTTTACTTTACTCCTTTTGGGTTTCAGCGTTGGAGAAACCCTCTCTCCTTTCCAAAGCTGAAACTGCCTGGGAGCTTTGAGTCTCTGACTCACTACTAGATTGCTCACCTATCAGGGCCATAGAGAAGACAGAGTGAGACAAGGACATTCTTACACCATGGAATAACCTCTGGGGCTTATGGTCATCAAAGCAGAGTCTTTGGTCTACAGGAAAAAGGTAACACTCTTAGACCCAGCAGAGGCATCAGCAAGGGAGTTTCCCAGGGGGAGGGACAGCCCTGCTTACTCAACTGGTCAGGGGTTACTACACACAGTAGCTCTACTCTCACAGCCTTTCCTTGCTTAGGCATACCAGTGTGTCATGATGGTGCAGCTAGTCTGATAAATGGAGCAGTTTTGGAGGGAGGCACACTGCAATAGCTTTGCAACAAAAGAGTCTATGTCTCGTCCATCATTCAAAGGAGTTATCTGAAAATTGATGACTGTAGCAAACTACTGGCTATCCCCCAAATCAATCCTTTTTTTTTTCTATAGTAACAGAATTCCCAACATGTAGCTGAGAACAGCCATGGCCATATAGGTCTGAGGTCAGCAGAGTTACACAATAGAAGGCACCTGGGTTCCAGACCCTTGGGCTGCCATACTGATCCTGGACTGCTTAGTTCCAGATTGTTAGATGAGACAGGGGAAACCATCTAGTGTACCTAAACTGCTATTATTTTGGGTCTCTGTCAAGGAGGTCAAGCCTTTATCCTAATTCAGTGACTTTGGATTTCAGTAGAATAGAGTCAATGTTAGTTGAGAACATGGTGTCATTACCCCAAGTCACCTGTTTTCAACAGGTAGCCTTACTTCTCTCAGAGATAGGTTCTTGGGACACTCTGCAGTTTCCACTGAGGGTGCAGCCTTTTGGGGACTACTATAGAGATGATTTCTCCTGTCTCATCTAAAAATCTCGACCTAAGCAGCCCAGGTCTAGTATGGCAGCCCAAGGATCTGGAACCCAGGTGCCTTCTATCATGTAAATCTGCCAGTCCATATGGCCTGCCTCTTCCCTTTAAGGATACAATCCAGAAATGGCATCACTTATGCTTACATAGAGAAAGAAAGGGCTATGATATTAGGCCTCAGAAAAGGGAGTGGAGATCTAGACTTTTCACTTCAACTCAAAAATCCTGCCCAAGACTGATACTTACTCCTTTAAACATTGCCATATTTCTCCGGCACACCCAATGATTGACGTCTGAAAGAGCAGCAGCACTTTCTCAGACATGACTACAGTGTTTAAATGTGTTGCTAGGGCATCTGTGGAATTTTCATATTCTATCTTGGGAAAGAAATCTGATAGTTCTTTGATGCTACATTCTTCTCTAGCCAGAAATACAAGGAAACCACTGTTTGCTGTGACATTTTGGCAGAACTCTGAAGTGTGGTCTGGATCTGGGAACCCACAATCCAAGAATAAGGCACCATTTACGTACAAAATTGTTGAATTTGGATGGAAACTAGGTTCAGCCATACTTGTGAAGCCACTGTCTTGCAGGGTCAAAAAGAGCTTATTTTTCAAGTAAGTGTGTTTCACTGTTTACTGGTGACTACCAAAATAATTATTTCCTGTGTGGGTCAGTAAGAGTGAGGTAATCTCAAGGAAAATGTTCCATTGTGCTTACTGGGCTGGGCAGCGCAGCAGCTCCAGACATTCTCTTAAAGCAACAGTAATTGCGTTGAATGGTAAAGTCTGGTTCATATGCCCCTGGGAGGGAGATTCATTTTCTCTTTGATACTCTGAGGATCTTGTGAGAGACAGCAAATGTGAATATATACATACATCTACACATACACATGAACATATCTGTGGGTGTGCTTAGCAGGTTGGTTCATTTAAATAGTTTTATAGATATTTTAGAAAGGTAGTTCTTTATGAGCCAGGATAATGTGCTCTGCTTCTCTCAATGTGAAAGTAGAACCTCACCTTGTGCAAGTTGTCATTGGTTTCCTTGTCTGTTACGAGCCACTTGAGGGTAATGCTTTGTCTTTGTCTTCCCAGCCCATACTAATGGGCCTATCACTGAGTAAAATTCTCATTAATCACTTGTTGGATGAATGAATGGCTTGCAAAGGAAGTGAATTGCAGGAAGGTGACTACCACCCAAAAGTTGACTTGTACCATGACACTGACATGAGAGAGTTTGCCCGAAGGAGTGCTTAGCCAGCCAGGATTGGAACATCATTGAGGTGCCAAACTCCATGGTTCCAGAGATTAAACAGCTCTGTGCTTCATATCACCATCTTTCCTGGAATAAGAATTATCCACCCCAGTTGTTAGATTCTGGCACAACAAGTAGGGTGAATTGTGGCAGCTGGATCAACAGGTGACAGACAAACTAGGCCAAATGAGATATCACTTCTGGTCCATAAAATAGAGAGATGCTTTTGAATATTCGATATTTCACCCAGCTCACTACCTTCCACGACTGCTCTCATGTAGGAGCCAAGAGTGTACATTGTATATTATAGAAAATATTCCCCTATTATAAGAGGGAATACTCACTATTGATTAATCCACTTACCAAATTTTTGTTGAGTGCCTGCTATGTGCCAAGCATTGTATTGCTGCTGGAGTACACAGGTGGACAAACCAGACGTGGTTCTTGCCCTTAAGAAGCTCAGCCTTTGGCTGGGTGCGATGGCTCGTGCCTGTAATCCCAACACTTTGGGAAGCCAAGGCGGGTGGATCACATAAGGCCAGGAGCTTGAGACCAGCCTGGCCAACATACTGAAACCCCATCTCTACTGAAAAATACAAAAATTAACCAGGCGTGGTGGCACACTCCTGTAATCCCAGATATTCGAGAGGCTGAGGCATGAGAATCACTTGAACCAAGGAGGTAGAGGTTGCAATGAGCTGAGATTGCGCCACTGCACTCCAACCTGGGCAACAGAGTGAGACTCTGTCTCAAGAAAAAAAAAAAAAAAGTTCAGCCTTTAATGGAAGAGTCAGACAAATAAACAAAATACATAAAATAATTATGTTTTATGTGGCCAGTTATGAAAAATAAACTAGATATTGAGGTAAGGATGAAATGGAAGTACATAGGGGGTGAGAAATAACTGTCAGGAGGAAGGAAAAGGCCTGGGATGAGTAAAGGGGAAGAACATTTTAGAGGAAAAAAACTCATGTTAAAGACCTCAGGCCTAAAATAAATTGGTGTTTTAGAGGCTAGAGAACAATGCCCATGAGTCTATAGCAGAGTGAGTGAGGGGGTGAGTGTGTCCTAACTGGCAGAAGTCCTCTAAGGATTTTTGGATCTATTGTCAAGGACAGTATATCAAATGGTAGATGTTGACTGTTTGCAGAGCGCTCAGGAAGCTTTACATCATTATCCACAGCAAGAGGTCTGAGCTTGAGTGTGGTCCTCCCACTGCACATGTAATCTCAGATACTACATGTTCTACCTTGCTGAGTAATAGTAAGTAGAATGGAATGTTGGACTTTATCTAAAATGTGGGAGTAAAACAAGTACATGTGAAACTGCAGAGCTTATCATTCTGGTCCAGGTATCATGAGGAAAGGAGAAAACCATGGTTGGGAGCGGCCATCCACACCCAACTAGTATTTGGAACTGGAGGCTACAGAGAATTCTGCTACTGAGGTCTACAATGTTATTTGCCCTTTCTGCTCCTTGATCTTTCACTGCATAAACCATCTGGGAAGTGTCCTTTATGGTTGTCATTAAAATGCTGCCAGATTCCAGTATTGAGACCATAGGGAATGCAGTAGTGTGCGTGTGTGTGTTTGTGAGTGTGTATGTGTGTGTGCCATCCATGTGTGGGTAGATGAGATGCTGATGGGAACCGGATATACTAATGTATTCAGGGGTTCTTAACTAGGTGTCCAATGTAAACTTGGTTGAGAAAAAAATTATACCTTCCTTTTCATTATCCTCTCCAACTGAAATTTAACATTTCAATGATATATTTAAGTAACAAACCACAGTATTTTTTGCAGTACTTGTCACTTTGTCATCAATAGAATCACAGATATTTTCATGTCACATTATAGTTGTTCCAAGTATCTCAAAATATTACTTATGCTTACCACTACTTCAAAATTATGGTAGTTATCGGCTGGATGCGGTGGCTCACGTCTGTAATCCCAGCACTTTGGGAGGCCGAGGCGGGTGGCTCATGAGGTCAGGAGATTGAGACCATCCTGGCTATGGTGATACCCCGTCTCTACTAAAAATACAAAAAATTAGCTCGGCGTGGTGGCGGGGCCTGTTGTCCCAGCTACTTGGGAGGCTGAGGCAGGAGAATGGCATGAACCTGGGTGGTGGAGCTTGCAGTGAGCCGAGATTGTGCCACTGTACTCCAGCCTGGGCAACAGAGCGAGACTCTGTCTCAAAAAAAAAAAATTATGGTAGTTATCATACCATAGCTAGATTTAATATGTTAATGAAGCATATTTATTACTATATCATGAACATTTGTTTTTAAAAAAATATTTGAAAACTACATTTCAAAACTTTCAGTTTTCTTTGCAATCCAATGTATTTTATTTTATGCATTTCAAAACATGATTGTGAGAAGGGGTCTTTAGGCTTCCAGACCACCAAAGGGGTCCCTGACACAAAAAAGGTTAAGAGCTGTCAGACTTATTGGACATAGTCTTGCCAGGTGGATGTAAGAGGAATGTTGGGGACAAAATGCCCGCATATCCACTTTCATATGAGACTTTTTTTGCATACTGACTGAGTAGAAAAAGGGAAAAGGCAATAAGTACTTAACCTCATGCTTGCACAGAAACACATACATAACTTTGTCCAGCTTGTAGACTGAATTTCTGAGAAATAAAAAGACAGTAATAGATCTAGAGAGCTTAGAGAGAGATCTGCGAGAACAAACCCACAATCTTGGGTACATATTGTGCATTTCCATAAACCTTCCCTAAGTAGAGATCTGGGAAAAGAATGGACATAATTTTCTCGAAACTCTGACCTCTAGGACCTGGAGAAAGTCCATTCAGCCAGCCAGAGCCCTCCCTATTCCCTTGGGCGGTAGCCTCAGAGTCCTCTGGGACAACATCTGCAAGCGGAATGCAAATCACTAGCCTGTCTGCCACCCCTCATTGCTCAGCACCTTATGGTTGCTATTTTTAGGAAGTCCGAATTTCTCAATAGAGACACAGCATCACCAGCAAGCCCTGAGAAGTTAGCCTTGTTTCCCAAATGTCTGAGGGTGGACCCAGAGTAAACACTCCACCTTCACTCCCTTCTGCTGAAATTAAAATGCTTCTATTTCTGCAGCTTGAAGGGAGGAAAGAGAGAGGGAAGAAGAAATGTTTGTTCATTTCTTCAGGTATTTTAGAAATTGAACTTGCAAGCAGGGTCTGTCTCCAGTTAATCAAATAAAAATTCTTCTTAGTATCACAAGACAATTTAAAACTAGAAAAACTCAGAAACTGCATCTGACAAAGGTCTAATGCCCAGAATCTATAAGGAACTTAAATAATTCAACAAGCAAAAAAGAAACAACCCCATTACAAATTGGGCAAAGGACAGAGACTTCTCAAAAGAAGACGTACATGCAGCAAACAAGCATATAAAAAATCCTCAACATCCCTAATCATCAGAGAAATGCAAATCAAACCACTATGAGATGCCATCTCACATCAGTCAAAATGGCTATTATTAACAAGTCAAAAAATAACAGATGTTGGCAAAGTGGCAGAGAAAAGGGAACACATACACTGGTGGCAAATGAGGCCATTCACTCACCCCCATCCTCCACTTCCCACCCTCCACCACACAAACCGAACGATGGTTTCTGATAATGCCCCTTTCACTCATTCACACAGTCTGGCGGAAGCTCATTCTGAAGTGATGGTTTAATCGCAAAGAGCAAGAAGCCAGAGTCAAAGAATCCATCAGCTTTTCCAAGATTACAATCTTAGACTGGAAGGATTGTGTTTGAATCCTTTTCTGCTACTTACTAGATCTTTCCATCTATCAAATGGAATAATAATAATTACTCCTATACAGTAGTTCTGTGAGATAACATGTGTGAATTGAAAAGTGCCTGATCAACGCTAGTTAATGTATAACTGCTATAACTTCTGTTTTCCTAGACAAGTGTGATAGTCTCAAAGGAAGCTTGCTCCTGTTTAATGAATGCTAAAGTATTATCTGGCGTCCTAGGGCCATTTCTCATTGCCTCGTTTTTTTCTCCTGCAAATTATCCTCTACTGCTTATGTCTTCAGTCTTTCTCCCTCTGCCTCCTGCTGCCACCTGCTCCCACCTTGGGGACCTGCCTCCCTGCAGAAAGCAAGTGTCCTGCTCTGGGCCATGTGGTAGCTTAGTGGTAAAGACTCTCTCCCTGGAGGTGGGACCTGTGGTTTCTGGGCAAGAACTGTGATGGGTGGGTAGGTCTGCCTAATAATTCTGGGGTGCTTGTTGTGACTGCACGGCTCAGCCACGTTCTCGGGTAGCCCTCTATCAGCGATATTTTCCTCTCTGTCTGCCTGACTCCTTTGTCTTTCTTGGTCTGTCTTATAGGATTTAGAACTGAATTAGCAAGTAGGAAGGAGTAATTTATTAGCCACCTCGAACTCCAACAATGGAAAAATGCCAAGATTTAAGGGACAGGTGGGGAAGAGCTGCCTGCAATCTGATCTGGGTTCATGGCTTTATTCTCACCCTGACCTGGGAGTCCCAGGAGTACCATCTCCTATGCGCCTCCTCCCCTTCCTATGCTCCCATTGAACTGATATGAAGTTTCAGAAGTCCTGTTCAACACAGTGAGTCAGACAGCTGATTTCAATCTGTTGGAGCTGCTGTAAGAGATTCAACCTATTTGAAATCCTGGCTTTCATATGCTGCTGCCTCTTAGATCTGTCCTGGCAACCCAGACCTGTGTGCTGACCCATATCGTGAGGGTTCCTCATTGCTCTCAGTACGAAGAGCAAACTGCTTAGCAAGGCATAAAAGGTCCTTTGTCACTGGCCTCAACTACCTGTCACCTCCTGGGCCCTTCCTCAGTGTCCTTTCTGTTCCAGCCACACTGAGCTCCTTGTGGTTGGTTCCCTTAGCAAGCCATGCACTTTAAAACTTTTCCAAGTAGTGTATACTTTACTTGGAAGGGAAGGCCCTCTCTTCGCCATGCTGATCTGGCCAGTTTTCGTTATCCTCCAACTCAGCACCTCTGGCCAGAGAAGCCTCTTCAGGCAAATTAGGGCCTTCTTACTGCCTTAGTCTCTCCTGGCATCATGGTGTAGAGCAACACCTGCTGTGTCATAGTCACTGAACACAGGTTTTTAGGTAAGCAAGTGCAGTTTCAAGGCCATTATAGGCCTTCCTACTCTCATTTTTTTCTGCCTAGAGGCCAGTTACACAATTCCAATTTTCCAGAAGAGTTCTATAACAATCTGACATAGCAAAGCTGGGTGAATTTCATACAATGAACAACAGTGCAAGAGGTCAACCTAGATTAGATTCCTGAAAGGGATGAGATTTCCTTGTGTTTCCACTATTGATTCTGGCCCCTCAATGAAGAGAATGATGAGCCAAGTACCAGTCATTCCAAATCTGAGCCATCTGTAATATAATGGAAGCTAAATTCTGTAAGAACAAGTTTAGCCTGGAATTTTCCTCAAGATAATGTATACATGACATCATATGCACTGCGGTGTTAATGGGTGTTTCTGGATGGATTCTCAGACAAATATTAGATTTGTTTGGACCTTGTCTTGGGCTGTAGCCTCTTTACTTTTGCTCTTTACCTTACTATTGGATATCTTGCAACATCTCAGATTCAGGTATTTTTTTCTCCCCAAGTTCCTTTATTTTTCCTCCAATATTTCTAGGAGAAAGCACACAGTCTTCAGTTTTATCGCCTGTACCTATGAGAGGTTAATAAAGGCTTTGTGTGTGTGTATATATTAAGATATGGAAGTATAGTCACTTAGGGAGAAAGAAAATTACTGCTTTTTCTAAAACTTAAAGGAAAAATTAAGGCTTAAAAACCTGGGATGCTTTTAGCTTTGTGCTATATCTAGCATCTAACAAATGCTTGATAAAGTTTGGCCATAATTGTTATCATAATTATTAATACTATTAATAGTAATGATAGGATTTGGTACATGAAAACAGGTTGTATTTATGCCAATGCCAAAAAGCAAGTGTGGGGAGTATACTCTGCTGGCCCTAAGTTCCCCATAGGAAGTAGAGATTGCATATATTAGCTGGAACTCGCCCAAGCTACTTTTGGGACAAACAGGATAATGTGTTCGGAACAGAGGTCAACAGCTGTTACTCTTCTGTGACATTCCGGAGATGTGGACAGATGTATTCAGATTGACCTTCCTTATTTAGTGAGTGTGGGAACTGGTGGGAAGGGGTAGGGGGAAGGGAGATACAGCGAGGGGGAGGATGAGAAGGTTCCCATGGGGGCCTGGTAACATGAGAGACCACTGAGAGCAATGTTGAAGTTAACAGTTCTATTTCCTGGAGGTGCTGTACTAAACAACATGTTAGGGGAGGAAGGCCCTTAAAATTGTTCCGAAAGGAGGAAAACCAAGCCTGACAGTTTTCCCAAGGCTAGGACAAGATTGCAGTTCCTGAAGGGGTCAGAGGTTGCTTCCTTACCATTCCACTGATTGCACAGTAGGGAATCAGAGAGGGTCAAATCAGGTTCAATACAAGATGTGGAGTGAAATACATTCCTTACCTTGCCCTCTCAACCCTGGTCATATTTAATGAACATTCCTGTTTCCAGAAAATATCCAAGTGTCCTAGTGGCTTCAAAAAAATAAAAAAAAATCAGCCAAACACAGAACTGTTGATACCTTTGTGGAATGTCAGCAACAAGGCAGGTAGCTGGTCTTCAGTGAACCCAAAAAAAGCATGGCTCAGTGAGACCATTAGATCTTCAGAATCACAGGATTTTTGAGAAGTGTAGATTTCCCTAATACCAATCTCTTTGGGTTCTGAGACTTATAAGTTTACCCTGTCATGATAATTTAGATGGAATATGATTGGTGATAGTATCCCCCCACCTTTAATGATGGCAATTGACTTTTTTTTTTTTTTTTTTTTTTTGAGACGGAGTCTCGCTCTGTCGCCCAGGCTGGAATGCAGTGGCGTGATCTTGGCTCACTGCAAGCTCTGCCTCCCAGGTTCACACCATTCTCCTGCCTCAGCCTCCGAAGTAGCTGGGACTATAGGTGCCCGCCACCATGCCTGGCTAATTTTATGTATTTTTTAGTAGAGACGGCATTTCACCATGTTAGCCAGGATAGTCTCGATCTCCTGACCTCGTGATCCTCCCACCTCGGTCTCCCAAAGTGCTGGGATTATAGGAGTGAGCCGCTGCGCTGGCCGCAATTGACTTTTTTTATATCTGTCATTCCCTCTCTGCTTTTTTTCAGATGATCAAGTGAGTGGGCCTTTTGTCATGGAGGTGTCCTGAAGCTCAGATCAGCACTGCCTGGGTTCATGATGTATCTCTCTTGCTGACAGTACACAAATTCATGGTCTGGTCAGGATCAATTTCTCCAGATGATGTCACAACTACACAAGTTTTGCATCTTCTATTGTCTGGATCTACGTGAATATAAAGTCAGCAGGGAAATAATAAGAACCGCATCATATCCTGGAGTAAAGGAAGACTTTGCAAGTCACACATAGACTTCTAGCTGAATCTTTATAAAGTTGGTGGCTGAAGGTCAGATTTGTTTATTCAGAAGGTACATTTCTCTGTAAAAACCTTGCTCTTAACCTCTGTACTATCTATCAATCACATGATCAAGCTGCTAGTTTGTCAGGACCGTGTCTATCTTTCACATGATACTCAAATCTAGAGTTCCATTTTTTGAGTCAAAGTTGAGTTCAAATCTCTTCTTTTCTACTTGCTGTATCATTGTGGACAAATTACTTAAGTTTTATAGGATTAGATTTGCTTGTCTGTAAAATGGAGATAATAGTAGTACCAACTCCCTATGTTGTTATCAGGATTAAATGAGATAATGCATGCATAATGCTTAGCACAGTACTTGGGGGCAGGATGCCTCTAATAAATGATAGCTGTTGCTTTTATAACTTGTAGTAATAGGCCTGTCTGTCTAAGTGATCAAAAGGTTTTTAAGTAATTGTTTTAAGCTACTTTTAACCACATTTTTCATGTAACACCTTATTTTTCATGTAATCCTTGATAAAGCCTCTTGGATTTTTCCTGCAAATATGTCTTTTTGCAATATTTGTTTATTCAGTGGGATTAGTCAATCAATATGGCCATTATTTCTGATTTTTCTTTCTCTGAGGCTTAGCATAGTGTTTTTTTTTTTTTTTCAGGCTTCGGTCCTGCTGATTTGTGATAATATGCATGACTTTCTTAACTTCATCTTTGTCTATTTTTTTTTGACAAAGTTTTTCGTAGCAACAGCTGGAATAATACCACACAGCTCAAACAGAAAGTCTCAGGCTTCATTATTTCCCCACAATCACCATGTGACAATTCGAATCTCTGTAAGGCAGAGCTTTGGGGGAAGATTAGAAACTGAAATGAAAGGCAAATTTCTAGCTGGAATTTAGATCAAAGAAGATATTATCCTGGTAGGCTTGCTGTGTACAAGAGAGAGCCATGGGGCTTCTCACTGACCAGCTTGACCACAATAATTCTTAAAGACTCTTCAATGATACTTTGCAGTTTATACTGGTATATGTTATTAAAGGATTGTACATCAAGGAGGAATACTATGCTAATGTAAAAATCGGGTTCTGGTGGCATTCATGCTGTAGAGTAAAATCAATCCACATAAATATATTGAACCTATATTCAAGGATCCATTCTGGCTGTTCCAACAAAGATTTATTGAGCCCCTACAGTAAGTGTGAAATGGAGATTCATCAAACTTTCTTTGTGTCTTAAAAGCAAGGGGAGATTTACACTTTGTGTGAGATATGGACAATATATTGAGTGAGGTATTGTCATCCCTATTTTACACATGAGGAATTGAGGCTGTGACTTTATGAGATTATTATATAACTAGAAAGTGGTCCAACTACATTTGATCCCTAAATCTGTGGGACTTCAAATCTGTGTGTTAGCTACTGGAATTCCCAAGTCAGTTACCTTTCCTGTTCTGCATTCTAGATGGTAAACTGAGTATGGGTATGCATTCTGTGCAGGGAGCTCCTCATCTCTCAAGGTCTAGATGGGAACCACAGAGGCCCCAGGGGAAAGAGGAGGGAGATGCTGAGTGGCTAGGCATGACTCTGGCCTTGGCTGTAGGAGAAATGAGTTGTGAAGGTGTTAGGTCTTTGAGTCTTCTGTATCATTGAGCACAGCTCAGACAGAAATATAGGGTAGAGAACAGACAGGAATATATATGTCCTAGCTAGTGGCAAAATGCTATTTTCAGCAACACTATATCTAGTATTATATCCTTGGGAAACCAGGGATGAGAAGATTACCATGGCCAGAGTACCAGAGAGAAAAAGGTTCACAATTGCAGGCATATTGATTGGAGGTCAGAGAGCAATGGTGGAGTGTTTCATTCCTTCAGTAAATGCCTTATTGAGCCCTTACTATGAGCTAGACACAGGGGATACAGCTGGAAATGAGAGAGACATGGATTCACCCTCATCATGTTTATAGTCTACTGGAGGACATAGACATTAAACACTTAATGGCACGAACACATCTGTAGTTACTTTTTCTTCTTGGCATTCCCAGTGCGCTGTATAAAGAGTGCAATGGAGATTATAGCAGGGAGACCTGGTTTAGATGGGTCAGAAGTGGGGAGTGTGTGTGTGTGTGTGTGTAGCCAATGGTGGCTGGAGACAGTATCTTTGAAGAGGTTCTGTTTACTTTGATCCTGGAAGAATGAGGGCAATTTACTCGGATTGGAGATAAAAATCCTGACCAGAGAGCAATAAGTGGTGAAGGCCCTGAGATTCATTCCTCACTCAACTCCCTCACAGGATCTTATTTTCAGCCTTAGTTCCTGTTACGTTTCAAACAGCCTATAGAATTTGGTCACCTGTATTATATTTTTCTCTAACAAGCAATGTGGTCGGGACTTCAATCTGCTCATTGATTGATTAAAGTTGTTTGTTTCATCGTGATGCATATGTCCTTGAATATCAAGGGCTTATGTGGATTTAACAAATCTGGAATTTCTCCAGAAAAATACAGGTGCACTTCTATGAAGCACAGTTAATTATGACTTCCCAGAGCCGTTTGGGCCACTCCACGGTTTCCTAAGTGACTCCATTTAAGCTCTAAAGAGATACACCATGTTAGATGTCTTGCAACTGAAAGGTAATGAATACCCTTATGTTTTTGTCCTCATAACTCTTAAAATTAAAAAAAATATATACTTAGGAGAAACAAATACAGGTTTCTTTTTTTTTTTTGAGATGGAGTTTCACTCTTGTTGCCCAGGCTGGAATGCAATGGCGCAATCTCGGCTCACCACAACCTCCGCCTCCCAGGTTCAAGTGATTCTCCTGCCTCAGCCTCCCTAGTAGCTGGGATTACAGGCATGTGCCACCACGCTTGGCTAATTTTGTATTTTTAGTAGAGATGGTGTTTCTCCATGTTGGTCAGGCTGGTCTAGAACTCCCGACCTCAGGTGATCTGCCTGCCTCAGCCTCCCAAAGTGCTGGGATTACAGGCATGAGCCACTGTGCCCGGCCACATACAGGTTTCTTACATGCATATATTGCATGGTGGTGAAGTCTGGGCTTTTAGTGTACCCACCACCCAAATAGTGAGCATTGTACCCCATAGGTAACTTTTCAACCCTCACCTGCCTCCCACCTCCCACCTTTTGGTGTCTCTAATGTCTATTATTTCACTCTGTATGTCCACGTGTACATTGTTTAGCTTCCTCTTTTAAGTGAGAACATGTGTGTTTGACTTTCTGTTTATGAGTTATTTCACTAAGGATAATGACCTCCAGTTCCATCCATGTTGCTGCAAATGATTTCATTATTTTTTTGGCTCTGTATTATTCCATGGTATGTGTGTATGCATTGCTGCAAATGATTTCATTATTTTTTTGGCTCTGTATTATTCCATGGTATGTGTGTATGCGTATGTGTATGTGTGTGTGTGTATACATTATACACCTTTTGTACGTGTGTGTGTGTGTGTGTGTGTGTGTATATATATATATATACCTCCAATGTATAGCTATAGCCCATATTCTTTATTCAATCCTCTGTTGATGGACTCTTGTGTTGATTCCATATCTTTGCCACTGTGAATAGTGCTGTGCTAAACATACGAGGGCAGGTATCTTTTTGACGTAATGATTTCTTTCCCTTTGGGTATATACCCAGTTGTGGGAGTGCTGGATTGAATGCTAGTTCTATTTTTAGTTCTTTGAGAAATCTCCATACTATTTTCCATAAAGGCTGTACTAATTTACATTCCCACCAGTGGTATACAGGCATTCTCTTTTCTCCTCATGATTATTGGCTGTTTTTAGACTGTTTATTAATAGCCATTCTGACTAGTGTAAGATGGTATCTCACTGTGGTTTTAATTTGCATTTCTCTGATGATCAGCAATATTGAGCATTTTTTCATATGTTTGTTAGCCACTTGTATGTCTTGTTTTGAAAAATGTCTGTTTAACAAGCAAATGCTGAGGGATTTTGTCACTACCAGGCCTGCCTTACAAGAGCTCCTGAAAGAAGCACTAAATATGGAAAGGAAAAACTGGTACCAGCCACTGCAAAAACACACCAAAATATAAAGTCACCATGAAGAAACTGCATTAACTAATATGCAGAATAACCAGCTAGCATCATGATGACAGGATCAAATTCACACATAACAGTATTAACCTTAAACGTAAATGGGCTAATGCCCCACTTAAAAGACACAGACTGGAAAACTGGATAAAGAGTCAAGATCCATCGGTGTGCTGTATTCAGGAGACCCATCTCACATGCAAAGACACATAGGCTCAAAATAAAGGGATGGAGGAGTATTTACCAAGCAAATGGAAAGCAAAAAAAAGCAGGAATTGCAATCCTAGTCTGTGATAAAACAGACTTTAAACCAACAAAGATCAAAAAAGACAAATAAGGGCATTACATAATGGTAAAGTGATCGATGCAACAAGAAGAGCTAACTATCCTAAATATATGTGCCCTGAAAACAGGAGCACCCAGATTCATAAAACAAGCTCTTAGAGACCTACAAAGAGACTTATATTCCCACACAGTAATAGTGGGAGACTTTAACACCCCACTGTCAATATTAGACAGATCAACAAGACAGAAAATTAACAAGGATATTCAGGAGTTGAACTCAGCTCTGAACCAAGTGGACCTAATAGACATCTACAGAACTCTCCATCCCAAATCGATAGAATATACATTCTTTTTAGCACTGCATAGCACTTATTCTAAAATCGACCACATAATTGGAAGTAAAACACTCCTTGGCAAATGAAAAAGGACGGAAATCATAACAAACAGTCTCTCAGACCACAGTGCAATCAAATTAGAACTCAGGATTAAGAAACGCTCAAAACTGTGCAACTGCACGGAAACTGAACAACCTGCTCCTGAATGACTACTGGGTGATAACGAAATTAAGGCAGAAATAAAGAAGTTCTTTGAAATCAATGAGAACAAAGACACAACGTACCAGAATCTCCGGGACACAGTTAAGCAGAGTTAAGAGGGAAGTTTATAGCACTAAATACCCATATCAGAAAGCAGGAAAGATCTGAAATTGACACCCTAACATCAAAAGTAAAGTAAATAGAGAAGCAAGAGCAAACAAATTCAAAAGCTAGCAGAAGACAATAAATAACTAAGATCAGAGCAGAACTGAAGGAGATAGAGACATGAAAAGCCCTTCAGAAATTCAGTGAATCCAGGAGCTGGTGTTTTGAAAAGATTAACAAAATAGATAGACCACTAGCCAGACTAATAAAGAAGAAAAGAGAGAAGAATCAAATAGACACAATAAAAAATGATGAAGGGGATATCACCACTGATCCCACAGAAATACAAACTACCATCAGAAAATACTATAAACACCTCTATGCGGCCGGGTGCAGTGGCTCACGCCTGTAATCTCAGCACTTTAGGAGGCCAAGGCGGGCGGATCATGAGGTCAGGAGGTTGAGACCATCCTGGCTAACATGGTGAAACTCCATCTCTATTAAAAACACAAAAAATTAGCCGGGCATGGTGGCAGGCGCCTGTAGTCCCAGCTGCTCGGGAGGCTGAGGCAGGAGAATGGTGTGAACCTGGGAGGCGGAGTTTGCAGTGAGCCGAGATTGCGCCACTGCACTCCAGCCTGGGCGACAGAGCGAGACTCCGTCTAAAAAAGAAAAAAAAAACCAAAACACCTCTATGCAAATAAACTAGAAAATCTAGAAGAAATGGATAAATTCCTGGACACATACACCCTCCCAAGACTAAACCATGGAGAAGTCAAATCTCTGAATAGACCAATAACAAGTTCTGAAATGGAGGCAGTAATTAATACCCTATCAACCAGAAAAAGCCCAGGACCAGACAGAGTCACAGCTGAATTCTACCAGAGGTACAAAGAGGAGCTGGTACCATTTCTTCTGAAACTATTCCAAAAATTAGAAAAAGAGGGATTCCTCCCTAACTCATTTTATGAGGCCAGCATCATCCTGATACCAAACTCTGGCAGAGACACAACAAAAAAAGAAAATTTCAGGCGAATATCCTTGATGAACATTGATGCCAAAATCCTCAATAAAATACTGGCAAACCGAATCCAGCAGCACATCAGAAAGCTTATCCACCATGATCAAGTCGACTTCATCCTTAGCATGCAAGGCTGGTTCAACATACACAAATCAATAAATGTAATCCATCACATAAACAGAACCAATGACAAAAACCACATGATTATCTCAAAAGATGTGGAAAAAGCTTTGATAAAATTCAACACCGCTTCATGCTAAAAACTCTCAGTAAACTAGGTGTTGATGAAACATATCTCAAAATAATAAGAGCTATTTATGACAAACCCATAGCCAATATCATACTGAATGGGCAAAAGCTGGAAGCATTCCCTTTAAAAACCAGCACAAGACAAGGATGCCCTCTTTCACACTCCTATTCAACATAGTACTGGAACTTCTGGCCAGGGCAATCAGGCAAGAGAAAGAAATAAAGCGTATTCAAATAGGAAGAGAGGAAGTCAAATTGTCTTTGTTTGCAGTTGACATGACTGTATATTTAGAAAACCTATCTGTATTTTTAGAATGCTGTATATTTAGACTGTATATTTAGAAAACCATCTCATGCCAGTTAGAATGGCGATTATTGAAAAGTCAGGAAACAACAGATGCTGGCGAGGCTGTGGAGAAATAGGAACTCTTTTACACCATTGGTGGGAATGTAAATTAGTTCAACCATTGTAGAAGACAGTGTGTCAATTCCTCAAGGATCTAGAACCAGAAATACCATTTGACCCAGCAATCCCATTACTGGGTATATACCCAAACGATTATAAATCATTCTACTATAAAGACATGCACACGTATGTTTATTGGAGCACTATTTACAACAGCAAAGACTTGGAACCAACCCAAATGCCCATCAATGATAGACTGGATAAACAAAATATGGCACATATATGGGCTGGGTGTAGTGGCTTACGCCTGTAATCCCAGCACTTTGGGAGGCCAAGGCAGGTGGATCACCTGATGTTGGGAGTTCGAGACCAGCCAGACCAACATGGAGAAACCCCATCTCTACTAAAAATACAAAAATTAGCTGGGCCTGGTGGTGCATGCCTGTAATCCCAGCTACCTGGGAGGCTGAGGCAGGAGAATTGCTTGAACCTGGGAGGCAGAAGTTGCAGTGAGCCAAGATCGTGCCATTGTACTCTAGCCTGGGCAACAAGAGCGAAACTCTGTCTCAAAAAATAAAAAAATAAAATTAAATTAAATTAAAAAAAAGAAAATATGGCACATATATACTATGGAATACTATGCAGCCATAAAAAGAATGAGTTCATATCCATCGTCTCAGCCCAAAAACTCCTTCTGATAAGCAACTTCAGCAAAGTCTCAGGATACAAAATCAATAGGCAAAAATCACAAGCATTCCTATACACCAATAATAGACAAGTAGAGAGCCAAATCATGAGTGAACTCCCATTCACAATTGCTACAAAGAAAATAAGATACTTAGGAATACAGCTTACAAGGGATGTGAAGGACCTCTTCAAGGAGAACTACAAACCACTGCTCAAGGAAATAAGAGAGGACACAAACAAATGGAAAAACATTCCATGCTCATGAATAGGAAGAATCAGTACCATGAGATTGGCCATATGGCCCAAAGTAACTTATAGATTCAATACTATTACCATCAAGCTACCATTGACTTTCTTTGCAGAATTAGAAAAAACTACTTTAAATTTCATATGGAACCAAAAAAGAGCCTATATAGCCAAGAGAATCCTAAGCAAAAACAACAAAGCTGGAGGCATCCTGCTACCTGACTTCAAACTGTACTATAAGGCTACAGTAACCAAAACAGCATGGTACTGGTACCAAAACAGATATATAGACCAATGGAACGAAACAGAGACCTCAGAAATAACACCACACGTCTACAACCATCTGATCTTTGACAAACCTGACAAAAACAAGCAATGGGGAAAGGATTCCCTATTTAATAAATGGTGCTGGGAAAACTGGCTAGCCATATGCAGAAAACTTAAACTGGTCCCCTTCCTTATAGCTTATACAAAAATTAACTTAAGATGGATTAAAGATTTAAATGTAAAACCTAAAACCATAAAAACCCTAGAAGCAAACCAAGGCAATACCATTCAGGACATAGGCATGGGCAAAGACTTCATGACTAAAACACCAAAAGCAATCACAACAAAAGCCAAAATTGACAAATGAGATCTAATTAAAACTAAAGAGCTTCTGCACAGCAAAAGAAACTACCATGAGTGAATAAGCAAACTACAGAATGGGAGAAATTTTTGCAATCTATCCATCTGACAAACGTCTAATATCCAGAATCTGTAAGGAACTTAAACAAATTTACAAGAAAAAAACAACCCCATAAAAAGTGGGCAAAGGATACGAACAGACACTTCTCAAAAGAAGACATTTCTGCAGCCAACAAACATGAAAAAAAGCTCATCATCACTGATCATTAGAGAAATGCAAATCAAAACCACAATGAGATACCGTCTCACGCTGGTTAGAATGGCAATTATTAAAAAGTCAGGAAACAACGGATGCTGGCGAGGCTGTGGAGAAATAGGAACTCTTTTACGCTGTTGGTGGGAGTGTAAATTAGTTCAACCATTGTGGAAGACAGTGTGTCGATTCCTCAAGGATCTAGAACCAGAAATACCATTTGACCCAGCAATCCCATTACTGGGTATATACCCAAAGGATTATAAATCATTCTACTGTAAAGACATGCACACGTATGCTTATTGCAGCACTATTTACAACAGCAAAAACTTAGAACCAACCCAAATGCCCATCAATGATAGACTAGATAAAGAAAATATGGCACGTATATACTATGGAACACTATGCAGCCATAAAAAAGTATGAGTTCATGTCCTTTGCAGGGACATGGATGAAGCTGGAAGCCATCATTCTCAGCAAACTAACACAGGAGCAGAAAACCAAACACCACATGTTCTCACTCATAAGTGGGAGTTGAACAATGAGAACACATGGACACAGGGAGGGTAACATCACACACTGTGACCTGTCAGGGGGTGGGGATCAAGGGGAGGGAGAGCATTAGGACAAATACCTAATACATATGGGGCTTAAAACCTAGATGATGGGTTAATAGGTGCAGCAAACCACCATGGCACACGTATACCTTTGTAACAAACCTGCACGTTCTGCACATGTATCCCAGAACTTGAAGTAAATTTAAAAAAACAAAAAGAAAGAAAAATGTCTGTTCATGTCCTCTGCCTACTTTTTAATGGGATTGTTTTTTTCTTGTTGAGTTGTTTCAGTTCCATGTAGATTCTGGTTATTAGCCTTTTGTCAGATGTTTAGTTTGCAAATATTTTTCCCATTCTATAGTTATCTACTTACTCTGTTGATTGTTTCTTTTGCTGTGCAGAAGCTTTTTAGTTTATTTAAGTCCCATGTGTCTATTTTGTTGCCTTTGCTTCTGAGGACTTGTTCATAAATTCTTTGCCTCGGCAGATGTAAAAAAGAGTTTTTTCTTGGTTTTCTTCTGGGATTTTTATAGTTTCAGGTCTTACATTTAGGGCTTTAATGCATATTATGTTAATTTTTGTATATGGTGAGAGGTATGGGCCCCGTTTCATTCTTCTGCATATAGCTAGCCAATTTTCCCAGCACCATTTATTGAATAGGGAGTCCTCTCCCCAGCATATATTTTTGTTAACTTTGTTGAAGATCAGTTGGTTGTAGATATGTGGCTTTATCTCTGGGTTCTCTATTCTGTTCCATTGTTCTATGTATCTATTTTTATACTAGTACCATGCTGTTTTGGTTACTATAGTTTTACCATGTAATTTGAAGTTAGGTAATGTGATACTTCAAAGCTTTGTTCTTTTTGCTTAGGATTGCTTTGACTATTCAGCTCTTTTTGGATTCCACACGATTTTTAGGATTGCTTTTTCAAATTCTGTGAAAAATGACATTCTTTTGTTCTGACAATTCTTAACCCCACTTCAGACCAGTTTTCTCATCTGTAAAATGGAGATAATAATAATCTTCCTCACAGGTTGTGTATTAAATGAGATCTGGAATGTAAAGTTCTTAGTATGGAAATGCTATTATTTTTACTGAAAATGTTGTAGGGTCTCAGTATCCTGTGTATTGCCGGATTTAAGGTCCTTATTTTATTTCTGTCATTTCTACCTCTTGGTATATGTGAATGCTATTGGATTTCAAAAGCAAATGTGAAAGGATTCTAATGAAATGGTTTGCTTCTTTAGTGTCATACATGTTAAAACATAGGAAGGCAAATGTCAAAGTTTGTGTTTCTTTTTATTCTATGGAAAGAAAATTAAATATGGCTCATCAAATAATAAGGCCAATAATATTTAATTATTGTTTTGTGAATTCGTATAAATGAGCTGACCTCTCTGGGCTGCAGCTTCCTTCTCTGCAAGATAAGGGAATTAGGCCAGATGAGTGAACTGTTTCTTTTTCAGCTAAGTTTGACCCGATTACTACTATTTACATAGTATTAACTAGATGCTATGTAGTCATCTTTAATATGCTTGAAGACAGTTATTAACTCACTCCTTAGCCTTTTGTTGTTGATCATGGAAAACTACTGGGTATCTTTGTTTCTTCTGTGTATATTCTCAGTATGTATAATGAGTCTCAGAGCCTCTTGTTTTAAGATCTGGGTAGGCTGGTGGCTCTAGAATATGGATGACCTTTTAGGAAAGGTCACCTTGCCATCTGTAAATTTTCCCCCAGATAGACTTCAGGCCCTGGGGAAGGCATGGGTTCCCCTAACTGGATAGAGGATCAGAGCCAGGAAGACTGTGTCAAATTCTAGAAGTGAATCTTCTCCAGGACTCAGGGCATAGCTTTGTCACTTACCTATAGTTCAGAAGTGTGAGTGAATCATTTCCAAGGACAAATTTCTCCAAAGGACCAAAAGATGTGTTAGTAAGAGGGGTTCACAAAGACTGTGTTTGTGGGAAAATTGAAGTGTGAACAAAGAAGGTCTACCAGGACAGGAAATACTTTTGATCTGTCATTTATCAGATCAGGAGGGAGGGACATGAAGCCTGCCTCCTCTTACAGCTAGGTCATCAAAGAGTTTGACTGTAGCATTTTAAAATAGCGAAGAAAAAAAGGTAACAACACTAGGGGTTTGTTAAACAATTTATGATATAATTAGAGAATGGAATATTATGCATCAATTACAAATAATGTTTATAAAGATACTTAAATGACATGGGAAAATGTTCAAGATATAACAAATAATAGTACATATCTGATGAAAACTATAAGTAAAACATGATATTAAACATGTAAAAATCTTAACAGACCAACAGGTGGAAGGCAGTGGACCAGAATATTAGCAGTGTTTATATTAGGGTGGTAAGAATGTGGATGAATCTTGTTTTAATGCTTATAATTTTTCTAAACATTCTCAATGAAATATGCCTTACTTTTATAGTCAGAATAAAAAGCAATACAAGTTATCTTTTAAAACAACCCACATACACAAAACCCCCAACTAGAGTAATTGCACAAAGCTTAGATTATCAAAAAGAAGAAAAAAATTACTGGAAAAGTTTTGAAGAAGTCATTGAGTACAAGATACTGACGTAGGTGCCGGAAGAAGAGAGCAGTTGGCCGTGCTGGTGGAATAACCCTCTCTGCAAAGGGCCTGGGAGTTGAAGAAGGGTGCAGTCGGGTGGTGGTTATGAATCTCAGAAATCCTGCCACGGAGCCTCCTTTTGTGCCCTATTACTTAACCTTGAGGGACATAGAGAGCATGAGACACCAAGGGGCTTTTGGTTGCCTTACTGTCCCACTAAGAACATAGAATGTTGTTTTGACTTTCCCTTTGCTTAGGGAACCTCCCCCAGATACTCAGCTGGCTGGCTGCTTGCACGTAGAATGGGTTTTGCAAAGTTCCTAGAAGTGAGTTGGAGGAGGCTTGACATAAATCAAGCACTGTGTGCTAAATGCTCCAGAGGGCTACCTTATGTCCTACACAAATGTTACATTTCTAATATTTGTAACTCCTTTAAACGTTTATGCAGATGTTTCCCAATTCCTCAGTAGAATTCTTACCATTATCTTTTTGACACAACCTGTCCCCATCCTATGAAAATCTCTCCTCTGCTAGAGACTTTATTCTTTCTTTCTCTCTCTCCCCCTTCCTTCCTTCCCTCCCTCCCTCTTTCTTTCTTTCCATCTTTCTTTCTTTCTTTCTTTCTTTCTTTCTTTCTTTCTTTCTTTCTTTCTTTCTTTCTCTTTCTTTCTTTCTTTTCTTTCTTTCTTTCTTTCTCTTTCTCTCTCTTTCTTTCTTCCTTTCTTTTTTCTCTCTCCCCTTCCTTCCTTCTTTCCTTCTTTTCTTTTCTTTTCTTTTCTTTTCTTTCTCTCTTTCTTTCTGTCTTTCTTTTCTCATTCTGTTGCCCTGGCTGGAGTGCAGTGGCATGATCTCGGCTCATAGCAGCCTCCACCTCCTGGGTTCAAGCGATTCTCCTGCCTTAGCCTCCCTAGTAGCTGGGATTACAGGTACCCACCATGATGCCTGGCTAATTTTTTGTATTTTCAATGGAGACGGGGTTTCACCATGTTGGCCAGGCTCGTCTTGACCTCCTGGCCTCAAATGATCCACCCACTTTGGCCTCCCAAATTGCTGGCATTACAGGCGTGAGCCACTGCACCCGGCCTGTTCCTTCTTAAGAACACTTTGTCTCCCCTTTAATCTCTGCTGGATTTCAAGCACCCCTTTTACACAACTCTTGATATCCATCAATAAAGAATAATTCCCATAAGCCCATCATGTAGTGACCGACTATTTTTCAGTGACAAAAAAAAAGTCTTTAAAAATAGAAGTAAAAGTCTAAAGTCATCAAAACAACGTTATATCCTGTGTGAAATGCTGCAGTCAGGATGCCTTGTGGTTTGAGTGCCTTGATCATGTGCCCTAAGGGGATGGTGGCGGTGGTGGTGGCCGTGGATGACGGAGACTCTCAGGCCTTGGCAGGTGCGTCTTTCAGTTCCCCTCACACTTCGGGTTCCTCGGGGAGGAGGGGCTGGAACCCTAGCCCATCGTCAGGACAAAGATGCTCAGGCTGCTCTTGGCTCTCAACTTATTCCCTTCAATTCAAGTAACAGGTAAACAATGTTAATGTCTTTCTTTCTGTAAATATTTTTTGAGGTCTTCCAATTGGCTTAGTTTATTTTAAATTTCTAACAATGTGTGAAATTTGAACATTTGAAGTGTAGTTTTGCTGTAATAGGGCAATGTGTTATTTTGAAAATCATTGATTCTCAGACTACAATATAGTATCTTAACAAAAGTCCCTTGGAAATAAATTTTCTAAGCTATTAGTTTCTCTAGCTATTAGTTGATAGTGTCCCAAGAATTTATTATTATTATTATTATTTTAAATTGAGATGGGGTTTCACTATGTTGCCCAGGCTGGTCTCAAACTTCTGAGCTCAAGCAATCCACCTGCCTCTGCCTCCCAAAGTGCTAGGGTTACAGGCATGAGCTACCATGCCCGGCCAATAATTTTTAATTTATGTATCGTTTCTTTCTTTCTTTCTTTTTTTTTTTAATTTAAGAAAGCTGCTGTAAGTAGATTGGCTCTGGAAGCTCTGAATTTAGGTTGCCTATGTTCCTAACACAGGTCCAATTCTCACTAGGTAAGCTTAGGCTTAGCTATTATTTAAACTCTCCAAACCTCAGTTTCCTTAACTGTAAAGTGGGAATAATAATAAACCTCACCTCAAGGTCATTGTGAGGTAAAATGAAATAATCCATGCGAAGGGCTTAGCTCAGTCAGGCTTCAAGATAAATGTGAACTGTAATTACTCTATCTACCTGAATTGAATGAGTTCCAACATGAATTCTGGAGTCACCACAGAAGCTGCTACAACACCAATATTAATAAATTAGTTTTCTTTTACAATCGGCCAAAATGTATTTTCTTAGATTAAAATTCTTTAAGTTCCCAATGACGATGATGAGGAGGATAATACATCTAGCACTTTGAGCAGCACACAGTTCTCGTAACTAGAAGGTAGGTATTACAGTTAACTTCATTTCAGATGAAGAGACTGAGGGGTAGGCACATTAAGGGATTTGCCCAAGGATGTACAGGTGGCAGCTATAGGAGGCAGGGTCTGAACCACCTTAGTCTGACTCCAGTGCCGGTGTTGTTGATTATTATGCTATTCCATCTAACATGGTGTGATTTGTAATTTCATGGACTCAGGTAAATCCAGGGTTAAATTAACTTCGGAAAATCACAAGCACAATTCCTAACAGAAAGAATTTGTTACTTGGGTGGGCTGGAGTAAGATGCTCATTCAACGTGTTCTCAGAGTTAGAAAAAGGCCCCCGCTTGGTTCAAAAACTGGACTGATAGGGGTCAACAGTCATGCTTAAATAAGGACAGTTATTTTTCCCTGAAAGATACATTGAAAAGCCAGTATCCTCAATTTTCTTTCTTATTTTGGCAGTACAGAGACTGCATTATTTGTTGTTATTCTTAAACATTAAGTGTACATAGCCCAAAGAGTATAATTTCCCAATCTGCAGAGGTACAGTAGTTGCATATATACCCGTTTATTTTATGGTCTGACGTACCAGTGAGCACAAATTGTGTATATTTATAAAACGTGTTGATATAATGAAAGACATGAGTTGGCAATGAGATCTGGTACCAAGCGTTTACAGCTACCAAATATATTCTACAAGAATCTTTAACATTTATTTTAAAAAGGTCAAACCTTATTTTTAAGAGATCTCTCAAACTTAAAGAATATTTAAAATTACTTAATTTGTTAGACAGTCAAGGGAAGCCTACCCTGACTGAAAACTATTTAAAATTGGTAATTGTACACTAAATACTTTTCTGATGTGCTTTGTGGACACCTATCTGTCATCAACTTATTCACTCTCTTTTGAAGAGTTTTTGGTAAGACTCAAAACTTTGTATGTTTTCTTTAGAACATTTATTAAAAGGGGACTAGCTAGATAAGTGGTTGGAGAGTTCACACACATAGGGCCTTTGTTTTCTACTTTGACATATATTTACTTTTCAAATGCCAATTCACTTTTCTAGTAACTTTTAGCATTTGATACTGAGTGGCTATCTAATGAAGAAGGAAAGAGATGGGAGTGAAGGGGACACTTTTACAGTCTTTTCCAGTAAGAAAACTTACGAGCAAGAAAAGAATGACCACATAAAAAATGTATGATTTGGCCTGGTGTGGTGGCTCACGCCTGTAATCGTGGGACGCTGAGGCGGGTGGATCACTTGAGGTCAGGAGTTGGAGACCCGTCGGGCTAACATGGTGAAATCCCATCTCTACTAAAAATACAAAAAAATTAGCAGGGTGTGGTGGCATGCGCCTGTAATCCCAGCTACTTGTGAGGCTTAGGCAGGAGAATTGCTTAAACCCGGGACGCGGAGGTTGCTGTGAACTTAGATTGCACCCCTGCACTCCAGCCTGGGAAACAGTCTCAAAAAAAAAAAAAAATTATGCTGCATTCTAATCAAATAGTGCAAAGCTTCTTGTGTGCTTTGCCTTTCTCTGTACACACCTTCCATTAAGAAATTATAGATAGGGAAATTCTCTGGTCAAAGTGTAACTGTCCTTCCTAGGTCTGAGAAACCACTGTTATGCCTGTGTTGAGATGTGTATCTGTGTGCGTGCATGTGTGTGTATGTATGTATATGAAGAATAGTTCTTTTTTCCATTAATTTAATAATGTGTGTGTATGTATGTATATGAAGAATAGTTCTTTTTTCCATTAATTTAATAATGTAACTTATTTGTTTACAGCATAGCTTAAAATATTTATTCTATAAAGGTTAAGTCTAACCTGATTCCTTATGAGTTGGATGACAGTGTAGAGAGATATTTATGGCTAAGTTAAAGAAGTGTGATTTAGGAAGAGTGAGGAAACCTTAACTTAGATAAGCCCTTTGCATGTTTTCTACTAGACTCGGATAATTGTGCAACTGAGATCCACAGAGAGTATTTTGCTGGACTTTGGGATAGGAGTCCAGCCCAGAACTACAGAGCCTTAAGAGGGAAATGCTCTGGGATTGATGATAGAAGGATGGTATGCACAAAATACTTGACATTGGTCACATGTTTCAGGCCATATTTGCTATTTTTTAGCAAGCCTAATCATCCAGTGTGAAGAGAAAAATCAGCATATTACCACTTATTTTTCCATGAGATCATTCCTTTTCACTTCTCCAAAACTTGGGCAAAAAACTGTCAAAATGGCCAGTTTGGACAAAGCTAATTTCTCCAGCGCCTTCCCTTAGCGCTTATTTTTCTGAGAGAGGCATGGAAAGCAGGAAAATAACTGACATTTAATAAAAAGTCATCAGCAAAGCAATTAAAAATTTTATTTGTACTCTAGTCTTCAGCCAATGACTCCCCTGAGCTGGTTGTATACGGAAAGAAGTAATTTGTTTCTCACAGTTAAGTGTTGCTCTGAGACTGGGCTTGGGAAAGTAAGGTGAAAAGATGAATGTCAAAAAATCAACAGATTGCCGTATTTACATGACTTCCAATATGCTGTGGCCAGTTTTTCTGTTAAAAGAAATTGACTGGATGTTTTTGTCATTTCAAGTAAATTTGATGGATATTTCAAAAGTATAGGCATTGCTTAAGGATTTGTTTTACTCTACTACCGTGCCCTAGTTAACACATTGTGTTTTTTAAGGCAACCATCCAGCAAGGACGTTTACAGCAAGGACTGCAAAATTAATATCAATATATCAATACCAGGAAATGGAATGAGTCATTGCCACAGATAGATTAGAAATAGAAATGAATCTGTGATTGTAACTCCAAAGCTCTCACATTCAAACTTTTACTATGGGTGGGGAGAGGATCTCGCTGCCTCCCCTTCTTTAAGACATAGACCCTCCTCCTTTTTAACGTCTTATGCCTTTTTTCAAGGGTGGAGAAATGCCATATGATTACCATTTGGCTTTTATCTTGTGTGGATATCTTCCTCCAAGTATTTCCTGCAAGCAGTGTGCTGACATTTACAAAAGGAAAATTTTTATGCCACCAACATCCCAGAAGAAAATTTGTTGTGGTTTATCATCTCTAACACAAAAGCCCTTTATTAACTAGTGTAGGCATTGATGAGGATACGCAATTCATGTCAGACTTGGTTGTCTAAAAATCAGAGGACGGACACTCCTTCAAAGCACAATTGTTTCCCAGCAGGTCATGGCAAGGGATAGAATCTTCTTCTCTTTCTCATGTTGGTTAAATTTTTGTTTGCCTTTTTCTTCAAGAAATTTATTATTTATGGAACTTCACAGAGGCTGGAACTTTTCTTCTCAGTACATAGTTGAGCTGAGCATCTGGAAAAATTACATCTGGGTGGTTTTGTGACTGACTGAATGGCTCTCTGGTTAAGCTGTGTTAAGATATCTGTGTCTCTTTTACGGTGATTTATTTGGCCGTTTTTGGCCAATGACAGGGTGTTAGCACCAAAAACCCAAAACCAAAAAAACCAAGACAATTCACTCAGAGCTTTGAGCCTGATAATTATAGCATGAGAATTGGTGCCTGAAGCTGGGGGGAAGGTAACCCAGGCCCCACAGAAAGGTGGTTGCATGCAAGTGTCTAACTTTTTCCTTGTTAATCTCATTTTGAGGACTCCAAACACTAGAAGAGAAGTGCACTGGATAGGATCAAGAACTACTCAGTCATTTGGTAGAGGCTTGGAAAAAAGAGTTTAGACTTCTCACTATTTCAATGTTAATTTCAAAGGCATGTTTATTTAGTCTCGTGTCACCATGCAGGTTATATGTGCTTCTGTTTTCATTGCTGGAAGAGAACCTGCAAGGTGGTGGAGAAGTTCTTACTTAACTTTGAGCTGCTCCCTTATCTCTGCATTACCATTACTGTCATCTTTTTCTTTGTCATCATCTTCATTATCTTGGGTATTGTGGCTGACAATATAACCAGGTTAATGGTTCCTGATGGTATCATTCAGAATTACTCACTCATAGTTCACTTTGGCCTCTGATCTAATTGTGAGCCCCTTTCTGCAATATCTGAATCACCTCATTGGCTCACAATCCACCATGTAATCTACTTGTCTTTCATGTTAGACTTTTCGTGAAAGATCCACCTCCTCGAAGAAGCTTCTGGATACTTCAGCCTTTATTGTGGTCTTGGAAGAGGAGTTCTGATGGAAGTGTATCTCAACTTAACAAATATTTATTAAACCTCTCATATTTTAATCTCCATCAGAGTTTCAGAGAATATAAAAAGAAATATAGGCCGGATATGGTGCCTCACACCTGTAACCCCAGCACTTTGGGAGACCAAGGCAGGCAGATCACCTGAGGTCAGAAGTTTGAGACCAGTCTGGCCAATATGGTGAAACCCCATCTCTACTAA
Source organism: Homo sapiens (assembly GCF_000001405.40). Taxonomy (NCBI): domain Eukaryota; kingdom Metazoa; phylum Chordata; class Mammalia; order Primates; family Hominidae; genus Homo; species Homo sapiens. Next base: position 203,712,032 of record NC_000002.12, read on the forward strand.
AAATACAAAAATTAGCCAGGCGTGGTGGTACACACCTGTAGTCCCAGCTACTGGGGAGGCTGAGGTAGGAGAATTGCTTGAACCTAGGAGGCAGAGGTTGCAGTGAGCAGAGATTGTGTCAATGCACTCCAGCCTGGGTGACAGAGCGAGATTCCGTCTCAACAACAACAAAAAAAAGAAATATAAAATCAGTACACAAGTATTGTGTAGTACAAGTAATTAGGTAGTTAACTGAGTTCTCTCTGCTTTTACAGCCCCTATGATTTAGTTGAGTAGGTTATATATAATAGGAGGATGTAACATCTGGAAACAGATAAATAACACTTGGCAGTCACTACCTCACCATGCTATTTGATGACTAAAGGACTTTGGTTTGCCTACATTATTTTTATAATCTGAAATGTCCTCTACACCTCTCACCTGAAGAAGCCTTCTCTGAGACCCCAAATGGCAAAGAGAGGGACTTCCTTCCCTCTCAAGTTTCTCCAAATTATTACTGTGTATTGACACATTTATTTTCTTTTCCACTAGACTATGAACTCCTTGAGGGCAGAATCATGTCTTATTCATCCTTCTAACCTCTGTATTAGGCACAATGCTGTAAGCATATAGTTACTCAATAAATATTTGTTGAAGAAAGAAATGAATGAATTAGTAACAAAATGAGGAAGCATAAAATAAATACTCGTAAGATTAATGTAGAAAGGTAAGCCTTTATGGAGAGTTGGGAATTAGACTGGACAGTAGACAAGATTTGAATGAACGTTGTTATTAATAATAATTGCTAGCTAACATTTATTTTGCACTTATAATGTGCCAGGTAGTGTTCTGCCTGGCTTTCCCTGTATTAAGTCATCTAATCTCCAAGTCCTATGAGGTAGTTACTATGATTGCTATGATTATACTATTTCATAGATGGGGAAACTGAAGCACAGAGTGGGTAGAGCATCTTGCTTATGGTCACAAAGCTACTAAGTATGTAAATCCAGATGGTCTTGCTCTGGGGTTCATGTTCTTACCAATGCTGTGTTGTCTCAGGAAGGAAAAGGTGGATTAATAAAGAAATTAAACCAGGAATACTGTTTCATGTTCTCAGAACAGATGGCAACTCTGAATGTGTGAGGTTATGGTGAAGCAGCGGAGAATCCAGCTAAGCAAAGGATAGAATACTGGTAACAGAAATTCAAACTTTATTTTCAAGTCATTTTGAAGTAATGGCCTGGGTAAGAAGAAAATATTTCAGAATCCTTATCTTTGGAATGAAGCTGGAGTTATGGGAATGGATGGCTAGTCGAAAGGAGAGGGCATAACTGTAGAAAAACAGAGAGTGGAGCTGAATCTGGAAACTAACTGGCTCTGATGGGAGTCAGCTGAAAAGGATGGTTAGCTAGTGAAGGAGACAAAGAAAGTGGTGAGAGAGGCAGGGGGACACAGTGAGGCTAGTGGAATGCCACTAAGCCAATGAGGGAAAGAGTTTCAAAAAGATAGTGGTTAATAGCATTAAACATAAGAGGGAAAGGAGTGAATAATGGCTTGGGATTTGGCTGAAACGCCACCTGGGACTTTTGAGTTTAGGCAGAGACATGGAGAAGGAAGATAAGACTTCACAGGATTAAGAAAAAGTGGAGGGGGACAAAACAGAGACAGTGAAAAGGAGAGGAAATAGATAAGGTAAAGACAATTAGGAACTTATATCACCTAAAATGTCTACCATGGTATTTTGTGCATGTAATAATAAATGTTTGCAAATGGCTGAGTGACTTAAGTATGTTTGACATGTGGAAGGAGCCAAGTGCTGGACCTGAGAGAGAGAGAGAGAGGGAGAGAGAGAGAGAGAGAGAGAGACAGAGAGAGAGAGTGTGTGTGTGTGTGTGTAGCATTGCAGGGCTTGAGGGTAGAGAAGGGTATTATTAGGAAAGAAAGGAGGAGGAGGGAGAGGAAAAAAAGAGGGTGGGGATAGTTTTCTCAAGGAGATAGGGAGGGAGATTTGTTGCATAGGAGATGAGTGTATTAGAGAGAGGAGGACAAATCTCTAAGAAGATAGGGAGGAAGAGAAGAGACTTATAGGGGTAGAGATAAGTTAGAATGAAGCTATGGTAGATGAGTGATTCTATACTGGTGAACCTGAGGTTAAAAACAAACAAATCTCTCAGAGTAGGTCATGATGTTAAACCTATATCAACAAGGGCTACTGGGTAATACATGCCTTCTCTCTGAAGACTTTGCCCATGTGTACTTTAAATTCTTGCTTGAGTCCTCAACAATGCACACTATGGCTAGGCTTGACCTCAGCTCACGGCTGAGATCACAGGGTCACAGGGTTCAAACCAACCCTGCCCAACATTATGGGCGGGACTCTAGTTTCCAGTCAGGGATGTTAATCTTAGCATTTCCCTGTGTGTTTTGGAACAAGGATATGGTTGCTTGACCTTGGCTTGGGGAGGCCAGTCCGCTATTCTTTTGCCCTCTCTTTTTTCAAACTCAAAAGCTAATCCCAAGGATTTCTCAAGGTGGGGGATGTGATTAGGAGTATTAGTCTATCATACTGTGACAGAACTTTTCTAGGCCTCGGTTTCTTCATCTGATACATGAAGAGTTTGGGCTGGAGGATATCTCAGGTCTACTTTCTGGCTTAAAAGTGCTTCTGAAGTGGAATTTTTTAAAAAGCTAACTTTTGTCGGGTCTAACAAGGCAGCTCAACTACCCCATCCCCTTGTGGATGCTCTTATGACCTGATAGAGCAAATACAAGAAATTAGAAACCAGCCATCTCTGAAATCCCTTGCAGGGATTGCTAACCAGGATCCTAAATGCTGCTAATGTGCTTAGAAATGACTGCTGGACTTTGAGGGGGCAATGCTGCCTTTGCTATCTCCTGTTTTCCTATGCAATGTTAAGGTCCAACACAGTAATTATTTAAACTTCTGGGCCATGACATTTACCTGGAGGTTCTGTATATGACAAGGTGATCCTGAGCAGATTCTTCAGAGGTATGTGATTTAGGCAGAATGGAACAGACAGGAAAAATGTACTGTTGTCTTCATCACAGAGTTGTTTTGAATGAGGGATCAGGATAATTGTGGCTCAGGAGGAAAATATGGCTCTCAAATTTGGTTACTAGATTAAAACATATATTTAGAAAATAATAAATTAATAGAGGAGGTCTCTTTATACCTGTGGGTTTTCTTTTGATCCGTTAACTGAATTACTATAATAATATATATGTACAGAAAGCTATAATTCCCTGGTTACCTCCTATTTAGACTACAGGCAACCTTTTAGAATAGTGAGATTTGATTTTGGGGAGTTGTCTGGTGGCTCTTGGTATGGGTTCCACTTTCATGTAAGTTAAGGTGCTCTTGCTATGTTGTCCCCTTAGATTGTCTTTCTAACATTAGGAGATCAGAGGAAAATTGCAGACCTGACCTGTGAACGGTAGGGATTGGGTCACACTGCATCTGAGTTTATGTTGCTTTGGGTTAGGAAGTTTTGGTCCCAGAGCACTCACATCCTGCATTGCTGTGTGGTGTCTCTGAGTGGTAGGGATGGGTTACAGCACAGGTGATGGTTTTTAGCAATTTTAATATTAACTGTCATCCTAATACATATGAACTTCCTAATGTACATTTCTATCCCCAACTGGCTTCCTCGAACTCTAGTCCTATACTTCTAACTCCTTCTGGATCTTTCCTCCAGGATGAACAAATTTCCTCTTAACTTACCTCATTTTGTCAATGGTGCCTCCACTCATACCCTTACCCAGTGCGTGAACTCTGGGTCGGTTTCCATTCCTGTTCACCATCAGTCTGTAAAACTGAGCACCAATGCCTTGTTTGACCCTTTCATACCAGCTGCCACCTCCACAGCTCAGGCCTTATGAACTCACATCAGTGCTATTGCATCAGCCTCCTGATTGGTCTCTGCCTCAGTTCTTCCCTTGCTCCAAGCCAAGGGCAGTCAAGATTGCTTGCTGCACTCCTCAAGGCTGTGCTAACCTTCCCAAAGCAGCATGTACCACAACATTCTCAACTCAGACATCTTCAGCATCTCCCATGGCCTTTCTGGTAAAATCTATGTGCCTTTTCTTGGCTCCCCATGACTGGTATTGGCCATCTTCACCTGTTTCCATCCTACATAAATGGAATACTCTGCCAGTTCCCAATAAACTCTCACACTAAGGTCATTTCCATGATCTTAGCCTGTCTAAATTTGCCCCAGACCTTATGGCCCAGCTAAATGTGAAGTCTCTACAAAAGCCTCCAGAATCATCCTGTCTGGAAACAAGGCTTCTTTCGCGTGCCTGTCAATGACCCTTTAAAGGGTTCATGTACCACGGATGGCTTCGGAGAGTAGCTGATTGTGTACCTGCCTTCGGATTTCTCCTAGAATGAAACAGCTCTGTCTTTTACATCTTCCCATCTCCTAAGAATCAAGTACATTAAGTCCCTTATTTATTTGATGAATAAATGAATGAATGACGCTGTCACAGCAGAAGTCAGAATACCAAAGGACGATTCTGTGACACATCAAAATTTCTTCTCAGAAAGTACTCATTGATTGTTTTTGATAACTTTTCCCTCTCAAAAATGAATGCCTTAGGTCTTGGTGCTCATATGGGACTTTTTGCTACTGAACTATCTGACCTTTGACTTACTTTCTGACAGTTACATGTAGCACAATAATTTTTTTAAGAGGACAAGAACAAGTGTCCTCTACATTATAGTGTCTGCCTGTGTAGGAACACAAATAAAGGTTAAAGGTGGGGCTTAGATTAGTGCTGACCAAAAGCAACTTCTTTACTAAATTATTTATTTATTTGAGATGGGGTCTCACTTTGTTGCTCAGGCTGGAGTGCAGTGGTACAATCACCACTCACTGCAGCCTTGACCTCCTGGGCTCAAGTGATCCTCCCACCTCAGCCTCCCAAGGAGCTGGGACTACAGGCACATGCCACCACAGCCAGGTACCCCCACACCCAGCTAATTTTTGTATTTTTTGTAGAAATGGGGTCTCGCCATGTTGCCCAGGCTGGTTTCCATCTCCTGGGTTCAAGCGATCCACCTGTGTCATCCTCCCAAAGTGCTAGGAGTACAGGTGTAATCCACTGTGCCAGGCCTTTAGTAAATTTATTAATCAGGATTCTATTTCTATTTATATTGTTACCTATAATCATTTGTCCTTGTTCAAACTAAAACCTCTTTAGATTTTGTTTTAAAACCATACTTTCTGTCAAGAACAGTTAATGTGCTTGGTATAACTGATAGTTGTGATATACACAATCTTGGCCAAAGCTGGTTGCTTGGTCTGCTTCTCTTGATGGAAGTCATTGCTTCTGTCATGGTGGCCTCCACTACACAACTCTCTTGCCTTCTGGTTCTGGTAACTTCGCTGTCCCCTGGTCTCTTTCGACCTAAGGGTGGTCATAATTCTGCTGCTGCAAGTCACAGGCTCTGGCACTACCCCTCGTGGTTCTGCTCTTGCCACACCTTTGCCAACAGTCCTTTCATAAATAACCTTCCTACTCTTGCCCAATTTTGTGTGTGCCATCTGTTTTCATTTGGGATCTGGAATGAGACAACATATAGTTGGCCCACTGTATCCACGGGTTATGCATCTTTGGATTCAATGAACCATGGATCAAAAACAGTATTTGTGGGATGCAGAATCTATGGATACAGAGGACCAACAATTGCATGACTTGAGCTTCCATGGATTTTGGTATCTGCAGGGGTCCTGGAACCAACACCCCATGGATCCAGAGGACCACTGTATATGCATGTTTATCAAGCTTATTCAAAGCCCCCTTTTTCTGTGTGAAGAGATTTTCCTTAAATCTTCATTTCTTGTGAAAATGGGAAGACTTTCAAGATAACAGTCAACAGAAAACTAGATGAAATGACCACAGAATTATTTTTAAACCATAACTTGCATTATTATCATTATTATTACCATTTTTTCATTTTAACATGAATTTCTGGGAGAGAGAGGCTGGGTCCATTCAAAGCATGGTAGGTCATGAATAGCTTTGTTTTTATCTTCATTGCAGCTCAGAGAGGATGGTGAAAGGTGCTACAGTCTGGTGAATGTTTTGTACTTCTCTTTCTCTTATCAGAAGGAAGCCAGGCCACCAGCTAAGGTTATCAGAGCCATAGACTGTTGAGTCCCCCTTTCTTCTCAGGGAGCACGGTTTGTCTCACAGTTTCCTGAGCAACCACCGGGTTGTCTTGTGGGGGAGCCTACCCCTTACAGAGCCTGAAAAGGAGCCAGTGGTCAGATGGTCACGTGTTGAAGGGCATCCTGGGCCTGAACAGGAAATATACTCAGAGGAAAGTTACAGTAACTTAACTAGCTCTGTGGTCAGGAGGGAGGTGCTCTTCTATGCCAGGGAAATCAGCATCACCTTCACAGTGTGCTCACAAATATCACAGGGCAAAATGGCTGAAAGTAGAAGCTTTCATTGTTTTTGGTTCCTACCTAACATGTGAAATTCTGTTCAGTCCGAATTTTTAAAAGGAAACAAGATAATTAGAATCTTACAACCTGATTTTTCAACTGCAAAAGAAAGTCAGACTATGATGTGCATAAATGGAACCTGATAAAGTTCTTAAAGATTCTGGAGGAAAATCACATTTTGCTAATTAATCATGTATTCCAGCTCTCTAACTGCTTCTTTAGCTTCCCAGTACGTTTTATTTCTCTATGGTGCTACGATAAAGAAAAGGAAAAACTATGACAAACAAATGTAATTCACAAAAGCCCTGAAGTTAAGGATTTTCCTAGTGAAGTTCAGACTGAAATGTGATTTCATGTGTTGACTCATGTCTATGTTCAATCCCTTTTGTATACTTGGGTAAGCTAGAATGGAAGATCTCAATGGTATAATTATTACTTGTGCATCAGAAATAATTTATAAGATTATTTGATGTGATCATACTGTCTGTAAGCCTTATCTGGGATCCATCTATGACCTTCAGGAAATCTTCAAAATTGTAAGCAAAATGTTTTGTATATGTGCATTAGAGGCAAAAAATTTGGAAATGTATTTTTTTCTAGATATGAGCATGAAATAAATTCAGTCTTGCTGAATGAACAAAGTTGTTTTTCTGTCCATTTATGATTTAAAACATTACTCCTAGATGTCTAAATAAATAAATTACATCTTAGCTCTTCCATTATTTGTGTGACCTTGTTTGAAAAGTCATTTACTTCTTCTCTTTTTTTCCCCCCAATAGCCTCTTCTTTAAAATAAGGAATTGGCATAGATCATCTCCAAGTTCCCTTCCAGTTGAGTGTGGTTTTTTGCAGGATAAGACTCTAATAAAATAGTGGGGAAAATGAAATGTATTTTGTTCTGGTCCTCTTCCCATTCCATTCACTCCCCTACTTAATGGTAATCTCCTCCCTAACCCTCACTCCAGACATCTGGTACCATCCTCCCTATCAAGTCCAACTTTGAGAGGATCTAGAACCAATCACTGCAATTGTGTTGAAATTTTGATGCAACATGGCAGAAGGAAATGAACAATAGATTAGAAGTCATAAGTTATGAGCTTAAATTTCAAGGATCACTTATGTTTCCTGTAACCTTGGACAACTCATCTACCTCTTTGACCTCAGTTTCCCCATGTGTAAGATGGGCATAAAGATGACTGTCCTGCCTATTTACTTCACAGTTGAATATAGAGTTCAGATGAGATAAGAGACAGCATTTTATAGCCCTGTGAATGTAAGCCATAGATACTAAATTAAGCCAATGTGTTTCCCATATTGCATTTTGGGCTTCATTTTCTTTGGAAATCTAAGCATTAACTGAGCTGGTGGGAGGGTCCTTTTAAGGTCAGGGTTCTTTGATGCTGGGAGCCACACCTTAGAGGTGGTTACCACCCCACCTATGCAGAGGGTTGACCTCATTACTAAATATGGTAATTGACCCGTTTATAATAGGTGTAAACGGCAAGAGTTGTTTTTTTTTGTAACCAAGCTTCCCCACCACCCACTGCCATTCTCATGGAAGTTCAAGCAACTTTCAATTTTCCTGAAGTCGGCTGTTTCACAAGATTCACAGATTATCTGTGGGAAATCTTTTAGCTCTCAGTACCTTGCTCACAAGCAGCAGATAAGTACCTTCTCACCTCCAATCTCACTCTTCATGTTGCCTGTTGTTAAGCAGGAGCTGTGAGGGAAAGAGGTTTGAGGTTAGTGCTTCCTGTCTCCACACCTTTAGCTGGTTTAGCTGCTAGGAAAGGCTTTGAAAAGCAAAGCACTAAATTCACCTTCAAAACAACTTGTCAATTCAGTTAGAGAAATGTCAGTCAGACCAATCTTTTGATAACGTAAGCAAAGAAAATGGATGGGTTGACAATGTTTCTTTTAACCTAGTAGGTTTGACCTAGGTAGACCTTACCTGAACACTCACAAGAAGTAAAATCAAATATTCACAGGGAAAGGGCTGGGTCTCCTGATACCCAAGTAGCCTAAGAAGAATGCCTTCCACTCCTAGCATGAACTGGAAAGCAAAAAGAAATCAAACACAAGTTAGGACGAGGGAGCTACATATTTGGGTTTCTTCTGAGTCTAGATATGTCCTTACATTTGTAATATGTCCTTACATTATTTGAAGTACTGTGGATTTTCAGAAACTCAGAGACCGAAAATACATATCAAAGCCAAATGTCATCTGATATTCTGATTATCAGCTACTTTGATTTCTCCATGTTTTTACTTCATAGAGCAAGGGGTGTGCATTTTTACACATGCCCCATTTTAAAAGAAAATAAGAGAAATCAGAATTATTGTGTTTACTCAAAGTCACAATGATCACACATATTCAGTATCACTTAGAGTCACTGGTTATCTTTTTCTAGCACCAAAAGTAAATTTCTCTCATTTACTGTCTTGCAAAGCATATAGAGATTTTGAGGTCCTGTGAGATAGTTTCCTATTTAGGCTTCTCTGAATTATTGACATGAACCAAGGTGGGACCAAATGCTATGAGGATATAAATATTGAGAAACGAGATTTTATCAGCCAACCTTGAACTCAGCTTGAACTCTAAACTAGGAGGCTGTTAGCTACATGTTAACACATAGTAAGCAAACGATTTCAAGCACAGTATCTGTGTTTGAGAGCCAGCTAATTTAAAAATGATCTATGTTGACAAAGAAGAGGGAGGAAAGTAAACATGAGCAATAAATTGGATGGCTTTTCCTCAAATGGCCTTATCGAAAACAAATAGTTTTCAAGCTCTTTTCCAGCAAAATCTTAGCACTTTTCTGCATAAAAGCCTTCAGTAGATCTTCATCACCTTCAGAAGAGAGCCCAAGCTCTCTAATGGAGTGAACTATGCTTGCTCTGACAATCTTGTCTTTTGTAACTCATGGCCCAGCAAAAAGAAGGTAGCTGTAATTCCCCAAGTCGGCCACACTCTTACCCTCCTCATCTCCCTTGCCCAGACTACTCTTTTTCTCTCTTTGTCTTATCCTCCCCACAGTCCCCTAACTCACCCCAGCCCAAACACACACTCTCCCACCTCACCCCAGTCCCCAACACAAAGACACGTCTTAGCCAGGCTAACTTTTACTTAGTAAAAGTTGGTCAAATCCATGTATGCATACTCCTTCAGGACTCAGGTCAGCCGTCATCTCCTGAGATCCTTAGCTGGTTTCCCTGTTGCCCCCGGAAGTTTTGTGCAGATCACTGTGTCACTATGTTTAAAGTAGGGTCTATTTATATCTTTCTTCCCCATCAGATCATGAGCTGCCGTAGGACGGGAATTGAGTGGCATTCATTTTTGGGAAATCAATTCTTCTCTCCCATGTGCATCTTAGGAACATGTCACACCCTGAGTTAGACAGGACATATTCAGCAAACCACTGGACTCTAGATGCCACAGCTTTTCTTCCTTCCTCTCTCTCCCTTCCCTCTCTCCACCTCACTGTGTGTGCTGGGAGAGGGAGTCAAACTGGGGAGCCATCTGGGGTTTCTCTCCAGCCCACCCACACTCCCTTTTTTTGTCTCCACAAAGAAGTCCTATTCTCATTCCCATCTTTTTCTTTAAATCAGCTCACAAAGGCAGATCAGGAAGAATTTGAATGTGCATTAAAACAGAATCCAAATAATTAGCAATAGAAACACAATTCCCAGGGCGGTGAGCAAGCAGAATACAAATGCCTAACCTGCACTCACTCTCTGAAAAGGAGGAGAGATGCAGGCATTGCTTGCTGGAGTTGGTTGCTCTTCCAATTAGAACTGACCTAATGACTCCTTCTAAGTAAAAAAAGGAAACAAACAAAATAAATCAAAAACAAAAAAACAAATTGGATGTTTGTATTAAGACAGGTCGAACTTTTTGATTCTTTGCATGTTTATTTTTCAGTGCTTTTGCAAAATATTTGTGGAACAAATAATAGGTGAAGTTAAAGTTGTTGACACAGGTTTCCAAAAAGGATTTAATGAGATGGTAGTCAAACCTAGCTGCTGATAACAACAATACAGCCGAATCACCATCTTTCACTCCACAATTATTTTATGAGAGTCTATTAGTCATACTGTGTTATGTAAAGAAGCATAACATGTGGTCCTTTCTGTCAAGAGACTTGGAAACCAGGGGCCTAAGGGAAATGCACATGAATCCAAAGCTAAGCAAATTGAAGCATGTGAAACAAGAGTTGTTTAAAAGGTAGAACTCAAATGTCAAGTGAGCGATACAGATAGTAATCATTTTGAGACCTGAGAAGGGAGTGGTGCTCTGTGCCAAGGAGTTAGTAGACAAGGCATGGAGGTAGGAATGCTCACAGTCTGTTCTTGGGATGTTGGCTTAAATGGTCTAATTAGGAGGGCTTCGGTTTGAGGAAATGAGGTTGGAAAAACCTGTGGAGGCCGATTTGAGGATAAGAAGTTAGTTTTCCTCTGTTAGGCCACTGGTTCTCAAATTTGACTGCCATCTAGAATTACTAGAGAAACTTAAAAAATATGAATGGATGCCTGGGTCCTATACCTAGAGATTCTGATTTAATTGGCCTTGGAAAACCAAAGGCTTTTAGATTTTTCCAGGTGATTCTAAATATGTTGTCAGGTGAATTCCACTAGGCCATAGTGGCTTTCAACCCAATTGAATATTAGAATCAAGTGGGGGAACTTTTAAGATAATATGAAAGACAATCCACAGAATGAGAGAAAACATTTACAAATCACATATCTGATAAGAAACTTGTATCAAGGCTGAGGCAGGCAGATCATCTGAGGTCAGGAGTTTGAGACCAGCCTGGCCCACATGGAGAAACCCCATCTCTACTAAAAATATAAAAATTAGCTGGGGGTGGTGGTGGTCACCTCCAATTCCAGCTACTCGGGAGGCTGAGGCAGGAGGATTGCTTGATTCTGGGTGGCAGAGGCTGCAGTGAGCCAAGATCATGCCACTGCACTCCAGCCTGGGTGACAGAGTGAGACTCTGTAAAAATAAAAAAAAAAAAGTATAAAAAATGCATACAGAACTCCAATAATTCAATAATAAAAAGATAAATAGCCTAACCAGTTAATAAATGGGCAAATGATCTGAATAGAGAGTTCTCTAAAAAGAATAGACCAATGGCTAATAAGCACATGAAAAGATGCTTAGCATCATTAGTTATTAGAGAAATAGCAAATCAAACCATGATGAGATATCACTTCACGTCCACCAGGATGGCTATAATAGAAAAGATGAACAATAACAAGTGTCGGCAAGGGTGAGGATAAATTGGAGCCCTCATTCACTGCTGGTGAGAATGTACAATGGTGCAGTTGCTTTGGCAACAGTTTGACGATTCCTCAAAAAGTTAAACATAGAGTTACCATATGACCCAGCAATTTTACTGCTGGCAAATACCTAAGAGAGTTGAAAACATACGTCCACACAAAAATCTGTATGCAAATGCTCATAGTAGCATTATTCATAATAGCCAAAAAGTGATGAATAGAAAAACAAAATGTAGTATAGCCATACAATGGAATATTATTTGGCCATGAAGAGTGAAGTTCTGGTGCATGCAACAACATGGATGAAACTTGAAACATGGATGAAACTTGAAAACATTATGCTAAGTGAAAGAAACGAGACACAAAAAGCCACATATCGTATGATTCTACTTATAAAAAAAGTCCAGAATAGGCAAATTCATAGGGCCAAAGTAGATCAGTGGTTTCCAGGGATTTAAGGGAGGGAGGAAGCAGGGTGATGGTAAATGGGTATGGTATTTCTTTATGGAGTAATGAAAATGTTCTGGAATCAGATAGTGGTGATTCATTCATAACTTTGTGAATATACTAAAAAATCTCTGAATTTTACACTTTAAAACAGCAAACTTTATAGTACCTGAATTATATCTCAATAAAGTTATTATCTAAAATAAAGAAAAAAAACTTAGTATCAATCCTTCCCCCCAGCCTAGACCAATTAAATCAGAATTTCCGGAAGTGGGAGGACTTGGGCACAGATATTTTTTCATTTTAAAGTTCTTGATATAAAGCCAGCAATGATTTTTTAAAAAGAATTTTGTAGAGATGGGTTCTTTCTATGTTGCCCAGGCTGGTCTTGAACTCCTGGGCTCAAGCATTCATCCCGCCTTGGCCTCCCAAAGTGCTAGGATCACAAAGGTGTGAGCCATCATCCCCAGCCAGCATTATTGATTATATAGGAGACAAAAAGCTACTATTAATTTAGTTCTATGCCATTTCCTTCTTACCAAAACCAAAACAAAACACCTGTGTATATGAATTCAAATTCAGTTAAATTGTAAATTTCATTTAAAAATGAATCTGATTTTATTTGGCTCTTCAGTGTGGGTATACGGGATGTTGCTTCAAATAAACTTAAAAGAAATGCAAGTAGGTAAATAATTATTAACATACCCCAAAACAAGAGCAAAAAAATGCTTTTGTTTGCATTGAAATTTGAATCAAAGACACAAAGTGGTTTGTTGTTTTAGAAAAATTCTTGAGGGCCAGGCGCAGTGGCTCACACCTGTAATCCCAGCACTTTGGGAGGCCGAGGCGGTGGATCACCTGAGGTTGGGAGTTCGAGACAAGCCTGACCAACATGGAGAAACCCCGTCTCTACTAAAAATAGAAAATTAGCCGGGCATGGTGGTGCATACCTGTTAATCCCAGCTACTCGGGAGGCTGAGGCAGGAGAATCACCTGAACCCAGAGGGCGGAGGTTGCAGTCAGCTGAGATCGCACCATTGCACTCCAGCCTGGGCAACAAGAGCGAAACTCCGTCTCCAGAAAAAAAAAAAAAAAGAAAAATTTTGGAAGGTGTCTTGGTTGCAAAGTTGATTCCCAGTTTCTCAGTGCTTCAGTGGTCTATTTCTCAGGTGGTCATAGCCAACTTGGGTTTTAGTTCTGGCTTTGCTCACCATTTGTTTGGTGACTTCAGACAAACCAGCTAATGTTTCTAGGCCTTATACAATCATTAGAAAAGAAAAAAAAAAAGAAATAATATTGTCCTGTGCCAACAATGAGGATACCATGGGAAATGAGATCAATGTGTTCTCTTCACTTATGGAGTTGATAAACTAGTTTCAGGTTCTTTGCTTTTAAAGATTGAACTAAATGCTCTCCAGATTCTTTGATCTTTTATTGGGATAGCAGTAAAGGTAGATGATGGACCAGAGAGATAACTCCCCTCTGGAGTCTTTCACCTTTCATGATATAAGGGAATAGATCTATGAATTTCTTGGGGAGGCTATTCTCTGAATTTGGTGCAGAAAACACATTAAAGCAAACTCTTGGGTTATATTTTTTCTTATCTCTTCATCCCACTCTTGCAATGGGCAATAAACAAAGTAAAAATGTTTCAAAATATTTTAATTCCTTTACAAAAACCTGTATCACAACTTAAAAACAAATCTATTTGTAGGTTGGGCATGGTGGCTCATGCTTGTAATCCCAGCACTTTGGGAGGCCAAGGTGGTCAGATCACTTGAGGCCAGGAGTTTGAGACCAGGCTAGCCAACATGGTGAAACCCCGTCTATACTAAAAAAATAGAAAAATTAGCTGGGCGTGGTGGTGCATACCTGTAATCCCAGCTACTTAAGAGACTGAGGCAGGAGAATTGTTTGAACTCGGTGGGTGGAGGTTGCAGTGAGCTGAGATTGCACCACTGCACTTCAGCCTGGGCAACAGAGCAAGACTCTGTCTCAAAAACAAACAAACAAAGAAACAGATCTATTTTTGTGTCTGTGTCAGGCACTAAAGCCACCTCCAAATATATCACTCAGTCAGGAAATTGGCCCAATGCATGATTAATATTAATGTCTCAGGAATATAGATTTAAAAATTGTGAGTGCCTAGCTGTGGTGCTCAATGCTAACAGAAAGCCATGTACTGCCTTCTGGGTGAAAACATGCTCCATTGTTCCATTCAAAAGAGGATGAAAATAATATTGAAATGTTAACTTTTGAACTCTCAGTATAATTATCCCCTGAAGAGGTCCTACATCTTCTGCCAAGAGAAAACCTTTGCTGGAGATCTGTTCATTTAGTTAATTAATATATTTTGCTCTCAGGAAGAAAAATTATCCTTATATTCTTGTTCTAAGCAAATGATTTTTTTTTCCCCCAGGAAACAAGATTTTGGTGAAGCAGTCGCCCATGCTTGTAGCGTACGACAATGCGGTCAACCTTAGCTGCAAGTATTCCTACAATCTCTTCTCAAGGGAGTTCCGGGCATCCCTTCACAAAGGACTGGATAGTGCTGTGGAAGTCTGTGTTGTATATGGGAATTACTCCCAGCAGCTTCAGGTTTACTCAAAAACGGGGTTCAACTGTGATGGGAAATTGGGCAATGAATCAGTGACATTCTACCTCCAGAATTTGTATGTTAACCAAACAGATATTTACTTCTGCAAAATTGAAGTTATGTATCCTCCTCCTTACCTAGACAATGAGAAGAGCAATGGAACCATTATCCATGTGAAAGGTAACATACAACTTTACCAGTGTACCACCCTAAAGTAATGGTTTTCAAATGCAGTCCTGAAAACTGGGTTGTGGTCAGTGGTGGGGTTGAATAAGGCCTAAGTGATTTGATACTAACAAAGACAAATAATGTTTTCAGAAAAATTTTTCCCTTTACTGTAGAGGAGATTCAAGGTTATATTTTGAATATCTTTATTTTCCTTTGCTGACATTGAGCGGGAGAGTAAGTGATGAAGTTACCGCATGTGGGAACAGATCATTTTTCTCCATTCCAGTGGATCATGGCAGAAAAGAGGTTACCATTAAAATGTAAGCCCAGGTGCCCTCAAGTAACAGCTGGGTCTAATGGGTTAAGACTCAGGAAGACTCACTTCTATTTCTAATTAATTCTTTTTTTGTGCTCCATAATCTTCCTCTGTAAAAGTACCTTTCCATTTTCTTTTTCCTTCCTTCCTTCCTTCCTTCCTTCCTTCCTTCCTTTTCTTTTCTTTTTCTTTTTCTTTTTTTTTGAGACGGACTCTCGCTCTGTCGCCCAGGCTGGAGTGCAGTGGCGGGATCTCAGTTCACTGCAAGCTCTGCCTCCCGGGTTCACGTCATTCTCCTGCCTCAGCCTCCCGATCAGCTGGGACTACAGGGCCCGCCACCACGCCTGGCTTATTTTTTGTATATTTATTTATTTATTTATTTTAATTAATTAATTTTTTTTTTTGAGAGGGAGTCTTGCTCTGTCGCCCAGGCTGGAATGCGGTGGCGCGATCTCGGCTCACTGCAAGCTCCGCCTCCCAGGTTCATGCCATTCTCCTGCCTCAGCCTCCTGAGTAGCTGGGACTACAGGTACCTGCCACCATGCCCGGCTAATTTTTTGTATTTTTAGTAGACAGGGTTTCACCTTGTTAGCCAGGATGGTCTCGATTTCCTGACCTCGTGACCCGCCCGTGTTGGCCTCCCAAAGTGCTGGGATTACAGGCGTGAGCCACCGCGCCCAGCCATTTTTTGTACTTTTAGTAGAGACGGGGTTTCACCGTGTTAGCAAGGATGGTCTCAATCTCCTGACCTCGTGATCTGCCCACCTGGGCCTCCCAAAGTGCTGTGATTACAGGCGTAAGCCACCGCGCCCAGCCCGTACCTTTCCATTTTCTAAAATATACAAAGAATGCTGGACTAGAAACCGGGGGACATAAAATTTGCTATTAATCAACTGTGTGATCTTGGATAAGTCACCTAACTTTTTCATAGTCAAAAACTCAGTACAACTGTTAAGCAGTATTTGTGAATTAGTGAAAATAAGTCTACTGAACTTTTGTTGATGTTATGTTCTGCCTAAATGTTAGGGAGAAAAATCATGATTCCCCAACTCAGAAGAATACAGTATTGGTAGCAACAAGTAAAGTTTGATTTTTTGGTATACTTTGTGGATATATCATAGCTTTTCATTTTTGTGGAATGATAATAAGAAACACATATGTTCAGTTTTGTACTGAATCCTAGCATAATGCCAATGAATGGTTTTTCTTCAATGCTGGAACAGAGCCATGCTGATGAAAAATAGGATACTAAATAAGGAAAGAATTGTTAATGTGGCAGATAAGCTTTTGTGTTCTGGCAAAATAGAGACAATTAATGTGTGAATATTTTGTTTGCTGAGTCCTATTTAGATTTCTAATATCTGTAATATCCAAACAGAATATTTTAATTGTATCAAGTCAAAGGTTAAAAAATTATGCTATTTTGCTTGTAGCTAAGAGTGAAATATTTTTTCCTATATGAAAGGCATGCTACTTTAGGATAGTATTTTATATATATGTATACACACATATACACATATCATTTATGTTAGAACTGAGAAGGACACCAATGATCCTGTACTTAGTAATTTTCAATCCTATCTGTATATTATAAATCTGAGTAGGTTTTAAAAGAAATACCAATGCCTAGTTCCAGCCCTGAGATTCTGATGTAATTGATATGGGTTGAGGAAGGGGTGCTGGACATCAGTATATTTTCAAACTTTCTCGGATAATTTATTGTGCAGCTAGGATGGAAAATCAATGGACTAGAGGATTTTTGGTATGCTTTCTAGTTCTAATTTTCTCTAATTTTGAATAGAATTCTATAGGTTCCTTCTCATCCCCTTTTGATTCCTAAAGATACAAAGTGATTTGTTTGTCATTATATAATCTATGAGACAGGGTTGGAACTAGAAATTTATCCTCTGATTAGCAGTCCAGTGTTCTGACTGCCATATTAGGCTGATGATTTTCTTAAGGCTTGAAAACATGCATATTATTTAACTTATTCCAAGGATGCAGTTTAGGGTCTAGATTAACTATCTTCTGATGGGAGAAACGGATAAAGTTAGGTTAAGGCCATTGGAAGTCACCGTTTTGAATCACACAGTAGAATCCACAAAGTCAAGTGAATACAAGTCTACCAGTGTACCATCCTAACGTAATGGCTTTCAACTGTGGTCGTGAAAACTGACCAGATCATGGTCAGTGGTGGGGTTGGGTAAGTCTCAAAGAGGAAATCTATTCACTCTAAGCTGGTGATATGTTTAATATTTTTATTTCTTTCACATTTTTCTCTGATGTTCACAAGGAAGGAAATGCACTCAATTGCTATTCCTGTATCATTTAATCCACTCTATTTTGTTTTTCAGGGAAACACCTTTGTCCAAGTCCCCTATTTCCCGGACCTTCTAAGCCCTTTTGGGTGCTGGTGGTGGTTGGTGGAGTCCTGGCTTGCTATAGCTTGCTAGTAACAGTGGCCTTTATTATTTTCTGGGTAAGAGAAGCAGCACTGCTTTTATGTAACTTTTCCACTGCACATGAAATCTGAACACATTCAAGAATTTTGCCTATGTGGTTTATTTTCTGTTTAATATAGGATGATGATTTTCTTTTCCCCATGCTTGAGTAGGTTCTCTTTTAGCTTGTTCAACTCTATCTGAGATAAAAATCTGATATGAGTTAGATTTCCCAGAAGGCATTGAGTAGGTGGTGAGGCAAAATAAGAAGCTAAATGGGTAAATTAGGGTGGAGGGATTAGGAGCAGTTGCCTTTCTTCTCCCCATTTTGCAATATAATTATGACACATAAAACAGTTTTAATGCGTATATATGTATAAACACCTAGGCAACTTGGGAAGCTAGGCAACTGAAGCCAATGGACAATGTTGGCTTGATCAAAAATCATGAGAAACTTGGCTACTGAAATTGTGTATTCAAACCTAGCAAAGAAACTAGATCTGTTTATCTGAGTCATATTTTTTTTTCTCCTCTGAAGCAGTTGAATTGTGTGAGGCCAAGTATGGTGCTGTCATTATGAAACTATAATGGGAGTTAGAATTTTCTGAGCTCTCACCACTGAATTGAAGTACTAACTTTTGCAAATGTTTACGTAATAAATGTGGTGTATTTTTCTTTACCTTCCTCAACATTGAATTTTTGGCCTGGGTTTGAACACATTTTGATGAACGCACCTACAGTTAAGAACGTACCCCTGAGTGACCCTTGTTCTTACTCAGAAACTTCTTAGGTACATAGTATGGTACAGAATGTATTGACTCCATGTTGTCTTTGAATTTTTTTCTAGAAGTTACATGCATGGATGAGTCATTTCTTCAATGAGAAATGTATTCTCAAACATAAAAGACTATTTCTCTTGATAGTCTCCAAAAGACTATTTCTCTTGATATTCTCCATTTGATATTAAGTACATTTGGTGCTTAATGAATGCTTATTGGATTGATGAATTGATAACCTCCAGAGAGGTCAAATTAAGGATTTAAATGAGTCTGCCTGAAGTATGATACTCATCTTTAAGGCATAATCTGTATATGTACCTAATTCATAGATGGGTCAGTGATTTCTGAAAGCCATATCATATGAAGTCATTCTGTTTACTGTCAGCTTGGTGACTGCGGGTACAGACCTGGATCCACAGCCATGCCTTCCTATTATCCAGTCTTAGATTCTTTTAGACTCTTCTTGGCCTATTGCCAAAGCTTACCTTTCAGTTGTTCCCCACATGCTCCTTGCAGTTCAGAAGACCCTAGGGCTCAGATGGACATTTGTCAGGCTGCCTGTTGCTTACTCTGTACTTGCCGCAGGGTAGGAAACAAAGTGGTTGCTTGTTCCTGGAAATTCTTTATACTAGGTATCATCTTAAGAATTTGCCTGGCTTGCCTTCTGCAAGTTGCCCAACCCTGAAGGTGGGGCTTTGGTATTGTAAAATGTTGCCTGAATTCTGCCTCTGATGTTAGTTGACTACTTTCACCTTTCCAGATCTTGGTATCTTCATCCAACTTACCTTCTAACTTTGATCCTCTGGTGTTTGCTGATAATTTTCGAGTTTTTAGAATTCTTAGTTCTTGTTTCTTCTTAATCTCTGGCCATTGGCTTTTATGCCTACCATATGGCTTTTCAATCCTCTTATTGGGAATCTCAACTTTCTAACTTAAAGGCCAGGTGCAGTGGCCCTTTGGATACCCCTCCAGGAAAGGCATTCCCCTGTGATATGCTGACCTAGGTCAAAGTAATTTACTAGCTCTGCAGAAAGTAGTTTTGGGAATTACTTTAACCTTCAATGGCCAGAGGACACTGCTCATTATTGAAAACTTATTATAAATATTCATTAGAATGTCAGTTACTATAATGAGACATCAATTTGTTGAGTGACTTGAGTCACCCAAAGGGACAAAAGCAGCTTCTCACTTTCAATGAATTTAAACCGTTCACTTTCAACTCAGACACATCATAGACACACTGGGTTTTTCCTTGGCAGTACTACTAATTCCTAGTGAGATTCATCTTGCTTTGTTTTAAAAAAATTTTATTTTTGTTTTACTTTGTCTTACAGACCCCCTGTGAATTGGGCAGTCCTGTCATTTGTGGCCTCTTGTAGTCAATTCGGTTACCCAATAAAAACTACCACTTATCTGCATCTCAAACCTGGGTCTTTGTACTCTCTTACCAAAAGAGTATAAATACAAGTTTGTCTATATTTCGTAGAATAACATAGTATTTTTACTCTGGGCTCATCTTTTCCTGCTGTTGGTATTTAAGCAACAAGTACCTTGCTGAGTTGGGCATCTAGGCCATTATGGATCCCTGGAGTTTAGCTGTTTCCTGGGTAATTTTCTGAGATCCTATTTTTGGCTGGTCTGCAGCGTGCCTTGATGTAAGTTGCTGTTTTCCGGAACTTCCTGAGGGCCTGATATGCTACTGTAGGCAGTTCTGGGTTGAGTGGGTTTCTAGGCTGAGCGGGTTTCTGGGAGCAGCTGCAGATTCTATCTCAGTTCTTGACCTGATGTTGACATTTGAGTAAATAAAGAGCTCCCTTTGGTCAAGCTGTCACAGGCCAGCACCTGTCACTGTCTTTCAATTCTCCATTCATGCAGCTGTGCTGGTAAAGCTGCCCGTTTTCCTAAAGAAATCTTTTTAAAAAACATTATGTTCCCCACTGCAGATCATAATGTGAGGAATGTAGATAGTGTGTGTACAGGTAGTGTCTGCTTTTTATAATAATCCAGTAGATTCTTGAAGACCACGTACTTAAGTAGATTACCTTGCATATGCCCTGTGTATTGCTGCTGTTCCCAGGAAACAAGTGGGTAAGGCTGGCATGGGGAGAAGGGCAAAGGAGGAATGGTCCAGAAATTACATATCATTAGCTGACATTCACTGTTGAAGGGGTGGAGATGACACAGACACATAGGGTAGGTACTTCCTGCACACATATGCACACATACTCAATGCACATGGGTGCTGTAGGTTCTGCGTGGTGTTTGTTCCCAGCCATGCATCTGTCATTTTCATCCCACTGCTGTGTTTAGAGTTAGGGTGATAATAAGTAAGTCTGCCATCTGACAATCACTTGAGGATAAGCATGGGAGCTGACTGCAACAGACCTTTCATTATTTTATGTGCAATGTAAAGAACCTGAGAATCAAGACACCTTTATTGCTGTGGCCTCTCTACCAGCTATGATTTGGTTTGGGTGTCCGGAGGCAGAGGCTGACACTTGGAGGTTTGGCAAAGGGAGTCCTCAGGGTTGGAGTAAGTACTAAAAATGCTTCCCAGGTTATCAGCTGTTTTCTACACTCATCTGGGGACAGACATTTCCTCGGCCTCACCCCTGCCCTGCTGTGATCTTGTGCTCAAGACAGCTCTAGTCTTTCATTTACAGAAAGGATGTAGAACCAAAACAATTCTTCATTGCATTGTAGGATGTTTAGCAGCATCTCTGACCTCTACCCAGTAGATGCCAGTAGCATCCCTCCCCGTTGTGATGATCCAAAATGTTTTTAGACTTCACTAAATGTCTCCTGGGACAGGGATTAAGGGAGCTTGAGGTGTCAAGGATGAGGTTAGGAGGTCTGTCTTGGGCAGCTGTATATATGGTAGTGTCATTCACTCAGATGAGAAACACTGGTAAAAAAAAAACAGCATTTGGGGGAAATCTTGAGTTTTATTTTAGACATGTTGAGTTTAGAGTGGCTTTGAGGTTTAGTCCAGAGATATAAATTTGGGTGAGTAGGTGGTAATTGAAGCTGTGAATGTGGATAAGATTGCCTAGGGAAAGAGGATAGAGAAGAAGGCCTAGGACCAAGCAGTGAGAAATTCTAACGGCTGGTTAGAGAAGGATGAGCTTGCAAAGGAGGCAGGGAAGGAGTGACAAGACAGGTAGGATAAAAACTGGGATGTCATAGATGGCAAAGAGAAATAGTATCACAAAAAGAAGAGAGTTATCAATAGTATAGAATACTGCTGAGAGTTGAAGAAGATGAGGACTTAAAACATGTTAGCTGTGTTTAGTAACATGGAAGTCAGCGTTTTTCAAACCTTTCTTTAGCACTTACTCATGCCCCTTTGACAAGGAAGGTGTGAAGTGCTCAGGCAGGAGTGTATGGAAACAAAACCAGGGCTGAAATCATTCACTTATTTATTCATTCAGGTATCATGTCATTCATGTACAGCATTATCTACTTAGGTATCAGCCTGTGTGCCAGGAACTAGGCACTTTTTTCATAATAGAGAATTCTGAATCCAGAAATCTGATGGCTTTCTGTTTTTAGATGTTTTCTGGGTCATTTGTTAAGAAATGTAGAATTTTACTATCACATTGATTCAGAAATGATGTTCCTAACCCTTAGTCAAAAATTTTGCTAAGATTCATGGTGGGTGAAACTATTGCCCTTACTTCCCTCACTTCTGGTGGAAATTCATCCTGATGGAGCCAAGCCTATGAAAGAGAGATGAGTGTAGAAATACATACCCATAAAGACATAGGAATGTACTAGTTGTCTAGAACTGTAAATTGCCATTAGTTTGGACTCCACCTTTACAAATTTGTGATTATTACAGACTCTGGAGGAGTTGAAAGTCCTCTTCGGTTAATTATGGAAAAACAGCTTGTTAAGCAAATGCTAATGTAAGAAGATCACAATGTGGGTAGGCTTAACCTAGTCAAAGGAGGAAGGGCCTTCAAGTGTATTTACATATCAACAGTGGATATGTTAATTAGTGTGCATTTTTAATTCAGGTCAGATGACAGCATTGAGAGTAACAGGGATGCATTTCTCTAAAATACTTTCTTTGAGATTTTTCAAGTTCAATGTGAAGAGTCAGTAGTTGGGTGTGATTAGTCATTACCCAAGTCCAAGGTGCTCAAAAAAGGTTAGTGTTTTAGTGTCTCTGTCATTTGACAGTTAATATTATGAATAGTTGTGCCCACAGTCTTAGAACTCCTTCCATGACATTGTCCCTCCATACTGACACTTCTCTTTCCTGCAGGTGAGGAGTAAGAGGAGCAGGCTCCTGCACAGTGACTACATGAACATGACTCCCCGCCGCCCCGGGCCCACCCGCAAGCATTACCAGCCCTATGCCCCACCACGCGACTTCGCAGCCTATCGCTCCTGACACGGACGCCTATCCAGAAGCCAGCCGGCTGGCAGCCCCCATCTGCTCAATATCACTGCTCTGGATAGGAAATGACCGCCATCTCCAGCCGGCCACCTCAGGCCCCTGTTGGGCCACCAATGCCAATTTTTCTCGAGTGACTAGACCAAATATCAAGATCATTTTGAGACTCTGAAATGAAGTAAAAGAGATTTCCTGTGACAGGCCAAGTCTTACAGTGCCATGGCCCACATTCCAACTTACCATGTACTTAGTGACTTGACTGAGAAGTTAGGGTAGAAAACAAAAAGGGAGTGGATTCTGGGAGCCTCTTCCCTTTCTCACTCACCTGCACATCTCAGTCAAGCAAAGTGTGGTATCCACAGACATTTTAGTTGCAGAAGAAAGGCTAGGAAATCATTCCTTTTGGTTAAATGGGTGTTTAATCTTTTGGTTAGTGGGTTAAACGGGGTAAGTTAGAGTAGGGGGAGGGATAGGAAGACATATTTAAAAACCATTAAAACACTGTCTCCCACTCATGAAATGAGCCACGTAGTTCCTATTTAATGCTGTTTTCCTTTAGTTTAGAAATACATAGACATTGTCTTTTATGAATTCTGATCATATTTAGTCATTTTGACCAAATGAGGGATTTGGTCAAATGAGGGATTCCCTCAAAGCAATATCAGGTAAACCAAGTTGCTTTCCTCACTCCCTGTCATGAGACTTCAGTGTTAATGTTCACAATATACTTTCGAAAGAATAAAATAGTTCTCCTACATGAAGAAAGAATATGTCAGGAAATAAGGTCACTTTATGTCAAAATTATTTGAGTACTATGGGACCTGGCGCAGTGGCTCATGCTTGTAATCCCAGCACTTTGGGAGGCCGAGGTGGGCAGATCACTTGAGATCAGGACCAGCCTGGTCAAGATGGTGAAACTCCGTCTGTACTAAAAATACAAAATTTAGCTTGGCCTGGTGGCAGGCACCTGTAATCCCAGCTGCCCAAGAGGCTGAGGCATGAGAATCGCTTGAACCTGGCAGGCGGAGGTTGCAGTGAGCCGAGATAGTGCCACAGCTCTCCAGCCTGGGCGACAGAGTGAGACTCCATCTCAAACAACAACAACAACAACAACAACAACAACAAACCACAAAATTATTTGAGTACTGTGAAGGATTATTTGTCTAACAGTTCATTCCAATCAGACCAGGTAGGAGCTTTCCTGTTTCATATGTTTCAGGGTTGCACAGTTGGTCTCTTTAATGTCGGTGTGGAGATCCAAAGTGGGTTGTGGAAAGAGCGTCCATAGGAGAAGTGAGAATACTGTGAAAAAGGGATGTTAGCATTCATTAGAGTATGAGGATGAGTCCCAAGAAGGTTCTTTGGAAGGAGGACGAATAGAATGGAGTAATGAAATTCTTGCCATGTGCTGAGGAGATAGCCAGCATTAGGTGACAATCTTCCAGAAGTGGTCAGGCAGAAGGTGCCCTGGTGAGAGCTCCTTTACAGGGACTTTATGTGGTTTAGGGCTCAGAGCTCCAAAACTCTGGGCTCAGCTGCTCCTGTACCTTGGAGGTCCATTCACATGGGAAAGTATTTTGGAATGTGTCTTTTGAAGAGAGCATCAGAGTTCTTAAGGGACTGGGTAAGGCCTGACCCTGAAATGACCATGGATATTTTTCTACCTACAGTTTGAGTCAACTAGAATATGCCTGGGGACCTTGAAGAATGGCCCTTCAGTGGCCCTCACCATTTGTTCATGCTTCAGTTAATTCAGGTGTTGAAGGAGCTTAGGTTTTAGAGGCACGTAGACTTGGTTCAAGTCTCGTTAGTAGTTGAATAGCCTCAGGCAAGTCACTGCCCACCTAAGATGATGGTTCTTCAACTATAAAATGGAGATAATGGTTACAAATGTCTCTTCCTATAGTATAATCTCCATAAGGGCATGGCCCAAGTCTGTCTTTGACTCTGCCTATCCCTGACATTTAGTAGCATGCCCGACATACAATGTTAGCTATTGGTATTATTGCCATATAGATAAATTATGTATAAAAATTAAACTGGGCAATAGCCTAAGAAGGGGGGAATATTGTAACACAAATTTAAACCCACTACGCAGGGATGAGGTGCTATAATATGAGGACCTTTTAACTTCCATCATTTTCCTGTTTCTTGAAATAGTTTATCTTGTAATGAAATATAAGGCACCTCCCACTTTTATGTATAGAAAGAGGTCTTTTAATTTTTTTTTAATGTGAGAAGGAAGGGAGGAGTAGGAATCTTGAGATTCCAGATCGAAAATACTGTACTTTGGTTGATTTTTAAGTGGGCTTCCATTCCATGGATTTAATCAGTCCCAAGAAGATCAAACTCAGCAGTACTTGGGTGCTGAAGAACTGTTGGATTTACCCTGGCACGTGTGCCACTTGCCAGCTTCTTGGGCACACAGAGTTCTTCAATCCAAGTTATCAGATTGTATTTGAAAATGACAGAGCTGGAGAGTTTTTTGAAATGGCAGTGGCAAATAAATAAATACTTTTTTTTAAATGGAAAGACTTGATCTATGGTAATAAATGATTTTGTTTTCTGACTGGAAAAATAGGCCTACTAAAGATGAATCACACTTGAGATGTTTCTTACTCACTCTGCACAGAAACAAAGAAGAAATGTTATACAGGGAAGTCCGTTTTCACTATTAGTATGAACCAAGAAATGGTTCAAAAACAGTGGTAGGAGCAATGCTTTCATAGTTTCAGATATGGTAGTTATGAAGAAAACAATGTCATTTGCTGCTATTATTGTAAGAGTCTTATAATTAATGGTACTCCTATAATTTTTGATTGTGAGCTCACCTATTTGGGTTAAGCATGCCAATTTAAAGAGACCAAGTGTATGTACATTATGTTCTACATATTCAGTGATAAAATTACTAAACTACTATATGTCTGCTTTAAATTTGTACTTTAATATTGTCTTTTGGTATTAAGAAAGATATGCTTTCAGAATAGATATGCTTCGCTTTGGCAAGGAATTTGGATAGAACTTGCTATTTAAAAGAGGTGTGGGGTAAATCCTTGTATAAATCTCCAGTTTAGCCTTTTTTGAAAAAGCTAGACTTTCAAATACTAATTTCACTTCAAGCAGGGTACGTTTCTGGTTTGTTTGCTTGACTTCAGTCACAATTTCTTATCAGACCAATGGCTGACCTCTTTGAGATGTCAGGCTAGGCTTACCTATGTGTTCTGTGTCATGTGAATGCTGAGAAGTTTGACAGAGATCCAACTTCAGCCTTGACCCCATCAGTCCCTCGGGTTAACTAACTGAGCCACCGGTCCTCATGGCTATTTTAATGAGGGTATTGATGGTTAAATGCATGTCTGATCCCTTATCCCAGCCATTTGCACTGCCAGCTGGGAACTATACCAGACCTGGATACTGATCCCAAAGTGTTAAATTCAACTACATGCTGGAGATTAGAGATGGTGCCAATAAAGGACCCAGAACCAGGATCTTGATTGCTATAGACTTATTAATAATCCAGGTCAAAGAGAGTGACACACACTCTCTCAAGACCTGGGGTGAGGGAGTCTGTGTTATCTGCAAGGCCATTTGAGGCTCAGAAAGTCTCTCTTTCCTATAGATATATGCATACTTTCTGACATATAGGAATGTATCAGGAATACTCAACCATCACAGGCATGTTCCTACCTCAGGGCCTTTACATGTCCTGTTTACTCTGTCTAGAATGTCCTTCTGTAGATGACCTGGCTTGCCTCGTCACCCTTCAGGTCCTTGCTCAAGTGTCATCTTCTCCCCTAGTTAAACTACCCCACACCCTGTCTGCTTTCCTTGCTTATTTTTCTCCATAGCATTTTACCATCTCTTACATTAGACATTTTTCTTATTTATTTGTAGTTTATAAGCTTCATGAGGCAAGTAACTTTGCTTTGTTTCTTGCTGTATCTCCAGTGCCCAGAGCAGTGCCTGGTATATAATAAATATTTATTGACTGAGTGAATGAGTTTTACATGGCCTTATGAATTAACGGTGAGTCTAAATGTTATAATCATACTTTGAGAGGGAGAAAGCCAGTTCTATTTTCTACTTTCCTCTTAAGAAGTTCAAAAATTCATTTTATTAAAAAAACAGGAGGTAAAATATATACACAGCCAAATCTAGTGAAAGAAAATCTGATGAATATAAGTTCATTTACGTTTTAGAAATTTTTGTGCAGTGAGGAAAACCAGTACTGTTAGAAAAGTCATGCCAACTCAGCCACTGTCAGGAGTAAGTTGATTTTCCATTGAAGTCCCCAAATTCCCTCTTAATGGAGTATTGGCTATATCTTAAACATATCTTTAGTTTAAGACTTCTGAAAATGTTGTCTTTGTCTAAAATGTTAAAATCCCATCCTACTACTGACCTGCTACTCTTTTTTCTGGGGTGATTTTACCCCCAACAAATTCTATAAATGCCTTCTCTGGCTCTGATTCAAAAAGTGCTCACAAATGGAAATGCTGGGGACAGAAAATTTCAACTTCTTCACCTGTCATACTCATATCATAGCTGAACACTCTAATAGCACACACACACACACACACACACACACACACAGACCCACACACACACACACACACCCCTATCATCTTCTGGGTAGGGGAAGGGAAAGGCGCTTGAACAACAGACACAAGAGCTGGTCTAATAATTCATGTAGCACCTTCTGTTTCCTTCGTTGAAATTTTACTCTGAAGGTGACTCAGAGTCAATTAAATTGGTGTGCAATGAGTTCATCTCTAAACTGATTCTTTTCTTTGGTGAAATGAAGCTTATTAAACTTAATAAAGGTAATTAAACTTGAAAAAGATGAGCTTATATGTCTCTTACTACTCCAAGAAAGACTGAACTCAGCTGGTTACTCATGGATAGTTCAATAAGACAAATCAAATCAATTGGAAAGGAACGAGATGGGTAAAAAAAAAAAAGCCATTAAATGAATCTGCTCAATAAGCACTCCTTTACCATGCTAATAAAAATAATGTAACCCAGTTCTGTAAAAAGGTTCTAGTACTTTGAAACTCAAGTTCAAAACAAAATAAAATGCAAACTTCGCTTCACCTAACACCTCCCACAACATTCTAGCTACCCAACTGGGTGAATATTGTAATTGCCCACAACCCCGAATTCACTTTTTCCCTCCAGTATGATAAAACAGATTGATTCCCTTTTAAAGCAATACCCTTTCTTCTCTCCCATCTTGTCGGTATCAGAGATAATGGATAGGTGAGAAAAAATTAAAGAAGCTTCTGGATTCATTGTAATGGGGACCTAACCATCACACTATGCAGCAGCAAATGGGATGGTCTGGAAAGCAGACCAGAACCTTGTCTGGTAACTTTGCTTCTAATGTCTGTCTGTGTTTCCTAAACTGAGGCCTAACTCTTGACTTTTTGACAGTGGTGCTCATAAGAAAGTTTGGGGCTGGGCACGGTCACTCATGCCTGTAATGTCAGCACTTTGGGAGGCTAATGCAGGAGGATCACTTGAGTCTAGGAGTTCAAGACCAGCTTGAACAACATAGGGAGACCCTGTCTGTATTAAAAAAAAAAATTAGCCAGACGTGATGGTGCAGGCCTGTAGTCCCAGCTACTTAGGAGGCTGAGGCTGCAGTGAACTGGGATCATACCCCTTCAAGAACACATGTGAATGGTGGGGCCTCTCAGCTTTCTCTGATTTGGCAACCCAGAAGAAATATGTGCTTTCTCTTTGAAGATTCACAGGATCCTAGCACTTGGAAACCTAGGCCACTGTCCAGAGCAGAAGGTCACACAATTTCTCAGAGTGACTTTTGTTCATTTCAGGGTGTTGACACCGGGCCCAACACTTGAAAATTGCTTGAGATGATAAATTGCTTGAGGTGATCAAAGAATATATCAGCTCTTCAAAGCTGACCTCATTCTTGGTGCAACTCTCAGGGCCAGAATGTGTGCTTCCCGAAGCTCATTTTCCTATCTGATTTGCCTGTTGAAACTCTGTGAAAGACCCTTGAATGCTAGGAATTTGAAGGGACAAAAAGTTGAAGAAAGGTGAATGGATTTCAGGGTGGAAGTGGACTGGATTTTACTCTCACTTCATCAGGCAGAGCTATCTCAGTGATAAATTGAAACTCTCCTCTGGCTCCAAAGAACAAATCATGAGCTGGGTGGAAATGTCAGTTGAGAAGAAGAGCAGCAAACAGCTTTGTTTTCCTATAGTTGTGGTTTTACATGGTGATGATGACACACGAAGATGAAAATGTGCAGCATGAACTCCAGTTGTTATCTGAGTGAGCATCTCTGCCAACACTGAAGGATATGTGTGGGTGTCACCTGAAAACAAAGAGAAAGACAGAGAGAGAAAAAGAAGAAAAGGAGGCCCTGTTTCGGAAAGAAGAGCCAGTTAATCAAAGATCAGCAGTGACAAGTGGCGCTGTTTATTTCATGAGCTTTATATGTGATTTCCTTCCCCTTGCTAATCTCGTCTGAATTTATTCTCTGGACTAAATATATTTGCATCTGGTGACTGAGGAAGGGGTGGAAAAGGTGACCTTGAATGGGCATCGGGGTAGTTACCATAGTTATTTAGTCATTTCTTCAGTCTCTTGGGCACACACTTAGCTTCCCAAATGGAGGTTTCTGCTAACTTTTGAGAACCTGTGACATATTACACAGGGAAGACAAACTTCAGGTGGTTGTTGGGGACCCTCTTTTATCCCCAACCCTATGCAATGCTTGTTTCATTTGCTTTATGTTTCTCCTTCCTCTCTTCTACTTCATTCATTCTAGAACTAGTTAATGGGCACCTGCCCAGCACTAAGATGTGGGCTAGGTACAGGGATGTGGCAGTGTGCAGCACAGATATTACCTCCACACTTCCGAAGTGTAGAGTGTCTGCTTTGTATATTACTTCAGTTTTTTTTTTCTTTTCCTGCCCCCTATATCCTGCTTCTAGGGGTAACCACTTAGTCTTGATTTTGGGACTTAGATCTTAATGTGGCTACTTGATAGCCTTTGTTGGTTTGCCTGAAATTCATTTCTTTGACATGTTCCTATTTAACATCTCTAACTCTTTCAATGTCATAGATCAGGAATCAGCAAATTTTTTTCTGTTAAGGGCCAGATAGTAAATATTTTAGGCTTTGTGACTATACTGTCTCTTATAGATAATAAGTTTTGCCACTGTAGTGTGAAAGCAGCCATAAACAATATATAAACAAATAAGCATGGCTGCATTCCAATAAACCTTTATTTATGGATATTGATATGTGAAGTTCGTGTGATTTTCATGTCATGCAATATTACTTTTCCTTTGTTTTTTTCCCCCAACCATTTATAGATGGAAAATCCATTTTTAGTTCATGGGCTGTACAAAGGCAGGTAGTGGGCTGGACATGGCTTATGGGCTACGGTTTGCTGATCCTTGACTTAGATCTAAGCTGCAACCTTAGCTATAGGCTTATTTTTGAGTTCCAGCCACCTTCTACATTTTTAGGGCCAGAAGGAATTGGTTTGAATGTGTGTAAAGGCTTCTTGGGAGTGCTGAGAGTCAAGCATCTCTTTTGAAAGAAGGACATGGATCAATAAAGAAGAAGGAAGAGCTTTCATCTAAGGAAAGCCATTTGAGGTAGAAGAAATGGGAAGTTATAAGCAAAGGGAATGAGAAGCTGTTTCAGGAAGACAGAGTCTTCTGTATATTATTATTATTAATTTTGACAGAGTCTTGCTCTGTCACCCAGGCTGGAGTACAGTAGCATGATCTCAGCTCACTACATCCTCTGCCTCTCGGGGTCAAGCGATTCTCATGCCTCAGTCTCCTCAGTAGCTGGGATGATAGGCACACGCCACCACTCCCGGCTAATTTTTTTATTTTTTATTTTTATTTTTAGTAGAGATGGGGTTTCACCATGTTGGCGAGGCTGGTCTCGAACGCCTGGCCTCAAGTGATCCACCCACCACGGCCTCCCAAAGTGTTGGGATTACAGGCATGAGCCACTGTGCCTGGCCTATATTATTGATGAAAGCCTAAACATCTTGGGAGCTCTTGTTACTCTTTTCTCAAGTCCTTTCTACTCTTTTCCCTCTTTTCTAGGCATCACATCCTTGTAATCTCCAAGGAAACAAATTTCTTTCTTTCTTTTTTTTTTTTTTGAGATGGAGTCTCGATCTATCGCCCAGGCTGGAGTGCAGTGGCACTATCTCCGCTCACTGCAAGCTCTGCCTCCTGGTTCATGCCATTCTCCTGCCTCAGCCTCCCGAGTAGATGGGACTACAGGCATCCGCCACCCACCACCACGCCTGGCTAATTTTTTGTATTTTTAGTAGAGACAGGGTTTCACCATGTTAGCCAGGATGGTCTCGATCTCCTGACCTCGTGATCCGCCCACCTTGGCCTCCCAAAGTGCTGGGATTATAGGCATGAGCCACCGCGCCCGGCCAGGAAACAAATGCACAGAAGGAAGGGGGCAGAAAATGGTCTGTGTCCAATGTGATGAACAGGCTTGACTTCCCTGCTAATTCTTCCCTATGTAGTACATCCAAATCCAACTCTGGGTGGGTAGAGATCAGAAGCAGCTGTCTCAGAATTGGCCTCCTACTTTCTACCTATCTCATGTTTCCAGTCTGCATTTGGCTGCCATTTATGAGTGGCCAAGAGTAACCCCTCATGAATCTACATTAAGGCTCAGCATTTCACAAGTAGCTGATGAAATCAGTATTACTCAGATCAGAAAGGCACCGACCTAACCCTTACCATCCCTTGCCCCCATTCCTCACTCCAGTCTTGTTATACCCAAGGTACAAATCGTTCCTGGAAGCAGCCCAGCATATGGGGGCACCCTAAGCCACACACCCAGTCACACCATCTGGGCAATTTAAAAATAGGGCCAAATGGAGCATTTAGACTGGTCTGTCCAGCCAAGATCAGGAAATTGCCTCTAAAAGGTCAGATGATTAAGATTATTGTACCAACAGTCTAGGATGTCAGTAATGAAAAAAAGCTTCTGGCAGAATGAATTTTCCTGACTTTACACATGGTGTTCCAGTTCTGAGTTGGGGTGAACAGCTTTGGGAAATCCCAAGATTTTTCTACTCCAGAAAATAGTGCTACTATGTACATTTATGCACTGTGTGCCTTGCACAAAGGCCCCTAGTGAAGGGAATGAAGAGGGCTGAAATCTAGTCAAGCTCCCCTTATCAAGCTCTGCACCTGCTTAATGAAGGAGAGGGCGCCTTCTCTAATGCCCGCATGTATGGGCTATTGAGGCCCTGATAGAATGCTAGCCTTTCTGCCATTTGGTTACTGAGCTTTATAGAAATTATATCCCCATTCTCAAAGCAGGAATTTTCTAGGATGAGTAATAGTTAAAACAAAATAAAACTACCCCTCCCCCACAAAATGGAATGGTTCTAAATATCACAAAAATTTATCTCCTCGGTCCCTTCTTTAGTCTTCCCTTCACCTTAGCTCTGCATGTTTTAATTTAGTTGGTTGGTTTTTCTTGACTTACACTGGGTGGGTATGTCTTTGGAGAGTAATGAGAGAAGAAACTTCCTAGTTCGTGTCCTAGTTTGGCTCTTAGAAGAAAAACAAAAAATGTTTTTGTGACCTGAGGAATACTAGGTAATATAGCTTGGATATTTGTCCTCTCCAAATCTCATTTTGAAATTTGATCCCCAGTGTTGGAGATGGGGTCTAGTGGGAGGTGTTTGGGTCTTAGGGGCGGATCCCTCATGAATGGCTTGGTGCCATTCGTATGGGATTGAGTTCTTGCTCTTAGTTTTGGGGAGATCTGGTTGTCAAAAAGAGTCTGGCATCCTATTCAGTGCCTCCCTTCTCCCCTGCCTATTTCTCTCTCTTTCTCACTCTTTCTCTCTCTCTATCTCTCACTTCCTGCCATGTGATCTTTACATACCAGCTCCCCTTCCCCCTTCTGCCATGACTGGAAGCTTCCTGAAGTCCCTGCTAGAAGCAGAATAGAGTGCTATACTTCTTGTACAGCCTGCAGAACTATGTTCCAAATAAACCTCTTTTTGTTATAAATTACCCAGCCTCAGGTATTCCTTTATAGCAATGCAAATGGACTAAGACACTGGGTTTGGGGTTAGTTTTGGGGATGTACCTAGAACTCTTCAGTTAATGTAGTCTACTCTTATTTCTTAGTTATCAGTACATGAGGGGACCAGACTAAATAACCTCAGAGCTCATTCCTATAATTGTTTTCATACTCCATATTATAACTCTCCTAGAATTATCTTCCCATCATGAATACCATTGTTTTGGGTTTCTCCACTATCACATTTCTAAGTCTTACAGATATAAATATTTTATGTTTGAGATTTGTCAACCAGGATTATTTGAATAAATGTATAATTCTCTACAACAGTTAAGTTTACTAATTTATCAAAATTGTTTCCATCACTTTTTCTGGAGAAAATAATGAATTCTAAAGTTTAGTTTAAAGTTAAAATAATGAATTTTAAAGTTTAATGAAGTTTAAGGTTTAAAAAATGATGTAATAGTTTACTATGTAAATACTATGTAAACTATTACATCATTTTTTAAAGCTTGTCATTTTCCAAATAAACTTCTTATACATTATTGAAGTCTTCATAGTGAACTACATCTTGCATGTGATGGGTGCTCAGAATATCTTAATGAGTGAATCAATGGATGGATGGATAAATGAATGACTATCTTTCATTTGATAAATATCCGCAAGCTATTTTGGTTTTTGACAAATTAGACGAAACAGGTATTATGAAAAGACTTGGGAAAATTGAGGACAAATTAGTTAACTAGATACTATGAAAAGACTTGGGAAATTCATATTTTTAAAATTATTGAAATGTATTAATTAATATGCATTTTAAGACATTGTTTAGGCATTCAGAAGCAAAAACTGTTTATCCTTCCTTGGCAACAAACAGAACTCTAATTGTGTTCAGTTATCTACTCTCCATGTGCTCTGGGGAGTTCCAGGGAGTGGATAAGGATTAGTTTAAGCCAGAATGGTAGTCCTAACCTTCTCATCAGTGATTGGTTTAGGCATGGACACATGATAAAATTCTGACCAATAGCCTGACGGGTCTCTGATAAAGTTTCTTTTTGCTCTTTTTTTTATTTTGAGACAGTCTCACTCTGTTGCCCAGGCTGGAGTGCAGTGGTGCCATCTTGGCTAACTGCAACCTCACTGCAACCTCCAGCTTCCTGGGTTCAAGCAATTCTTGTGCCTCAGTCTCCTGAGTAGCTGGGACTACAGGCATGTACCACCATGCCTGGCTAATTTTTGTATTTTTAGTAGAGACAGGATTTCACCATGTTCGCCAGGCTGGTCCCGAACTCCTGACCTCAAGTGATCTACTTGCCTCGGCCTCCAAAGTGCTGGGATTACAGGTGTGAGCCACCGTGCTCAGCCTCTCCTTGCTCTTTAAAAAGAGATGTTTGGAAACAAAGTTTCCTTTCTGCTATAGAATGTTATGTCTGCAAGCAGCATCTGATATAGCCTCTTTGCGACCAGGGGAGGAATTGGCCTGAGAACATGCTGAGGCAGGAAGAGCAGAAAGAGGGGAGGAACCTGGATCTTGGTGACATTATTGAGCTGCAGATTGAGCCGACTTGAATTCTCCTTGCTTCCTTCCTTCCTTCCTTCCTTCCTTCCTCCCTTCCTTCCTTCCAGTTCTTGTCATGTGAGACAGTAAATAACTTTATTGTTTAAGCCCTTTTGGGTTAGATTTTCTATTACATGAAGTTTAAAGCATTCTGATAACTTCATGTTTATTGATGTGTATAAATACTAATATATTCTATTATTTGGGGGATACAAAGAATTTGACTCAATAGTATCTTGTTCTATTGACATGTTCAATTATTAATCACTGATAACCCTGAATAACTAAATGTTATTACCACATTTAGGACAATATCCACGTCCACTGACATATGAAATTTGGGCAATTTGCTTCTTTGGGAAGCATTATAAATCACAGAACAGCAGAGGATACAAAGACCCCCACAAGAGATCATCAAGATTTTCTTCTTCCCTTCTTTTTGTCATACACATTGCTGAGAAGGAGCACCTCCAGGAAGGAACCAAATTATTTGTATTTTTCTGTTATTTTTAGTTTTGAGACCCGGTCTCACTCTGTCACCCAGGCCGGAGTGCAGTGGTACAGTGGCTCACTGCAACCTCTGCCTCCCAGGTTCAAGCAATTCTCCTGCATCAGCCTCCCAAGTAGCTGGGATTACAGGTGCCCACCAGCACGCCCAGCTAATTTTTGTATGTTTTCAGTAGAGATGGGGTTTCATCATGTGGCCGGGCTGGTCTCGAACTCCTGACCTCAAGTGATCTGCCCGCCTCAGCCTTCCAAAGTGCTGAGTTTACAGGCATGAGCCACCAAGTCCAGCCAATATTTGTATTTTGAATTAAAGTATGTATGTGAAAAATGAGAACACTGGCTCACTTCCTGGTAATATAAAATACAACATATCAGTAAAATCTTCCATGATTCTCCTAGTTCAGTGATCTCTTTCTACCCCTGTGTTACCTAATGCTGGCCTAAACTCCAGCGGCCTGTAGAGGAGATTGGTTTTTGTAGTTGTAAAATAATATTTTAGGCTGGGTGTGGTGCCTCATGCCTGTAATCCCAGTACTTTGGGAGGCTGAGGCGGGCAGATCACGAGGTCAGGAGATGGAGGCCAACATGGTGAAACCCTGTCTCTACTAAAAATACAAAAATTAGCTGGGCGTGATGGTGCGTGCCTGTAATCCCAGCTACTTGGGAGGCTGAGGCAGGAGAATCGCTTGAACCTGGGAGGCGGAGGTTGCAGTGAGCCGAGATGGCGCCACTGCACTCCAGCCTGGGCAACAGAGCGAGACTCTGTCTCAAAAAAAAAAAAAGTCACGTTTAAAAATTCAAAGTATACTTATATTTAAAATTTTCTAATAATGAAATGTTATCATAAGACCAAAGTAGATGTACTGGGCCTGGATCTTCATCCTTTCAGTCTGTCTTTGATTCTGACAGTGGCACCTCCAGCAACATTGATCTTCTCTGGGGGCCCTGGGATAACACATTAGCTTCTAGAATGGCTTGGGGATTTCCTGCTTGTGTCCTATGAAAAGGACACAAACTGGCCACACATGTGTTCAGTCTAGTGATGGGGACTGAGAAGGACAGAAAGAGATTTGACAGAGTTTTGACCTTAGCAATTTACTACTTGGTTGGGGAAATAACTCGTCATAAAGGTAGTATATACTAAGCTCTAATTAAATGATATACAATTCAAGTTCAGAGGTGAAAGACTATTGTGGACTGGAATTCCAATCTGGCCCTGAAAAGCAATACACAGCTTTTCAAACTTGTGGGAAATAGAATAGCTTTGAGAAGGAGTACTTGCATTTTTAATTTTTAGAAATATTGCCAATTTGCTTTGCACAGAGGTTATATTGATATACAGTCCCATCAGTCACGTATGAGAGAGCCTTTTACCCTATTTATTCTCATTAGCACAGTGTTAACATGTTTGATCTTTGCCAGTTTGATAGTTTGAAATGATATTTTATCATTGAGTTGATTTGTGTTTCATTTTTATGAATCAGATTCATCATCTTTTCATTTCTCATAAGAGTCTTTTTTTTTTCTGTGAACTGTCTACTCATATCCTCTGCCCATTTTTTTTTCAGTTGTATTGTCAGCTTTTTAATGTAGAATCACTTCAAAGAAACTATTCCTTTGCTTGTAACTCCTTCATTTTAGAGATGAATAGATGTAAGAGGTAAGCTTATTGTTTCTTTGTTTATTCATCAGCTTTTATTAAGTATCCATTCCATGCCAGGCACTGCACTTGTCACAGGAATTAGATATAGATCCTGTCCTCAAGAAGCTCCCAGGCTATGGGAGACACAAAGCTTTTCACATGGTTTTCAGGTCTATAATAGAGCTATACATAGGGAGTTATTGTGGCTCAAAGGTGGGGCATCACCTAACCATGCAAGGAGTTGGGGAGGCTCAGGAAAGTATTTGTAGATGACAGCAGCTGAATCTTAAAGAACAAGGGAGGCTTAGGCAAGTGACGAAGCGGGGAATTACATTTCAGGTAGAGAGACTAACTTGTGCAAAAACACAAGCACGGTGCCTTTGAGGAGTTCAATGTGTGAATTCAGGGTGGCTGGAGAATAGGTTAAGTCCAAGAGAGTATAAGAGATGAGACCACCTCTATTAAGACAAACTCTTTATTCCTAGGAATTTGGGGCTTATCCCAAGGGCAAGGGAAAGCTAATAAAATATATAATTTTAAAAATTTGCTTAAAATTATTATTTATAATATATAACCTATAATCTTACATTGCAGAAAGCTATAAAATGAAAACTAAATGTCTTCCTCCTCCTTGTCCCCTGTCCCACAGTTCTATTTTTCAGAGGTTACCATTTTTTTTTTAACAGTTTCCATTTACCTCCATAACTCTCAATATGTTTATCTCCCTGTTTCTTGATTTGTCAAACCGAACAGTATTTACAGACTCTCCACTATGAAGATGAAGAATTCAGCTCACTTCTACTAACTCCCACCCTTCCAATTTTTTGGAAGGTTTTAAGCACAAGAGGGACCTGATTAAATTTGCATTTTGGAAAGATTATTTTGCTAGCAATGTGAGGAGTGGTTCAACAGCTGTTGCAGTAAATCAAAGAACATAAGTTGGAGGGATGCATTAGTGGAAGGTACCTAGAGGACAGAAAGGTGAGGACTATTGGAAGACTAGAAGATAGAGGGAAGGAGAAGGTCACTCCTTGGTTTTATTTATTTATTTATTTTTGGAGATGGAGTCTTGCTCTGTCGCCCAGGCTGGAGTGCAGTGGCACGATCTCAGCTCACTGCAACCTCCGCCTCCTGGGTTAAAGCAATTCTCCTGCCTCAGCCTCCCAAGTAGCTGGGACTACAGGTGCCCGCCACCAGATCTGGCTAATTTTTTTTGTATTTTTAGTAGAGACGGGGTTTCACCATGTTAGCCAGGATGGTCTTGATCTCCTGACCTCATGATCCACCTGCCTCAGCCTTCCAAAGTGGTGGGATAACAGGCGTGAGCCACCGTACCCGGCCACTCCCTGGTTTTAGACTGGTGCAGGTGGTACTTACACTCTGTGAGCTAGAGATGCAGGAGGAGGAATTAATTTTAGTAGGGGGCATGATGTTGAATTTCACTTTGGACATGTTGAATTTGGCGTGTTTGTGAGAATCCAGGTGGAGATGCCTTATGATGCAGCTGGACAACTAATAGAGTTGCGGCGGTCAGGAGTGAGCAGAGGCTAGGGAGATAGATCTATGAGCCAGCCCTCAATGTATAGTTTATTCATTTTCTCATTCATTTAATAAATATTTATTGAATACCATCTAAGAGCTAAATGCTGGGTATAAAATGATGAGAGAAGAGACAAATTTCCTCACCTCATGGAGCTTTTAAGCTGGCAGAGGAGACAAACATTAACACAGAAACTCACAAATACATATGCAATTATGGACTGTGGTAGGTGCTACAAAAAAGAATACAGGCTTATGTGATAGAATAACAGCATGCACCAAATTTAGACTGGGGCCTGGGAGGGAAACAGATGGGCAGGCAAAGCTTCTTTATACCTAGATCTGCCAGGTGCAGAAGAGTTAAAGAAGCCATGTGCAGAGGACATTTTGAAGTGGAAGTCATGGTCAGGACCAGCCATAATCTTTGTGGAGCTTAGGATAAAGTCCAATCAACGGAGACCCACTAAATATCTAGACATCATCAATCAAGAGAGCTAAGTGATATTACATATGTTCTATCCCCCTCTCTTGACAAATATATCTTTATGATGACAAATAGAAAAATACACGTAAAGTAAAACTGAAAGTTGGCAAAATATCAATGACAACCAAATTTAGTTATTATCGCACACGTCCGGGTCTTCTGTTATGGGTTGAGATGATTGTATGAGCAATAAAATTAAGACAGATACAATATTCAGTTTCTTGAACTGGGTGCTAATTACTATTCACTCTGCAAATTTTCTGAGCTATATATGTATGACTTGTGTACTTTTCTGTATTTACTATTCCATAGCAGAAAATTTAAAGGATTTATCAAATACTTACGTCATAACATTATTTATTTATTTATTTATTTATTTATTTAATTAATTTATTTTTTTTGAGACAGCGTCTCGCTCTGTTGCCCAGACTGGAGTGCAGTGGCACAATCCCAGCTCACTGCAAGCTCTGCCTCCCAGGTTCACGCCATTCTCCTACCTCAGCCTCCCGAGTAGCTGGGACTACAGGCGCACGCCACCGCACCCAGCTAATTTTTTGTATTTTTAGTAGAGACGGGTTTTCACCATATTAGCCAGGATGATCTCGATCTCCTGACCTCGTGATCTGCCCACTTCGGCCTCCCAAAGTGCTGGGATTACAGGCATGAGCCACCACGCCTGGCCTATTTTT
This sequence comes from Homo sapiens, assembly GCF_000001405.40. NCBI lineage: Eukaryota > Metazoa > Chordata > Mammalia > Primates > Hominidae > Homo > Homo sapiens. Next base: position 203,751,398 of record NC_000002.12, read on the forward strand.
CAGTTTTTTTGAGACAGAGTTTCATTCTTGTTGACCATGCTGGAGTGCAGTGGCATGATCTCGGGTCACTGCAACCTCTGCCTCTCAGGTTCTAGCAATTATCCTGCCTCAGCCTCCCAAGTAGCTAGGATTATAGGCACCTGCCACCATGCCCGTCTAGTTTTGTACTTTTTAGTAAAGACAGGGTTTTGCTGTGTTGGCCAAGATGGTCTTGAACTCCTGACCTCAGGGGATCCACTCGCCCACCTCGCCTTAGTCAGTTTGGACTGCCATAACAAATTACCATATGCTAGTTGCTTAAACAACAGAGATTTATTTCTCATAGTTCTGGAGGCTGGGAAGTCCAAGATCCAGTGTCTGGTGAAGGCCTGTTTCCTGTTTTGCAGATGGTCATCTTCTTGTGGTACCTTTATAGGGTATGAAATAGAGAGAGGAAGCAAGCTCTTTTGAGTCTCTTCTTAGAAGAGCACTAATTGCATCATGAGAGCCTCACCCAAATGACCTACCGACTTCCTAAAGTCCTCACCTCCTAATAGCACTCCACTGGGGGTTAAGGTTTCAACATATGAATTCTGTGGGACACAAACATGTGGTCTGTAACAGTCATGTTTTCAAAAGCAGTTGTAAGGACAAATTTGATGTGTTTCATCAAGATTTCTATCTGTTGGCAGATTCATAAAATATTGTGTGTAATCTTTGAATTTTTCTAAAGAACATTGTCATTATCAGCACATTTGAAGTCATGTCTCCTAGTGCCAAATATAAATGATGAGTCATATGTGACTTCTGTATTTTTGGCCAAAATTCTGACTTATGTGCATTTTTATGTACATTCTTTCCAACCGTGGTAGTGCCATTCTCATAGGCTTTCCTTTGATAATTAAAAAACAAAACAAAACAAAACAAAAAACATTAAAAGGCCAGGCGTGGTGGCTCATGCCTGTAATCCCAGCACTTTGGGAGGCCGAGGCGGGTGGCTCACCTGAGGTCAGGAGTTCAAGACCAGCCTGGCCAACATGGTGAAACCCCGTCTCTACTAAAAATACAAAAATTAGCCGGGCTTGTTGGCGGGCGCCTGTATTCCCAGCTACTTGGGAGAGTGATCGAATAGAAAAAAGAGGATCATTTCTCTCAGCTTCAGCCTGAAAAGTCTCAGGGAACTGTTCTGACTTGTTCACCTTAGATCAAATGCCAATGGGGAGGACTCTTTTATGGAAGAAGGGGAGAAGCGTACAGACATGATTTCTGGAAAAATAACTGTCTGCTGAGCTGCTGCCCCATTTTTGTCTAAGATAGGTCTAAGACAGGTGTAGTTCTTCATAAGAAAATAAGAAAATGGAGGTTTTGGAGTGTCATACTGTTTCATTCACTGGCAAGGTTTCATGAATCCGGCTCCATGTTTTTTTCCTTATGGGTATATTCTGGGCTTGTTCCTATTATATATCTGAATCACCACTAAATTCAATTGGTCATAACCTTTTGATGGAACATGGACCCTTTTGGGAATATTTTAAAAGTTATGGAACTTCTTCCAGGGAAAAAAGCATATAAACATAATTTTTTTCTATTGTTTCATGGTATTTATTTACTTATTTATTCTTTTGAGATGGAGTTTTGGTCTTGTTGCCCAGGCTGAAGTGCAACGGTGCGACCTTGGCTCACTGAAACCTCTGCCTCCCTGGTTCAAGCAATTCTCCTGCCTCAGCCTCCTGAGTAGCTGGGATTACGGGCACCCGCCACCATGCCTGGCTAATTTTTGTATTTTCAGTAGAGACAGGGCTTCGCCATGTTAGCCAGGCTGGTCTTGAACTCCTGACCTCAGGTGATCCACCGACCTCGGCTTCCCAAAGTGCTGGGATTACAGGCGTGAGCCACTGCACCTGGCCTGTTTCATGGTATTTATTAAAATTCTTAAACTTGTGAAGTATTCCTGAACAAGCTCATGCAAAGGTCACTTTTTTTTTTTTTTTGAGATGGAATTTCACTCACTCTGTCACCCAGGCTGGAGTGCAGTGGTGCGATCTCAGCTCACTGCAACCTCCAACTGTGGGTTCAAGCTATTCTCCTGCCTCAGCCTCCTGAGTGGCTGGGATTACAGGCGTGAGCCACCATACCCAGGGAAGGTCATATTTTAAGAAGGAAATTGTGTGTCATTATGATGTTGTGAATTTGGACATCTTAAAAGATATCAAGAGATCTACCTTTGGTTGCTCTAGGAATGTGTATTTTTAAAAATAATTTTATTTATTTATTTTTATGGGTACATAGGTGTATGCATTTATGGAGTACATGAGATATTTTAATATAGGCATGCAATGTGTAATAATCACATCAGGGTAAATTGGGTATCTATCACCTTAAGCATTTATCCTTTCTCTGTGTTATAAACATTTCAATTATACTCTTTCAGTTACTATAAAATGTACAATAAGTTATTGTTGACTGTACTCATCTTGTGCTATTGAATACTTGATCTTATTCATTCTAACTATATTTTTATTTCCATCAACCATCTCCAATTCATCCCCCTACCCCATACCCTTCCCAGCATCATTCTATTCTCTACCTCCATGAGTTCAACTGTTTTAATTTTTAGCTTCTACAAATCAGTGAAAAGGTGTGAAGTTTGTCTTTCTGTGCCTGGCTTATTTCACTTAACATGATGTCATCCCGTTCCATCCATGTTGTCGCAAATGACTGGATCTTATTCTTTTGTATGGTTGAATAGTACTCCACTGTGTATATGTATCACATTTTCTTTATGTATTCATCTGTTGATGGACACTTAGGTTGCTTCCAAATCTTGGCTATTGTGAACAGTGCTATAATAAACATGGGAGTGCAGAGATCTCTTTGATATATTGATTTCCTTTCTTTTAGGTATATAATTAACAGTGGGATTGCTGAATCATATGGTAATTCAATTTTTAGTTTTTTGAGGAACCTCCAAACTGTTCTACACAATGGTTGTACTAATTTATATTCCCACCAACAGCATATGAGAGTTCCCTTTTCTCCATATTTTCACCAGCATTTGTTATTGCCTGTCTTTTGGATAAAAGCATTTTAACTAGGGTGAGATGATATCTTACTGTATTTTGATTTGCTTTTCTCTGATGATAAGTTATGTTGACCACCCTTTCCTATACCTGTTTGCCATTTGTAGGTCTTCTTCTTTTTTTTTTTTTTTTTTTTTTTGAGATGGAGTCTTGCTCTGTCACCCAGGCTGAAGTGCAGTGGTATGATCTCAGCTCACTGCAACCTCCGCCTCCCGGATTCAAGTGATTCTCCTGCCTCAGCCTCCTGAGTAGGTGGGATTACAGGTGCGTGCCACCACACCAGGCTAATTTTTGTATTTTTAGTAGAGACGGGGTTTCACTGTGTTGGTCAGGCTGGTCTTGAACTCTTGCCCTCGTGATCCACCCACCTTGGCCTCCCAAAGTGTAGGTCTTCTTTTGAGAAATGTCTATTCAGATCTTTGTCCATGTTTAAATTGGATTATTGTATTTTTTCCTATTGAGTTTTTTGAGCTCCTTATATAGTCTTGTTATTAATCTCTTGTCTGATGGATAGTATGCACATATTTTCTCCCATTCTGTGGGGTGTCGCTTTGCTTTGTTGATTGTTCTCTTTGCTGTGCAGAGCTTTTTATCTTGATGTGATCCCATTTGTTCATTTTTGCTTTGGTTGTCTGTACTTTTGGGGTGTCATTCAATAAATCTTTGCCCAGACCAACGTCCTGGAGATTTTCCCCAGTGTTTTCTTTTAGTAGTTTCATAGTTTGAGTCTTAGATTTAAGTCTTTAATCCATTTTGATGTGATTTTTGTATATGGTGAGAGACAGGAGTCTAGTTACGTTCTTCTGTATATGGTATCCTGTTTTCCCAGCACCATTTATTGAAAAGACTGTCTTTTCCCCCATGTATATTCTTGGCATCTTTGTTGAAAATGAGTTCACTGTAGATATATGGATCTATTTCTGGGTTCCCTATTCTGTTCCATTGGTCTATGTGTCTGTTTTTATGCTAGTACCATGCTATTTGGATACTATGACTCTGTAGTATAATTTGAAGTCAAGTAATGTGATTCCTCCAGGTTTGTTCTTTTTGCTCAGGATGGCTTTGGCTATTCTGGGTCTTCTGTGGTCCCAAATAGATTTTAGAATTTTTTTTCTATTTCTGTGAAGAACGCAATTGGTATTTCAATAGGGTTTGCATTTAGTCTGTAGATTGCTTGGGTAGTATGGACATTTTAACAAGATTGGTTCTTCCAATTCATCAACATGGAATATCTGTTCATTTTTTCCTGTCCTCTTCAATTTCTTGCATCAATGTTTTATAGTTTTAATTGTAGAGATTTTTCACTGTAAGTTAAGTTTATTCCTAGGTATCTTATTTTATGAATATTTGTAGCTATTATAAATGGATTTTTAAAAAATGTCTTTTACAGATTGCTTGCTCTTGGTATATAGAAATGCTGAGTTTTGTATGTTGATTTTGTATCCTGCAACTTTACTGAATTTTGTTTATTAATTCAAATAGTTTTTTTGGTAGAGTCTTTAGGTTTTTCTAAATATAAAATCATATCATCTGCAAACAAGAATAACTGGACTTTTTCCCTCTTTAATTTGGATCCCCTTTCTTTCTTTTTTTTTTGTCTGTTTGCTCTAGCTAGAAGTTCCAGTATTGCGCTGAATAACAGTGGTGAAAGTGGGCATCCTTGTCGTGTTCCAGGTCTTAGAGGAAAAGCTTTCAGTTTTTCCCCATTCAGTATGCTAGTTGTATGCCATGTATGGCTTTTATTGTGTTGAGATACATTCCTACTATCCTTAGTTTTTTATTTAAAGGGATGTTGAATTTTATCAAATGCTTTTTTCAGCATCAAGTGAAATTATCTGGTTTTTGTTCTTCATTCTGTTGATACAATGTATCACATTGATTGATTTGCATATGCTGAACCATCCTTGCATTCCTGGGAGAAATCACACTTGGTCGTGATGAATGATTTCTTTAATGTGTTGTTGAATTTGGTTTGCTAGTATTTTGTTGAGGATTTTTACATTAAGGTTTATCAGGGATATTGGCCTGTAGTTTTCTTTTCTTGATGTATCTTTGTCTGGTTTTGGTATCATGGTAATACTGGCCTCATAGAATGGGTATGGAAGTGTTTCCTCTTCTTCTATTTTTTGGAATAGTTTAAGTAGGATTCGTATTAGTTCTTGTTTAAATGTTTGATAAAATTCAGCAATGAAGCCATTCGGTCCTGGGCTTTTCTTTGCTGGGAGATTTTTTATTATGACTTCAATCTCATTACTTCTTATTGGTCTATTCAGGTTCCGGATTTCTTCATGGTTCAATCTTGGTAGGTTGTATGTATCTAGGAATTTATTCATTTATTCTAGTTTTCCCAATTTATTGGCCTATAGTTGCTCATAGTAGTCTCTAATGATCCTTTGAATTTCTGCAGTATCAGTTGTAATGTCTCCTTTTTCATCTCTGATTATATTTATTTGGGTCTTCTCTCTTTTCTTCTTAGTATCACTAAAGATTTGTCAATTTTGTTTATCTTTTCAAAAAACCAACTATTCATTTCAGTTATCTTTTGTATTTTATTTTTGTTTTAATTACATTTGTGTCTGCTCTGATCTTTATTATTTCTTTTTTTCAGCTAATTTTGGGTTTGGTGTGCTCTTACTTTTCTAGTTCTTTAACATGTATTATTAGGTTGTTTATTTGAAGTGTTTCCTTTTCTTTTCTTTTCTTTTTTTTTAGACAGAGTCTTGCTCTGTCGCCCAGGCTGGAGTGCAGTGGCTGATCTCGGCTCACTGCAAGCTCTGCCTCCTGGGTTCATGCCATTCTCCTGCCTCAGCCTCTCGAGTAGCTAGGACTACAGCCACCACGCCCAGCTAATTTTTTTTGTTTTTTGTATTTTTAGTAGAGACAGGGTTTCACTGTGTTAGCCAGGATGGTCTCGATCTCCTGACCTTGTGATCTGCCCACCTTGGCCTCCCAAAGTGCCAGGATTACAGGCATGAGCCACCGTGCATGGCCACAATGTTGTAATATTCTGTGTACTTACTATTACCAGTGAGTTTTGTACCTTCAGATGATTTTTTATTGCACATTAATGTTCTTTTCTTTCAGATTAAAAACTCCCTTTAGCATTTCTTATAGGACAGTTCTGATGTTGATGAAGTCCCTCAGCTTTTGTTTGTCTGGAAAAGTCTTTATTTCTCCACCATGTTTGAAGGATATTTCCACCAGATATACTATTCTAGGATAAAAGTTTTTTTCTTTCAGCATTTTAAATATGTCATGCCACTCTATCCTGGCCTGTATGTTTTACACTGAAGAGTCTGCTGCCAGACATATTGAAGCTCCATTATATGCAATTTATTTCTTGCTGCTTTTGGGATACTTTCTTTATCCTTGACCTTTGGGAGTTTGATTATTAAATGTCTTGAAATAGTCTCATTTGGGTTAAATCTGCTTGGTGTTCTATAATCCTCTTGTACTTGAATATTGATATATTTCTCTAGGTTTGGAAAGTTCTCTTTTTTTTTTATCCCTTTGAATAAATTTTCTACTCCAATCTCTATCTCTATCTCTTCTTTAAGGCCAATAACTCTTAGATTTGCCCTTCCAAAGCTGTTTTCTAGATCTTGTAGGTGTGCTTCATTCTGTTTTCTCCTCTCACTGTGTATTTTCAAGTAGCCTATCTTCAAGCTCATGAATTCTTTCTTCTGCTTGATCAATTCTGCTGTTGAAAGACTGATGCATTCCTTAATATGTCAACTGTATTTTTCAGCTCCAGAATTTCTACTGGATTTTTTTTTTTTTTTGAGACGGAGTCTTGCTCTGTGGCCCCAGGCTGGAGTGCAGTGGCGCAATCTCGGCTCACTGCAAGCTTCGCCTCCCGGGTTCATGCCATTCTCCTGTCTCAGCCTCCTCAGTAGCTGGGATTACATGTGCCTGCCACCACGCCCAGCTAATTTTTTTGTATTTTTTAGTAGAGACGGGGTTTCACCATGTTAGCCAGGATGGTCTCGATCTCCTGACCTCGTGATCCACCCGCCTTGACCTCCCAAAGTGCTGGGATTACAGGCGTGAGCCACCACGCCTGGCCTGGATTTTTAAAAATTATTTCAATCTCCTTGTTAAATTTATCTGATAGGATTTTGAATTCCTTCTTTATGTTTTCATGAATTTCACTGAGCTTCCCCAAAACACATATTTTGAATTATCTATCTGAAAGGTCACATATTTCTGTCACTCCGGGATTGGTCCACTGGTGCCTGATTTAGTTGATTTGGAGTGGTCATGTTTTCTTGGATGGTCTTGATGCTTGTGGAAATTTATCATTGTTTGGGCATTGAGGAGTTCGGTATTTATTGTAGTTTTCACAGTCTGGGCTTGTTTGTACCTGTCCTTTTTGGGAAGGCTTTCCAAGTATTCAAAGAAAATTGAGTGTTGTGATTTAAATCTTTGATCACTATAACCATACCTGCATTAGCAGGCACCATAAGCCCAGTAATGCCGTGACTCTTGCAGATTCATACAGGTACCATCTTGGTGGCCTTAGATAAGATCCAGGAGAATCCCTAGATTACCAGGCAGAGATTCTTGTTCTCTTCCCTTACTTTCCCCTAAACAAATGAAGTCCCATTGTCCATGCTGAGCTTCCTGGAATTGGGGGAGGGGTGGCACAAGCACCGTTGTGGCCATCAGCACTGGGCTACACTGAGTCAGACTCAAAGTGTAGCACAGCACACTGAGTCTTACGCAAGGCCTGCAGTGACTACTGCCTGGCTACTGCAAATGTTCACTCAAGGCCAAGGGCTCTTCAGTCAGCAGGTGGTGAATCCATCCAGGCTTGTGTCTTTTTCTTCAGGGAGGTGAGCTTCCCCTGGCCCAGGGCAGGTCCAGAAATGCCATCGGGCAGCCAGGGCCTGGAGTCAGGAACCTGAGGAATGTACTTGGTGCTCTATCCTCCTGCAGCTGAGCTGACACCCAAGCCACAAGATAAAGTCTTTCCCACTCTTCCTTTTCCTTTCCTTATGCAGAAGGAGTTTCTCTCCCTGTCCACCACTGCCCTAGGCCCATGACAAATACTGTCAGGCTATGGCTGAAGTTCACACAAAGCCCAAGGGCTTTTCAGTCAGCTTGTGGTGAGTGCTGCCATGCTTGGGTCTCTCCTTTCAGGGCAGTGGGCTCCCCTCTAGCCTGGGGCAGGTCTAGAAATGCCTTCCAGGAACCAAGGCCTGGAATCTGGGACCCCAAGAGCCTGCTCAGTGCTCTACCCTACTGTAGCTGAGCTGGTCCCCAAGCTGCAAAACAAAGTCCCCTTTAATTTTCCCTCTCCTTTCCTCGAGCAGAAGGAGTCTCTCCCTGAGGCCACCACAGCTTGGAATGCACTGAGTCACAGCAGAAGCCAGCATGGCTCTGAGTCTCACCCAAGGCCTGTGGCAAGTACTGCCTGGCTACCACTGATATTTATTCAAGGCCAAAGGGCTCTTTAGTCAGCAGGTGATTAATCCTGCCAGGACTGGGTCCTTTCCTTCAAGGCAGCAGGTTCCCTTCTGGACCTAAATGTGTCTAGAAATGTTTTTCAGGAGCTAGTGCCTGGAATGGGGGCCTCAGGACTCTGCCTGGTGCCCTAACCTACTGTGGGTGAGTTGGTATCCAAGTTGCAAGAAAAGGTCCTCTTCACGCTCCCCACTCCTCTCCTCAAACAGAAGGAAGGAGCCTCTCCTGGAGCTGCGAGCTGTGCTGCCTTGGGCTGGGGAGGGGTGATGCAAACACTCTCTTGGCTGCTCTGGCTGGTGTCTCACTATGTCGCATGCCCCCCAAGTCCACTGGTTTCAAGCCACATGGCATCAGTAGTTGCTTAGGAATTACAGTCCTTGTGGCCTAGACTACCTTTCAAGTTTATTTAGGACCCCAGAGTACTTTAGCCTGAAGTGGTGGGGCTTGCTGGAACTCAGGTTCTGACCACTGGGATGGGCAATTCTCCTCTGGCTAGGGTTGGTCTAGATGCTCCCTCTGTGGGTTCTGGCTGAATTCTGCCCTGTGTTGCTTTCTGCTGTGGCAGGACAGTACTGAGTTCCAACGTAAAGTCCTGCAATCACTGCACTCTTTCTCCTCCAAGCACACACATTTTCTCTCTGCTGCTGCCAGGCTATGGGGGAGGGGTGATGTCAGTGATTCAAGACAGTCTTTATTACCTTCTTCAGTGTCCCTTTCCTTGATATGATGTTAAAACCATGCACTGTGAAGGAATGTGTATTTTTGAATCCATTCTCATGTTGAATCAATCCACAGAAAGATACACAAATCTAACGTCATTTCTGTTCAAACAAACAAAAAAATTCAGTTAGTTGTTGTGCATCTGTGATGTCAAACATCAACGAGACACTTGGATATAATGTTTGTGAATTTGTTTTCAGTCTTGAAAGCCTTCTGTGTAGAAGAGAGATAAGTGAGTTTCATTTTATGAGGCCCAGAGGTATAGAATAAAGACCAATGACTTGATTTCTCAGGAGAACCAAATTAAAACAGTTGAAGCTCCTCTCTGTTTCATTCCAAAATGGCAAGAGATGTATGTTGAAAGCAAGAATAAAGGGCTTTGGTTGGGCTCAAGAGGCGTCATCTGTTTAAAATATGGCAATAGTGCGTATTGTCCTCAAATTCCTTACCCCAGGTCAAAGTGTTAGGGAAAGAGGCCTGGTCTACTAATGGGTACATGGTTCCCAAAGGTATTCCCCTATCTAACATCAGGGCCTTGGTTAACAACACATTTCTTCTAAAAGGGACAGAAACAACTTCTTAACTCCACTTCCAAACTTCCTAAGAGAGCAGTGTGGGGAAATGATGATTCCTTGCTTTAATTTATACTGCCTATTTCCCTTCCACCTACACAGGAAAGGCAGGAGAGTGCAGTAGAACTGGCACTTCCTTCTTACATAGTAGGATGAAGTAATTGAAGTAAGATGAAGTAGGATGAAGAGTTGACTATATGCCTTGGACATCTCTTACGTATCACTGCAAATCTCAACCTTGCCTGTCTCTTTTTGCTCCTTCTATTGAGGCAAGCAGCTTCATGCAGTTTCAACCTGACAGTACCTCATCTCAGACGCCCTCTGAATGCTGCTCACCTGCTCTGGAGCTTCTGAGCTGATACCTTTGTGTAGATTCCTTAGAAACACAGTTGGTGCCCACATATGCTTGGCAGATTAGATTATGACTTTCAATCTTCATTCCCTCCCTGTAATAGAATTATACATTGAAACTCATTGTCAAGTGTTTTTATTTTTAGTACCTCCCAGTGGAAGAGATGGAGATTTTATCTCTGCCTCCTTGACTTTGGGTTTGGCTATATGACTTTGGCCAATGGAATATGGAGTGCATGGGATGCAGGCAGAAGCTGTAAATGTCTGTGTTGTTTGACTTGGTCTCATGTTTCTGCCATTCACCATGAGAAAGCATGGACCAGGAAGTTTCTGGTCCAAAGAGAAGATACATATGGAGTAGAATTGAACCCAACCCACTCACAGACTGGAATGGAGCATGGCCAGCTGACCTACAGACCCAGGAGTGAAAAATTGACATTTGTTTTGTAAGCTTATAAAATTTGGGGTTATTTGTTATGTAGTATTGTTGCATTAATAGGTGGTGATACGGTTTGGATCTGTGTCCCTGCCCAAATCTCATGTCAAATTGTAATCCCCAGTGTTGGAGGAGAGGCTTTGTGGAAGGTGATTGGGTCACGGGGGCGGATTTCTCCCTTGCTGTTCTTGTGATAGTGAGTTTTCACAAGATCTGGCTGTGTAAAAGTGTGTAGCACCTCCCCCTTCATTCTTTTCCTTCTACTCTGGCCACCTAAGATGTGCCTGCTTCATCTTCACCTTTTGCCATTATTGAAAGTTTCCTGAGGCCTCCCCAGCCATGTTACCTGTATATCTTGCATGAGTCAATGAAACCTCTTTTCTTTATAAATTACCCAGTCTCAGGTATTTCTGTATAGCAGTGTGAGAATAGACTAATACAGTTGGGTAACATATATGTGCAACCTAGAAATGTGGGGTGTCAATGTCCTGTGGGGTAAACTCTGAACCAATGAGAATTGGGAGACAATGGTTAAATGCTTCCCCCTCTCTACTCCCAGATTTCATAGGTTCCCATATAGTCCTGTAGGGTTGAACAACCAGTCACATATAGTGGTGACTAATTGAATAACTCACCCTTGACTTGGCTTTCCCTTCGTCCAGGTTTTGTGTCACCTTGCTACGAGTACTGCCTCCTGGATTCACTCCCCAATAAAGTATTCATATAGACATCTTTGTTTCCCACTTTGCTTTCTGAGGAACCCAAGCTAAGACACTGTATGTTTACTTCTAATTTTCATTAATTACAAGTTTATATACATTGTTCGGATATTGGAGGTTCCAAAGTGTTCACCACCCCAACCTCCCACACTTTTGCCAGCAATTAGACAGTCACATTCTTTAGATCTTCCTTGAACAAGCCTAGGGGGCTTCAGGGAATGTGTAGGAGGGCTAATGAGAAGATGTTGACCTGATTTGAGACTAAATTTTATTTTACCTTCCTATCTATCTGAATCCAAAGCCTCCTCTGTCAGTCATCAACAGAGCCCTTGCTATCGCCTACCCCGAATCTCTTTCTTCTTAGACAAATAGCAATCCCAGCAATAAGGATGTACTCTGTAACTCTTGGATAATTTTCCAAAGATGGAATGGACTAACTAGGGAAGCAAGGAGTTCCTCATCACTGAAGAGGAGTTAAGGAAGCTGGGTGATCATTTGTGAACTATGTACGAATTAAGTAAGTAAATAAAAATCATAGCTATCATTTATTTAGTGCTAGGCACAATGTTAAATATCTTAAGTATACTAGCTCAAGTCCTCACAATAACCCTCCACACTATTTTCTTCATTTTTTCAGCTGAGGGAATTGAGACTCTGGGAGGTTAAGTAACTTGTTTAAGGTCTGTGACTAGGAAATGACAAGGCCAACCCAGTTTGTCCTGCTTCCAAGCCTATTCTCTTCTTGCAAGTACACATGACATTTTAACTATGGGCTAGGGGATTAAATCAACTTGACCTTAAGATCTCTTCTATTTCAGAGACTCTACAAGTCTACTAACTTCTGCAACAAAGCACAGTAGCAAAAGGAGATGATATAATACTGTATGAGGTTTCCTTCCCACCTGTTTTTCTTCATTTAAAATTGAAAAGATTAACACATCATAACTTTTCAAACAAACAAGTGAGTGTAGTGGTTTTCACACTCAAATCAAACCCAAGGTTGTTTTCTGATTCCAGACAGGTTTTTGCAGAATGTAGTCATTTATAAATTAGGTGAGGCTTGTGCTTGACTATTCTGGATGGAGTGGAGAAAATGAGCCATGAAGGTCTGTGGGAGTGTGGAGGTCGTGCTGGGGGAGGTATAGGTGATGTTTACAAGGACAACTACCACAGTCAGAGATATCCTACACCTGGGTGACCTCTGGGTGTTTGGGAAGGATTATAAGTACTAAATATAATATAAAAGGAAAAAAGGGGGGCAAGGGAGTTGGGTTTGGCGTAAGAGCTTATGATCTGACTCAGAGAGACCTGAAAACATTCGAGAGAAGGGGAGGAAGGTGTGTGCTTTGGGAGGATATGAGTGCACGCACATAGGACAGTACATCTGTCACTTTGAGAGTGTACTGGAACATTTGCATACCCTAAATAAGGACGTGAGTGTTACTTGGGCTTTTCTAAGGCCTAAAATGTGCTAAGTGAAAACACCGACCTTGTGCTTTTTTTTTCTTTTTATTTTGACCTCTGAAATTTTTATTGGCCTCCTGTTCCCCAAAGGGCACCCTGCTTCTGTTGGCTTAATGTCTCAGAACTTTGGTGTCATTGGTCTCAGACACCACTTTGCCATCCACTGTTGGCAGGTGGGAGTCTTTTGGGTGGTTTGCGTGGAGTTGCTGCTGTCCAGAGCATCACCAAAATTGAAGTCCTCGCCATCTTCCAGCAGGCGGCGGTAGGTGGCGATCTCAGCCTCCAGCTTGACCTTGATGTTTGGCAGGGCCTGGTACTCCTGGGCCTGGCCCTGTCCCTCTGCCCAGGTCTGTGCCAGCTCTGACTCCAGGTGCAGCAGGATCCCATTGAGTTGTTCCATCTGCAGGGTGTAGCAGGCCTCCACCCCCCCTTCAGGCTGTTCTCCAAGCTGGCCTCCAGATTTTTCATCCAGTCCAGGTCGATCTCCAAGGCCTGGACTGTATGTCTCAGCTCCGTGAGCATCATCACAGCAGCTCCAACCTCAGCGGACTGGGTGGTGACCACTGTGGTGCTCTCCTCAATCTGCTGAGACCAGTACTTATCTAGCCCCTCTCAGTTCTTCTGAGTCAGCTTGTTGTATTGGGCCTGGATGTCTGCCATGATCTTGGCGAGGTCCTGAGATTTGGGGGCATCTACCTCCATGGTCAACAGAGCTGGCAATCTGGGCTTGTAGGCCTTTTACTTCCTCTTCGTGGTTCTTCTTCAGGAAGAGCAGCTCCTCCTTGAGAGCCTCGATCTCTGTCTCTAGCTGCAGCTGAGTGACACTGGTGTCATCAATGACCTTGTGGAGCCCATGGATGTCGTTCTCCACAGACTGGCACGTGGCCGGCTCTGTCTCATACTTGACTCTAAAGTCATCAGCAGCAAGATGGGCATTGTCGATCTGCAGAATGATGCAGGTATTGTCCACAGTACTTGTGAAGATCTGAGTCAGGTCCTCCTCGATGGTCTTGAAGTAGTGGCCCCAGTCTCTGACCTGGGGTCCCTTCTTCTCCAGGTGCTCCCAGATTTTGCTCTCCAGCTTCTCCCAGATTTTGCTCTCCAGCTTCCAGTTTCCCATCTCCAGGCTCCTCACTCTGTCCAGGTAGGAGGCCAGGCGGTCATTCAGGCTTTGCATGGTCTCCTTCTCGTTCTGGATGCCTCCCATTCCTGCCAGACCCCCGGCCATACCTGCGGCCATGCTCCTGGACCCCAAGCCACCCTGGAAGCTGGTGGAGCGGGACATGGAGATCCGGGAACCTGAGCTCCCAGGGCCTGCATAGACGCTGGCCACACTTCTGACCAGTGGGCGCGGTAGCTGGGCGCCTGGACAGAACCAAGTTGGTGGGGAAACAAGTGGTGAAGCGCATACTGTGCCGGCAGGGGGTAGAGTGACAGGACAGATCAGGCTTGGCTGAAGGCTCTGTTGTTGGTTGTTTTGAGATGGAGTTTCACTCCTACGGTTCAGTTTCCTTATCTGTGAAATTAGAACAATATTGTCTACCTCAGAGTGCTATCATAAAGACCAACAGTGAAAGCAGAGTTCGCTTAATGGTTCTGGCATGTGAAATTAAAAATTCCACAATAATGTTCTCAAGGACAAAAGGTTTAATCTCTAGTGTGTGTGTGTGTGTGTGTGTGTGTGTGTGTGTGTTTGTATAGCCACATCAAGCATGATATCGTTAGACTACTAGACTTTGATGAGTCAAGAAACATAATTTTTAGGTCAAGCTATTGGATTCAAGTAGATATTTTCATAGTGTGAGTCTTAAACAAAAACAACCATAAAAAGGAAAAGGCTTATGAATAATGGAGAGGAGAAATTCAGGTCACACTATGCCCAGAAGCCATACTTTTTTTCTATCTCAAGTAAGGAGATCTCTAAACATATATTCTTCATAGATACAGAAAACATCTTTCTTTCTTTTTCTTTTTTCTTTTTTCTTTTTCTTTCGAGACAGAATCTTACTCTGTTGCCCAGGCTGGAGTGCAGTGGCACAATCCTGGCTCACTGCAACCTCCGCCTCCCAGGTTCAAGCAATTCTTGTGCCTCAGCCTCTCCAGTAGCTTGGATCACAGGCATACACCACCATGCTCAGCTAATTTTTGTATTTTTAGTGAAGACAGGGTTTCACCGTGTTTGCCAGGCTGGTGTTAAACTTCTGGCCTCCTGTGATCTGCCCGCCTCACCCTCCCTAAGTGCTGGGATTACAGGTGCGAACCACTGTGTCCAGACACAAAACATTTCTTGTAGTGGTCTTTTATAGGAGACATTTGCAGATAATGTTCCAGAACATATTTCTCCATAGGAGCTTTGCATTTCCTGATATTTCAGAATTTGCATGGATCTATGTAGTAATGAGTTAGGAGCACAATGAGCTACACCAATAGATGTGTAGTTAACGAAGCATGTGGTTGAAATAGAAAGTGTAATTTAAAATGGAATTACTAGCACCAGAGGAATTTGAATGCTTTGTTGTTGGTCTGTTGTGTTAGGCCTGATTCAAGAATCAACATATCACCAGGTGTGGTGGCTCAAGGCTGTACTCCCAGCACTTTGAAAGGCCAAGGCGGGTGGATCCCTTGAGTCCAGGAGTTTGAGACCAGCACGGGCAACATGGTGAAACCCTGTCTCTACAAAAAATGCAAAAATTGTGTGGTGCATGTCTGTAGCTCCAGCTACTTGGGAGGCTGAGGCAGGAGTATCATGTGAGCCCGGGAGGCAGAGATTGGAGTGAGCTAGTGAGCTGAGATTGCACCCTTGTACCCTAGCCTGGGCAACAGTGTGAGACTCTGTCTCAAAAAAAAAAAAAAAAAAAAAAAACCCAAAACCAAAAACCTGTCATTGACAAGAATGTGATCTGAAGATCATGAGAGAAGACTACAGTTGGGACTAGAATTCTAAGAATTTCATTAACACTTTATTCTTAAAGATTTCATTCAGATGAGTATAAAATACAGCTCTACTTTAGTAACAAATTCCTCCATAGAAATTGACCCAATAGTCCCATAGACAGGTTTTTTTGTTGTTGTTGTCGATAAACATAGCAATTAACCCTTCTGGTCTTAAAGCTTAAAACTTAACATTTGTTTTATCTGAGTTCCTAACTTAGGAAACAACCCTCAGGATTCTGAAAAAATATCAAATAACTGAAACTCACCAGATTATCCATCTAGACAATGAGGTGCCAGACCCCTCACTTGTCATAATTGCTTCCTTACCTCTCAGTAGTTCCTGTTTTCCCACACAAAGGTACATTTCTTCCCTGCTAGGTAAACCCCTAATTTCAGTTGGTCAAGGAAATGGATTTGAGACTGCTCTTCCACCTTCTCAGCTGCAGCACCTGATTAAAGCCTTCTTCCCTGGCAGTAATTGGCATCTCAGCAATTGGCTTTCTGTGCAGCAAGCAGCAGGACGTAGACCACAGACCCTTGGAGTTTTGGTAATAGCATCACAAGAAGTTTGGTAGGTTGTCCATGACTGGTACAGGAGCTGAATCACATGATCAAAGCCCAGGCTTTTTCTTTCTTCAGATGCCACCATTTTAGGGTTTGGCTATTGTCTTCAAACTTGCAAGGCATCTGCTTCATTTCAGGAATCATATCTATGTGCAATTTGGGAAGAAAGGTAAAGGGTCAAAAGCCTTCATGAGCTTTTCTTTTTTTCTTAAAAGTGTTATTATTTTTTGGCAAAATACACCATCCATAAAAAGAGTTCAAATAATAAATGTATAATATGTGTCCACACATATATATGTGGTTCAAAGTATGATGATGTAATGAAAACCTGTATCCACCTGTCCTAGAATAAGAAATAGAAAATATTTATTTTCTATTGCATGGAAGATTGCCTACATGGGAAGTTCCTTGCATCCCTCCTCTATTCCATCTCCCTCTCTCCTTATCAGAGATAAACATTGATTTGTGTTTTTATCATTTTCTTGCTTTTCTTTAATTTTAACATATATGTATGCATTTTAAAGCAATATGTTTTTTAGTTTTGCATGTTTTGACCTTTATGTAGAATCATATTCTATGTTTTCTTCTGCAACTTGCTTTTTTGCTCAGTATTAGATTTGAGATAGTTATCCATACTGATGCTATTCATTTCCACTCTCACAGTTTTTCCATTGTTTGAACATATCCTTCCAATTTTAGTTGTTTTCCTTTTCTTTTTCTTTTCTATTTTAAGGAATCAGGCTATTATATGTCTCCTTGTGCATGAGTGGAAGATTTTCTTTAAAGGACATATATCTAGGAATGGAATTGCTGCATTTTAGGTTGTGTTAAATTTCAACTTTTCTAGATAATGGC
The DNA here is from genome assembly GCF_000001405.40 of Homo sapiens. Lineage (NCBI taxonomy): Eukaryota > Metazoa > Chordata > Mammalia > Primates > Hominidae > Homo > Homo sapiens. The sequence continues at coordinate 203,768,538 of NC_000002.12, forward strand.
AAATTGTTTTCCAGTTATTGTGTCAATCCTCTTTACCATTAGCAATGTTTAGGATTATCTGAAACTGTAAAACTCCTAGAAGAACACATAAAAGAACAGCTTGTTGACGTTGGTCTTGGTGTTGATTTCTTGGACATGACTCCAAAAGCATAGGCAACAAAAGCAAAAACAGACAAGTGGGACTACATCAAGTTAAAATCTTCACAGTAAAGGAAACAACAGAATGAAAAGGTAACAAAAAGAATGAGAGAAAATTTTTTTTTTTTAATTTTACTTTAAGTTTTAGGGTGCATGTGCACATTGTGCAGGTTAGTTACATATGTATACATGTGCCATGCTGGTGTGCTGCACCCACTAACTCGTCATCTAGCTTTAGGTATATCTCCCAATGCTATCCCTCCCCCCTCCCCCCACCCCACCACAGTCCCCAGAGTGTGATATTCCCCTTCCTGTGTCCATGTGATCTCATTGTTCAATTCCCACCTATGAGTGAGAATATGCGGTGTTTGGTTTTTTGTTCTTGCGATAGTTTACTGAGAATGATGATTTCCAATTTCATCCATGTCAGAGAAAATATTTTTAAACCATATATATATCTGCCAAGGAGTTAATTTCTAAGATATATAAGAAACTCTTTTTTTTTTTTTTGAGACGGAGTCTTGCTCTTTAGCCCAGGCTGGAGTGCAGTGGCGCGATCTCCGCTCACTGCAAGCTCCGCCTCCCGGGCTCACGCCATTCTCCTGCCCCAGCCTCCCGAGTAGCTGGGACTACAGGCGCCTGCCACCACGCCCGGGTAATTTTCTGTATTTTTAGTAGAGACGGGGTTTCACCGTGTTAGCCAGGATGGTCTCGATCTGCTGACCTTGTGATCCGCCCGCCTTGGCCTCCCAAAGTGCTGAGATTACAGGCTTGAGCCACCGTGCCCGGCCAGAAACTCTTACAACTCAATAACAACAAAAAATAGGCAAAAGATTTGAGCAGACATTTATTTAAAGAAGACATGCAAATTGCCAACAAATATATGAAAAGATGGTCAACATCATTAATTATGAGGGAAATACAAATCAAAACTACAATGAGATATCACTTCATACCTGTAAGAATGGTTATTATAAAAAAAATTGTTGATGGGAATATCAAATGGTGCAGCCACTATAGAAAACAGTATGGAGAATCCTTCAAACATTAAAAATAGAACCATATGATCCAGCAATCCTACTTCTGGGTTTACATCCAAAATAATTGAAATCAAGATCTTGAAGCGATCATAGCACTCCCACTTTCATTGCAGTTTTTTTTCCCACCATAACCAGGATACAACCAGGATAACCAGAAGCAACACAAATATCCATGAACAGATGAACGGATGAAGGAAATGTGGTATGTACATACCATGGAATACAGTTCAGCCTTAAAAAAAGAAGGAAATCCTGTCATTTGTGACACGGTTCAACCTGGAGGACAGTACGCTAAGTGAAATAAACCAGTCACAGAAGGACAAATCCTGCATGATTCTAGCTGTATAAGGTATTTGTAATAGTCAAACTCATAGAAGCAGAGAATACAATAGTGGTTTAGGGACTAGGGCATGGGAGAAGTGGGGAGCTGTTGTCAAAGTGTATAAAGTTTGGGTTATGCTAGACAAGTAAGTTCTAGAGATCTGCACAATATGGTGCCTATAGTTAACAATACAGTCTTGCGCACTTAAAAATTGGTTAAAAGGGGCCGGGCGTGGTGGCTCACGCCTGTAATCTCAGCACTTTGGAAGGCCGAGGCGGGCAGATCATGAGGTCAGGAGAGGGAGACCATCCTGGCTAATATGGTGAAAACCCGTCTGTACTAAAAATACAAAAAATTAGCTGGGCATGGTGGCGGGCACCTGTAGCCCCAGCTACTCAGGAGGCTGAGGCAGAAGAATGGCGTGAACCTGGGAGGCGGAGCTTGCAGTGAGCCGAGGTTGCTGCCACTGCACTCCATCCTGGACGACAGAGAGACTCCGTCTCAAAAAACAAACAAACAAACAAACAAACAAACAAAAAACAATTGGTGAAGACGATAGATCTCAAGTGTTTGTACTGCTAAAACCAAAACAAAACAAAACGAATAAACAAAACAAAAAAACAAAAGGGCACAAGAAAACTTTGGGCAAGTGTTTGATATGTCTATTATCTTAATTGTGATGATATCACAGGTGTTTGTATTTATTTAAACCCATCAACTTGCCTACATTAAATATGTCTGGTTCTTTGTATATCAATTATACCTCAATAGAGTTGTTAAAGATTTCCTTTTCCCCACATCATTGCCAACATGACTCATTTAATTTTTATTAGCCTGATGGGTATAAAACAGTATCTCTCCCAGCGCTTTGGGAGGACAAGGCGGGCGGATCACCTGAGGTCAGGAGTTTGAGACCAGCCTGGCCAACATGGCAAAACCCCGTCTCTACTAAAAGTACAAAAATTAGCCGGGCGTGGTGGCAGGCTCCTGTAATCCCAGCTACTCAGGAGGCTGAGGCAGGAGAATTGCTTGAACCCAAGAGGCAAAGGTTGCAGTGAGCCAAGATTGTGCCACTGCACTCCAGCCTGGGCGACAAGAGTGAGACTCCATCTAAAAAAAAAAAAAAAAAGTATCTCGATATGTTTTACTTCGTATTTTTCAGGTTACAAATCAGGTTGAGTACATTTTATGTTTTTTGGCTATTTATGTTTTCTCTTATGTAAAATTCCAGTATAAGCCTTCTATCCATTTTTTTCTGTGCTTTTTTTTTCTCCCTATTTTTCCTCTACTTTAAGGAGTTCTTCATATTTTCTGAATTCTGGTTCTTTGTTATTTATGTGTTACAAGCGCATATTTCCATTTTGTGTTTTATCTTTACATGACCTTTACGATGTCGTCTTGGCTGAGATAAAATTGATAATTTCTGCCTAAAGTGTTTTCCTTTTAAGTTTGTGTGTTTGGGTTCCATTTTTAAAAATCTCTTACCTGAGATCATAAACATATTTTCTCTAAAGGTTTTTAAGTTTGTCTTTCACATATAAGTCCACAATGTATTTGAAATTGATTTTTTTGAAGATAGTATGAAGTTGGGATACACTTTTATTTTTTCAATGTAGATCTTCATTTGTTCCACCATTTTACTGATGTGTAATGCCACCCACATGTGGATGTGGGTCTATTTATGGACTCTCTATTTTGTTTCAGTTAACTCCATTTTGTTGACCTAAAATTGACTTCCCCTGATAACTATGGCTCTATAATAAATCTTGCTTTCTGATGGTCCTCTTCAGGAGTACCTTGGCTATTTGTTTTATGTAAATTTTAGAGTTAACTTACCAAGTTCTGTGAAAAATCTTATTGGTATTAGGATTGGAATTTCATTAACTTTAAAGGTCAATTTGGGGAGAAAGTATTTATGTACTTACATATATTTATACATTAAATTTTCACATCTAAATACATAGCATACTGCTGCATATATTTAGTGTTCTAAAACTATACCACTTTAAAAAGAATTAAAATAAGGTATCTAGGAATAAATTTGGAAAATATATGCAATAACTTCAAGAAGAAAGTTTAAAAAACCTTATTGAAGATACATTTCTTAATATTTTGTTTATGTTGTACCGTAACACAACTGACTTTTATATATTGATTTTATATCTAACATTCTTGCCAAACCCTCTTTTTAATTATGATAGTTTTTCGGCATATTCTTTTGGATTTTTTTTTTGTAGATGAGCTTTTCCAGTGAAGTATGTTCACTTCGGGTCCTATTTGCTAAGTATTTTTTTTTAAATACTGAGTTTTATTTCACGTGTATATTTTTGTCTCCCCACCATTTCCATGTCTGACCACTGCTACTACTATGTCCTATCATAACATTCCATACCAAGCAAAGGGTGGAGTTCCATCTTTAAAAACTAAACAGGCATTTTGGGCAACATATTCTTGGCAATGGAACTTGGACAACATTTATCAAACATGGTAGGGAAAGTTCTTACTCTGCATTATAAAAAGGACAGCCAGATATCATCTGTTACAGAAATGAAATAAGACGGAAAATTTTTAACAAATTGTTTAAACTATTTTCTTAAAAAGACTTCCTCCATTGCCAGAGATCTTGAGTAGCCTCCTGCTCAGTCATCTGGAAGTAATTCTTCACATAATTGATGAACTTGGCTTCCACTTTGGGAAGAGAACCACCTTTTTCTATACTTACTTGCATTTTTGCTATAATGTCTTCTACAGAACTAGGTCCTTTTGGTGTTTTGGGAGTTTTTTCTTGTTTTTTGAAGGATTCTTGTCCTTTTGATCTTGGTGTTGATGATGGTTTTGAGCCTTTTCCATTCTGATTTGACTTTTGTGCATCTTTGGCTCGAGTATCTCATATAGATTACTCGTGCTTTTCTTCAGCTTCCTCATCATCAAAATCATTATCATTTTCATCATCATCATCATCATCATCATCATCATCATCTTCATCAGCAGCAAGTTTTCCTTTTTTCTGTGGAACCTTGCTACCACCTCCAGAGGCAGACCGCTTTCCAGATATGCTTAAGAGGTTCACATCCTCCTCCTCTTCATCTTCTGACTCTGCATCTTCCTCCACAGCTACTAAGCACTGTCTACTAATATGCACTGGCCCTGAACCACACTTCAACTGTAAGACCACTGGTGGTGTGATTTCAAAGCCCCCAAGGGAAGCAGTTGGCTGTACAGACATTTTCAAAGTTGCCAGTGTGACTTTAATTGGACTGCCTTCATCATTCATGGCCTCTGCTTCAACAATGTGCAATTCATCCCTTGCACCAGCCCCTAAACTGACTATTCTTAAAGATAACTGGTCTCATTTTCATCATTATCCACCTTAAAGTGATCATCTTTGTCGGCCTTTAGTTCACAACCGAAAAGATAGTTCTGGGGCCTCAGGAGGCTCATGTCCATGTCCATCAAATCTTCCATCGCGTGGCAGCATGCACTTAGATGGGAGAAAAGGCAGATGGAGATAAACAACCGCTGCTCAAGAGAACAGCCACGCAGGATGGAATCACACCAGTTTGCTAAGCATTCTTTAAAAATAACAATGAACATTGGACTAAAACAAGTATTTTTTCATCTTTTTATTTTAAAAGCTAATCTTATGGCTTTTCTAATTTTAATCTATTAATATGGTTGTGATGGCCATGCAAACACGTTAATCAGACATCCTGATGCAGGGAACACAATTGCCTGATGACCCCGGCTGCTATCCTACTGGATAGCACTGTGTTCACACTGAGGCCAAACTTCCTGTGGGCTGCTTCCAGCCATTGGTGAACCAGGGTGAAAGTACTCATGCAGGACTATTTCCACAAGACACAGGACTCCCTCGTGGGCAACTTTGGCTTGCGAACTCCACATTGGCATGTTTAATGTGCTATTATTTATTGTCAGGTATATATTTAAGTTTCTTTATTCTTACGCACCGAATAGCACCACTGGACTTTTGTTGGAAGTCTCAATCTCCCAAAATAAACACTTTATGTGTTTTCTCTTTTAAAAAACAGATTTATTGATGATTCAATCCTCCAGGATACAGAGGATAAAATGAGAAGAACCATATCTCTGAAATAATTGATCAGCAATGAATAGATAGTTGCTGTGAAAGTTAAGCCAACATTGGGGGAAAAAGTGATTATACCAATTTTACAGGCCATTGAATAGTCAATGAGGCCAACATTGGGTTTGTCCTATATATGAAAACTCATTTCACAATGTTTTTTGGGGTTTTCTTATGACCAGAGACTCCAAAAGGATTGATGATACAAAGTGATGGGCATTTCTTAAAATGAAATCTTGAGAATGTGTTGAAAATGATTATAGTGAGGAAGAAGCGGAAACAACGAACAGAGACAGCGAAGTGGTAGAGGAGTTTGCTGGCGAGCGCAGAGTTTAAAAGGACACACCCAAGCAATGGAAGGTGAGAAAGCAGCCAAATGTCACTGGGTCATCAGTTCTTATATTTTTTTCTCATGATGTTTTCTCTTTTCCAATTATCCCTGTTTGAGAAAGAAAGCGACCCTAAGCTTCCTTGTCTTGGAAGAGATTTGTAGTGTGGTAAAATATCTAAGACTTTCTATCTTTTGTTTCCAAGAATTTGAGGCTTCCTTAAGCAAAAAGGAAGACAGCTTTCTTGGGTAGGGGCAGAGTGTCTAGGGAGCACAGGACTTTCCCAGGTTAGAAAGAGATTGTCCGTAGGACGGTCGGAGGAAGAGTGGTCTGTAGGGTCCTTGAGTCGAGGTCACCCGTGCACTGCACTCTGGCTGTGCTTGTTCAAAGCCATATCCCGTGATTTTCTAGCACAGACTTTACCACTAGGCAAAAGCTCATAAGTATTTTTTAAATGTGTGAGCGTCTGAAACATGGAATGCAATGACTCGTGAGGAATTCTAAGGATAACACAAAGAACTTTTGAAGAGCTTCCTAATAGGAGAAAAAGGAAGGAGAGCCTACTATTTGGCCAGGTTGGTATATCAGATGACACTAAAAAGAGAGAGTCACTCAATTCTGATTTTATTTCCCTGTTTTTTAGAACCGGGGCATGTGAAATAAACTAACCTCTCAACTGAGGCATGTGAAGTAAACATGGCTAAGAGGATTCTTCAGGCTAAGGGCGCTGGTTCGTCTTCATCTCTACCCTTCTCTGTGTCACACGGGCTCTCTTGCTAATTGCCTTCTTGTTGGGTTTGGCCAGTGGGAAGCACTGGTGGACAGTTCGGAGCTGGGTGAGAGAGAAGCTGGGGTGTTTCTTCCTAGCACCCTCCCCGGCTTTGGTGTCTCATTCCTTCACACCAATGGACCCTCCTGTTCCAGTTTGTTTGCAGACAGTTCTAGCAACAACACTTCCTTCTCTTGCCCTTTGGGCTTAAGGGGCTGTGCTGGCTATTCTTTGCTCTTCTGAATCCACTCACCCCCATCCTCCAGCTTGCTCTGTCCCCAGGTGGCTCTCCTGTATGGACTTCACTAAAAGCTTCCCTTTCCTCTGGCATCCAAGTGGGCTCGGCCAATAAGAGGCATTAGCTGGATTTCAGAGTGAGGAGGGTGAGATTGGGGCATTCACTCCCCTGTCCTCATATACCTCTGACACCCCCTCCCCAACAATGCTGGGTTGGCTGTGGACAGTGGGCCTCTACGAAAGGCCACACAGTGCTGCTGTCAGGGCTGTCCTATACTACAATCTCTGTGGATTCTAACAATAGTTTCCTCCACTTATTCATTCAGACCCAGGGATATTCACTTCCCCTGTCCTTACTAGCCCCCAAGATATTGAATCATCACTTCTTGTATATCTTAAACACTGCCCACAGCTTTGTAAGTGGTCCCTTCCCTCAATTACCTAGTTTAAGTGGGTCATCTAGTTCTTTCTGCCACCCTGACTCATTCAGAGTCTTAACCAGCTTTCCATTATCTCTGGGGGCTGCACCATCCCTGTCTGTTTCCTTAACTCTGCCCACATCCCTGTAAGTTGTCCTTCTATTAAAGTCTCTTCACATTATCCCTCTGGGGGGTGAGGAGGGGATTCTATGTCCTGCCGGGACCCTGAGCGATACACTAAATGAGGACATGATTAGATATTTACTTGCTGCATTGAGGGAATTTACATTCTCAACCACAGACAGATTATAACTCACAGAACTGAAGTCACTTGCATTATTTGCACTCTCAAATCATTATTAATAATTTCTTAAAAGCTGTAGAGGCTAGGAAACATGATAGGAAACTAGAAATGAGCAGCTTGGTACATGAAGTCCCCCCAAAGGAGAGAAAAGTGGCTTCCAGCAAATTCATATCCATGAAAACATAGGTTCCTAGTAAAATGCCAGAATAAATTCTTAAGCAGATATTTTATGATTACTTAGAAAGAGAAGTAGTCATCACCAAGAGGTCATTATAGTTATTCATTAAGAGAGGAGTAAAGATTTTACATCTTTCATAAGATCTTCAGTCTAAAGAGATAAGAGAATTGTCAGCCCATAATATACATTGATTTCAAGTAAAATTTGATGAAATAGCTCATGCTATTTTAGAGAAGAAATGGATACTGACTGAGGCGCATTTAGATGGATCAAGTGATAGTCTGAATACTTGCATCCAAAGAGAACTAATTGATTAGTTTCAACCTGGAAGTAAATCTCCTGGGGTCTTCTCCATGGCTTTGTTTTCAGCCTTATTTAAAAATTTTTGGCTGGGCGCGGTGGCACGTGCCTATAATCCCAGCACTTTGGGAGGCCGAGGCGGGCGGATCACGAGGTCAGGAGATGGAGACCATCCTGGCTAACACGATGAAACCCTGTCTCTACTAAAAATACAAAAAATTAGCCGGGCGCGGTGGCTGGCGCCTGTAGTCCCAGCTACTTGGGAGGCTGAGGCAGGAGAATGGCGTGAACCCAGGAGGCAGAGCTTGCAGTGAGCCAAGATCGCGCCACTGCATTCCGGCCTGGGCGAAAGAGCGAGACTCCGTCTCAAAAAAAAAAAAAAAATTTTATTGGACACTGATTTGAATGAGCACACAGAATGCACCTTTGTTATTCACAAATTTGACAAATTGTGGGGAAGCGGATAATATTCTGGGTTATAAAATCATGATTTGAAATTATCTCAACCAGTTGGAATTTTAGACTTAAAAATGAAAGATAAAATGCACTAGAGAGAGGCATAAGGATCGGAAGGGAGGAAACAAAGTGTCATCACTCACAGATAACATGACTGCATATGTAGAAAGTCTAAAAGAAACGACAGACAAATTATATTGATATATGAATTTGGCAAGGTCTCTGGATACAAGACATATATACAAAAATCATTGTATTTTTATATACCAGCAACAAACAAATAGAAAATAAAATGCCAATTGCAACAGCAAAAAAACTATTAACTACCTAGATATACATGTAACAAAAGACACATGCAAGACTTTTACTCTAAACATTACAAAACATTATTGGGAGAAATTAAAAGAACGCCTAAACAAGCAGAGGAAGAGACCAGACTAATGGGTTGGAAGACTCAGTATTATAAAAAAGTGAGTTCTGGCCAGGTGCGGTGGTTCAAGCCTATAATCCCAGCACTTTGGGAGGCCAAGGCGGGTGGATCACCTGAGGTCAGGAGTTCAAGACCAGCCTGGCCAACATGATGAAACTCCATCTCTACTAAAAAATACACAAATTAGCCAGGCGTGATGGCAGGTGCCTGTAATCCCAGCTACTCAGGAGGCTGAGGCAGGGAGAACTGCTTGAACCTAGGAGGTAGAAGTTGCAGCAAGCCGAGATCACGCCACCGCACTCCAGCCCGGGCGACACAGCGAGCGAGACTTCATCTCAGGGGGCAGGGGGCAGGGCGGGGAGGGGAAGAAGTGAGTTCTACACAAATAAATAAATAGATTCAACAAAATTCCGGTCAAAACACTACAGATTATTTTGCAGAGATTGCCCAGGTAGTTCAAAATACGTGTGGAAATACAAAGAACCTACAATAGTAAAAGTATTTTAGAAGCAGAACCAAATTAAAGGATATACATCATCAGATATCTCAAGGCTGATTAAAACATGTAGTATTGGCAAAGGAAAAGCAAAATGACCAAAAGAAACGGAATAGAAAGTCTAGAAACAGAATCCGCACATGCATTTTGCCTGACTTATGATTAAAAAAAAAAAAGTCCTTCAATGCATCCTTTAACAGAAACGATGGTCTTGTCAATACAAGGTGTTGGGTCAGCTGGATATCCAAACGAAAAAAGTGTATTTTGATTTCTGCCTCATACCATGCCCCAAAATTTTATTCCAGGTGAGTTGTCAATCTAAATTTTAAAAGTAAAACAATAAAGTTTTTAAAAGGAAATGTAGTAGAACGAGTCCATGATTCTGGAGTAGGCAAGGATAGCTTAAACAGGACATGAAATGTGCTAATTATAAAGAAAAAAATTGGTTAATTAGACTATATTAAAATTAAGAAATTTTGTTTTATCAAATATACCATTAAGAGAATGAAGAGGCAGTATAATTACATAATGGAGTAGTTCTAACAACAAAAATGAACCAACAATAGCCATACAAGACACTGTGGATGGGGCTGGGCGCAGTGGCTCACGCCTGTAATCCCAGCACTTTGGGAGGCCGAGGCGGGCAGATAACGAGGTCAGGTCAAGGCCATCCTGGCTAACATGGTGAAACCCCGTCTCTACTAAAAATACAAAAAATTAGCTGGGTGCGGTGGTGGGCGCCTGTAGTCCCAGCTACTCGGGAGGCCGAGGCAGGAGAATGGCGTGAACCTGGGAGGCGGAGCTTGCAGTGAGCCGAGATCGCGCCACTGCACTCCAGCCTGGGCAAAAGAGCGAGACTCCGTCTCAAAAAAAAACCCCAAAAACCTGGGCGCAGTGGCTCACGCCTGTAATCCAGGCACTTTGGGAGGCCGAGGCGGGCGGATCACGAGGTCAGGAGATCGAGACCATCCTGGCTAACACGGTGAAACCCCGTCTCTACTAAAAATACAAAAAAATAGCGGGGCATGGTGGCAGGCGTCTGTAGTCCCAGTTACTTGGGAGGCTGAGACAGGAGAATGGCGTGAACCCAGGAGGCGGAGTTTGCAGTGAGCCGAGATCGCCCCACTGCACTCCAGCCTGGGCGACAGAGTGAGACTCCTGTCTCAAAAAAAAAAAAAAAAAAAAAAAAAAGACATTGTGGATGAAACTTACAAATGTGATACTGGGCAAGAGAGTACACACAGTATGATTCCGTGTATATAAAACGCAAAACACAAAAATAATCTGGCTGCTAGAAGGCAGGGGAGTGGTTACTCTTGGGCAGACAGTAGCTGCCAGAGGGTGTGAAGGGGCTTCTGAGGTTTGGTAATTTTTTTTTTGTTAGTTACACATGGGCATTCGGTGGGTGTGTTAAAATGTATTGAATTAATTCACTTATGATAATGGCACTTTTCTGTAGGTATGTAATTCATGAGTAAAAAATTTAAAAGTTAATAAAAATAAATACAACGTTTTGAATTAAAGTGCAAAAGTGCAAAAATTAAAGTGCACAAGTAGCAGCCTGGTGTGTCTGGAGTTGGTTCCTTCCTGTGGGTTCATGGTCTCACTCACTTCAAGAATGAATCCACAGACCTTCACAGTGTTACAGCTCTTAAAGGTGGCAGGGACACAAAGAGTGAGCAGCAGCAAGATTTATTGTGAAAAGCAAAAAAACAAAGGATCCACAGCGCGGAAGGGGACCCAAGCAGGTTGCCACTGCTGGTTGGAGTGGCCAGCTTTTATTCCCTTATTTGTCCCCACCCATGTCCTGCTGATTGGTCCATTTTACAGAGTGCTGATTGGTGCATTTTACAAACCTCTAGCTAGCTACAGAGCACTGATTGGTGCATTTTTACAGAGCATTGATTGGTGCATTTTACAAACCTCTTGTAAGACAGAAAAGTTCCCCAAGTCCCCACTCGACCCAGGAAGTCCAGCTGGCTTCACCTCTCACTGAGGAGTCAGGTTAACTAATGTTAGATACCACAACAAACAGACTGTGAAATTTCAGTATTTTAAAGAGTAGACATTTATTTCTCATTGATGCAAAGTCTGATGGGAAGCCTACCTTCACGTGGAATGTGTCCTCCAAGGTATCTGCAGCAGGGGAAGAGAGGAATGGAAGAGGCATACTGGCTTTTAACTGCCTTGGCCCAGGAGTGACACTTTATTTCTGCTCCTGAAACTATAAACATGGATGGCCCCAACCAAACTGTGAGGGAGGCTGGGAAGTGCAGGAAAGCAAATGGGATATTTGGTGAACACTGACTGTGCCACACTTAGCTTGATGGCAGTTGGCTTGAAAAATACTGCAGTGTTTTTAGTTAACTACAAATGTAGCTTGTGCCACCTGTGTATGTGTAATGTGGTTGCTAAGCATAAGGCAACTTTGGAAAGCACTAAAAAAAATAAATATGGTACTCAGGAAAAAAACAACAACAACAAAAGAAGAAAGTAGTTTTCCAGTTTTATTCCATCAGGATCAGGTCACATTTGAAAAATTGTGTTCATTTCTGGATATCACCTTTTAAAAGTGATATTGACAGGCTAGTGCATGTCCAGAGAATGGTAACTACAAAGATACATTAGCCATGGCAGGCTAGGATATATTGCAGTGATAAATAAACACTCAAGCTTTTTTTTTCTTTTTTAAGACAAGGTCTTGCTCTTTCACCCAGGCTGGAGTGCAGTGTCGTGATCATGGCTCACTGCAGCCTCGACCTCCTGGGCTCAACCTATCCTCCCACCTCAGCCTCCTAAGTAGCTGGGACTACAAGAGAGCCACCACACCCAGCTAATTTTTAAGTTTTCTGTAGAGATGGGGGTCTTGCTATGTTGCCCAGGCTGGTCTCAAATGCCTGGACTCAAGGAGTCCTCCCACCTTAGCTTCTCAAAGTGCTGGGATTACAGGTATGGGCCACTGCACCTGGCCCAACTCTCAAGTCTTAATGGCTTAATACAACACTCATGCCACAGTCTGACAGGTGCACGAGAGGTAGCCTTCTATGTGCTGACGCAGGGATTCAAGCGTCTTCCATCTCACAGATTCCATGCCTCTTATGTGTCCTGAGAATTTTCCACTGGATCCTCTGCACTAAGCAAGTCAATGAGTGAAAGAGATCAAGGAAGATCTCATAAGACACATGGCCTGGCATAGAAATAGCACACATACGTTTAATCTTGCTTTATTGGCCGAAACCCAGTCACATGCCCCAACCCAATGGCTAGGGTATTCTTGTATGCCCAAGAAGAGGAAATGGGATTGGGGAGCATCTAGCTAGCTCTGCCACAGATGGTGACAGATCCAAAGTCATGTGGGACACAGTTGAAGGAACTAGATAAAGTCAAACTGGAAAAAAATGATACCTGTTCTCAAATATACCTCCCTCAAATATTCAAAGTGCTGTTGTGTGGAATAAGGAATATACTTATTCTGGATAGCTTCTGAAGGCAGAACTAGGAAGAAAGAGTGAGACAAATGGGACAAAGTTTTATCTGTTTAATATAAGAAAGAACTTGCTATCAATAGAGCTGTTCATCTCAGAGCAGATTACTCTGTGAGTACTAATAAATACTATTTTATTAAGTGCTTACTATGTGCTAAATTCTTAAATCATTTGGTTATAATAACTACTCTTGAAATAGTACTACTAATATCCATACTTTGCAGATGAAGAAACTGGTCTTAGAGAGATTGTGTAAGTTGCCCAATGACACACATATAGTAAGAGGCAGGACCAGGATTTGAATCCTGGTCTTTTTGAACCCAAAGTGTGTGCACTTAAACCCTAGGCCATACTGCCCTTAAGGAATTTTGTTATTAGGTGGTGTGGATAATAACAGTTCAGCAGGGATATTTCAAAGAGGATTTCTTCATTGTATTTGAGTTGGACTGAAATGGAAGCTGTCTCATGATAGGTATGTATAAAGAAACTTCTGAGTACTCACTTCAGAAGCACATATATTAACATTGGAATGATACAGAGAAGATTAGCATGGTCTCTGTGCAAGGATGACACGCAAATTCCTGAAGCATTCCATATTTTTACCACCTGAATTTTTGTAAAAATAAAATAAATAAAATAATTTAAAAAGAAACTTCTGGGGACATTGAAAGAGTCAGTTAAGTAACTAGTGCTTTGGTGTTGGGTGCTGAGGGAAGCGCAGGACTCATACAGGGAAGCAAAGTTAAGCAAAATTCATTGCTGTTCCAACTAAAACTTCACCATGAGTATGTGGTTGCCATAAGTGATTAATAAACAGTAGGAGGTTTGGGGGTGAAAATGACTCATGGGGCTACGTCCTATGCATGAGGGTTTGGCTACCACCAAAGCAAATCTTGATACAGCCACTGCCAGGAATATTGCTGGGCTTCAGCTGGATGCTCAACATCTCCCCCTACAGGAGTCAGAGATGCAAATCCTCTACTTGTGTTGGCTGTAGTAATTTGTTTAGTTCACACTCAGTCACATAGAAGCAGGCGCTGGCAGCCTTAGTAATTTTGTCAGGTAGCCATGGAGACTCTATGTTGCTTCAGAAATTCATGGTCTACAAAGGGCGAGTGGATTCTGAAAGCATTGGAAGCGCATCATAATTCCCTGTCTCTGGCTTGCATTTGTAAAAGCAGATGAGCAAAACAAATATAATCGGACCCAAGTATCCAAACCTATGAAGAGACCCATTGCACAGAACACAGTACTACTAGTCCTGCATCCTACAACAAGCAAGTTCTTATCTGGACTCAAGTGGCTATTCAGGAATTGCTGCATGCCAAGAATACAACACTGCAAGAAAATGCTCTCTAGTTTGTAAAAATTTATACCCTGTCTAAAGTGGTTCAGAAGTCACTGCCTATGCCATTTAAATGTGAAACAAAACAGAGTTCACCCCAAAGGAGAAGAAACAGTAAATATATATGGAGCACAGAATTGAACAGACTGCCACACTTAGGTAAGAAAATTGCTACACGATTTCCAGTAGCTAAAGCTGTAAGAGAAACACAGTTATATATTTTTCATTTTCTGACAACAGGAAGCAAATAAATCCATCAGCAGATAATTTTTTTTTCTCCATGCAAATAAATGAAATGACCAATGAATGGTATGGGTTCTTGTATAAAATACAGAGATTTATGGAGTGAACAGAATCTTAACTTCAGTATAAAAGATACTGAAATGAGCCCTCAGATGGCTCTTGAATTAGACATCCATAAAGACAGAGAGCATAACTTTAAGTAACAATGAAGTCATTTTTGTAACAGGCTCTGTTGACATTGTGCAGAAATTCTTTTTCCAGGGTTTAAGTTAATAGAGGGATAGAACTGTGAAGCTCTATATCAGGGATTCTCAAGCTTTAGTGAATGACTTTGGGAGCTTGATAAAAAGGTGGATCCTTAGGCCCCTTTCCCAGAGCTTTGGATTCTGTAGGCCTGGAGAAGGGCCTAGAAATCTGCATTTTTAACTCTCACCCCACCAAGTGCTTGAGATGGAGGTGGGCTGTAGATCCGATTTTGAGAAACACAGATGGGGTGACATAAGTGGACTTTGAGCAGGTGTTAGGCCAAGATCTGTTTGCAATGGGAGGGAAACTAGCTGGAAGCATTTCACAGCCTCTGTGCAGCTGAGGCTCATTTGGAAGAAGGGCTCAAGGTCTAACGTGGGCCAGGAACTACACTAGATGCTTGCATACACTGACTCTCATAAAGAACCAAGAAGCCACAGGCAGCATTTCTCTTCACAACACATTAGATTTGATGTCTATTTAAATTATCTGCCATGAATTGCTTAGAGCAAAAAGCTTACTATAACATTCTAGTTACAGAATTATGTGAGCATTGTGGTATGTCCAGAGTCCCAGGAATGTTAAGTGTGTATCCCTAGATGGCCCCATTTTTTCTATTGCTCACAGTTATGAAACATAGTTTAAAACTTGTGTCCCCATGAAAGGAATTTGTGCTTTGAAGTTCTTCCTACATCTGAGAAATCTAAACATGCCAGTGGTCATCATAAAGTAACCCTGTGGGCCTGAGGGGGATGTGGGTGTGCACGAGTGATGGGCAGGGAAGCTGCGGACAGGATTAGAGAGCTTCTTCCATTTTTCCCATTACTGGTCACCACAGGTCGTGCTGGTTTGAAAACAGAAACAAAACAAACAAGCAAAAACCCACCTAGCTTTTTGGGTTAAAGAATGGTTAACTTTGGGGCCGGGCGCGGTGGCTCATGCCTGTAATCCCAGCACTTTGGGAGGCTGAGGCGGACGGATCACAAGGTCAGGAGATCGAGACCATCCTGGCTAACACGGTGAAACCCCGTCTCTACTAAAAATACAAAAAATTAGCCAGGCGTGGTGGCGGGCACCTGAAGTCCCTGCTACTCCAGAGGCTGAGGCAGGAGAATCGCCTGAACCCGGGAGGAGGAGCTTGCAGTGAGCCGAGATCGCGCCACTGCACTTCAGCCTGGGCAACAGAGCGAGACTCCATCTTAAAAAAAAAAAAAAAAAAAGTTAACTTTTTGGGTTTGGCGTCGGTGCACATCTCTAGTCATGATAGTGTGTCCGGAATTGGTGAGTTCTTGGTCTCACTGACTTCAAGAATGAAGCCGCGGACCCTCGCGGTGTTACAGCTCTTAAGGTGGCTTGTCTGGAGTTTGTTCCTTCTGGTGTTTGGATGTGTTTGGAGTTTCTTCCTTCTGGTGGGTTTGTGGTCTCGCTGGCTCAGGAGTGAATCTGCAGACCTTCGCAGTGAGTGTTACAGCTCTTAAGGCAGCGCGTCTGGAGTTGTTTGTTCCTCCTGGTGGGCTCCTGGTCTCGCTGGCTTCAGGAGTAAAGCGGCAGACCTTCACGGTGAGTGTTACAGCTCATAAAAGCAGCGTGGACCCAAAGAGTGAGCAGTAACAAGATTTATTGCAAAGAGCGAAAGAACAAAGCTTCCCCAGTGTGGAAGGAGACCCGAGTGGGTTGCCACTGCTGGCTTGGGCAGCCTGCTTTTATTCTCTTATCTGGCTCTACCCACATCCTGCTGATTGGTAGAGCCCAGTGGTCTGTTTTGACAGGGTGCTGACTGGTGTATTTACAATCCCTGAGCTAGACACAAAGGTTCTCCAAGGCCCCACCAGAGTAGCTAGATACAGAGTGTTGATTGGTGCATTCACAAACCCTGAGCTAGACACAGGGTGCTGATTGGTGTGTTTACAAACCTTGAGCTAGATACAGAGTGCCCATTGGTGTATTTACAATCCCTGAGCTAGACATAAAGGTTCTCCAAGGCCCCACCAGAGTGGCTAGATACAGAGTGTCGATTGGTGCATTCACAGACCCTGAGCTAGACACAGGGTGCTGATTGGTGTATTTACAATCTCCGAACTAGACATAAAGGTTCTCCACTTCCCCACCAGATTCAGGAGCCCAGCTGGCTTCACCCAGTGGATCCCGCACCGGGGCTGCAGGTGGAGCTGCCTGCCAGTCCAGGTGTCGTCCGCCGGCACTCCTCAGCCCTTGGCTGGTCGATGGGACTGGGCACCGTGGAGCAGGGGGTGGCGCTCATCGGGGAGGCTCGGGCCGCACAGGAGCCCACGGAGGGGGTGGGAGGCTCAGGCATGGCGGGCTGCAGGTCCCAAGCCCTGCCCCGCGGGAAGGCAGCTAAGGCCCGGTGAGAAATCGAGCGCAGTGCCGGTGGGCCGGCACTGCTGGGGGACCCAGTACACTCTCCGCAGCCACTGGCCTGGGTGCTAAGCCCTTCATTGCCCAGGCCCGCAGGGCCGGCCGGCTGCTCCGAGTGCAGGGCTCGCCAAGCCCACGCCCACCCGGAACTCCAGCTGGCCCACAAGCGCCGCGCGCGCAGCCCCGGTTTCCGCTTGCGTCTCTCCCTCCACACCTCCCTGCAAGCTGAGGGAGCCGGCACCGGCCTTGGCCAGCCCAGAAAGGGGCTCCCACAGTGCAGTGGTGGGCTGAAGGGCTCCTCAAGTGCCACCAAAGTGGGAGCCCAGGCAGAGGAGGCGCCGAGAGCGAACGAGGGCTGTGAGGACTGCCAGCACGCTGTCATCTCTCAATAGGATGCAGGTCAGAGGGCAGGGGTAAGAGGGAAAAACACCTGATTGCTTCTAAGAGTCTAAACGAAGGACACATCCCACCAGTGGTGGTGCACCATGAAGCATTTGAAGGTCCATATAAGACATTTCGAAGCCATGAATCTTGTTTGTTTATTAAAATTTTTTTTTGTTATACCGGAGCATAGAGATCTATCTTGGGGCAAAGTTTCAGAAAATAAGTAAAAGTCCAGTTTTCTAGATTCAGAACTATCAAAGGCTAGACAATGGCAATCAATAATAATGCTCCCCTCCATACCAATTTGAAAAGTTAAAAATTTTATCAGACATGCAGATGTCTTCACATTATGAAACAATTGTAACATTTTTTTCTCCTTCATTAAATGGCCGATTTGACAGCTGTTTCAACTCAACACTCTTATTTTGATTATTTGTTATTCAACATTTGGCCCTGATAGTATTGTCAATTCTAAAGTGCTAAGACTATATTTAAATCAACGGAAATATTTTGGTTATGTTTTATTTACGGGACTTTTCTCTGCTTGTCTTTTAACCTCCCTTAATAGCAGGCAGCCAAATTATTAGCTCATCTATTTTGGCAGAATAAAACAATTCATGGTTTAAAGAGTTTGGAAAAGGTAAAACTTCAGAGAAATATAACAACATCCAGCTTACAATGCTGTTTGTGTACTTTCTATAGGATGTGTAGCTTCATCCTGTAGGAGGATTTCCTCCATTTGAATCCCCAAGGCCTCTGACTGATTTCCCTCTTCCTTTGGTGCTGTTTGTGTTTAAAAAATAATGCCTGAGGGAAAGATAACCATCGTTCTGTTGCTTTGTGGACACATGCATTCTCATACAATTTCTGTTCCCTATTCCTTGTCAGTGATGAGATGAAGAATTGAGTGTAAGCACATCAAAATTGCACAGTAAGTGGTCAGGAGTCTTTCAAATAGCGCTAAAAGAGGCTGAATTGCCAGTGAGGAAGGCGCAGCTGGAAGCTAGATATTGCATCATCTGGCCTTCCTCTGCTGAACAAAGAAAATTATTTTGTGAAGTATGTACAGATGCTCTTATTTCAAGTGACATAATGCATTTGTTTCAATGGAGGTTTTCAATCTGCAACTTTGAAACTTTTCTGCATGTGGAAAACCCCATGACAATTCGTTGTACCCTAGGGTACATCTGAAAGAAAATTGTTGGATCTTAAAGCCAAACCAGCAATTTGGACAAACTTGGAGGATTATTTTTCTGGGATGTTTCCATTTAATATTACAACACAGAGGTTCTGCATTTATGTCAAAAGGGAAGGACTAGAAAAAGGCTTTCTGTAGGCCATGAAACTAGTTATGCTTTGCGATTGTAAATCCATATTGACCACTATAATTCAAGTGTTTAACTTGCATATTCTTAGAAACTGAATTTTTCAGAAAAGCAAGCATCAATATAAGCTTCTAAAATCAAAGCTAATTTAGTCATTTATTTATGACTACCAGGTTGAAGCTTCCTTTAAAAATCCTATTTCATACAGAGCAACAAAAACAGATGACAAAATCTAAATATTTTTACGTTTATTCTAAAGATTGGTGAAAAGTATATTGCTGGATATTTTATCACCATGAGTTAATTGCTCGAGAAATAACCTCCAGATTTAATAAAAGAAAAGAGGAGGTTCTTCATGAGCTAGTTAAAATCATGGATATGCCCCATAACCCACTTCTGTCAGGTAGCAAGGTTGCTTATGGAAAGAAGAGCCAAAGAAATTGTTTAAGCAGGCCAAGGAATTGAAAAAGTGGAAAAGGAGAAGGTTGTCTCAACTGAAGTCACTAGTACCTTTCTAACTCAGAATCTTGGAGGAATTTCTCTGCACATCTCTTGTCCTTTACTTGACAGACCAAAATAAACCGAGATGCCAGAAGAGTTTGTTCAGATTTTTTAGTTTAGTTTCAGTTCCCCAGTTTTTCAGAATTGAAGGCCAACAATATTCCCTCCACACGATGATTCACCTCTCTACCCCTTCATGTTTCTTTAACTTCATTGCCTACTATAGTAAGTACACATTGCCCTGGAGTCAGGTGGACTTAAGTAATCAACAAGAATATATTTATGACCTACTCTTCAAATGCCCTGTGCTAGGTACTGTGGGGGTCATATGGAAGTACCTGGATTTTTACAGTCCTCAATAGGGTCCTTTTGCTTTAGCATAGCCAGTTCACTTGCTGTCTGTGCCCAGGACTTAAATCCCTCCCTCTGGAAACTGCTTACGCTTTCTACCTGCAATACCTTCCCCACACCACTCTGGCAGTTCCTAGCCTTCAAGTATAGTTCAAAATTAACTTCTTTCACTCACCCCACTTTGATTTTTTCTGTGTCGCCTCTGAACACAGTCCCTATGAACTCCTTGAATGTGGAGATCACAATTTATTCATGCTTGTGTGCCTT
Organism: Homo sapiens; assembly: GCF_000001405.40. Classification (NCBI taxonomy): domain Eukaryota; kingdom Metazoa; phylum Chordata; class Mammalia; order Primates; family Hominidae; genus Homo; species Homo sapiens. The sequence goes on from NC_000002.12 coordinate 203,788,581, forward strand.
GTGCCAAGAATAGCCTAGGAAGAAAGTCCATAAGATGATACATACCTTCATTTATTTTCAGTGAAAGGATTGGTCTGAAAAACGGGCCTGCCATTATTGGAAATAGAAAAGCATTAATCTCTTTGAAGAACATCATGTTGCACATTGACCAAAGGGCTGGAAAAAAAAAAAAAAAAAAAAAGAACACCATGTGCCCTGATTTCCTTATCACTTTTCCACATAATAGTGTTTTGCTTGAGGAGAAGCCTCTAAGATTGGTTATTTTTTACAAGTTTGTTTTTTGTTGATCCCAACATGCAAATATATCTGTTATCTATGGATTTGTTCACTCTTTGACATAATCCTCTAAACTCTTTGGGAGTTTTCTGCCCTCTTGATTAGGAAGCGTTTATTTAAAATATCAGTTTTTTTGAATGAACTTAGTGGAATTATGTAGTACAATTTTAGACTAACTTGTAACAAGACAAAATGCCAAACCTTAAAAGATAATCTTTTAATCTTAAATTTAGGGTCTAGACTTTGTTTCTTTGTTTCCTTCCTTATTTTCCCTTCCCACGGCTGGCTGGATGACTTGACCATTTACATTATATATATACATATATATATATATTTTTTGAGATGGAGTCTTGCCGTGTTGCCCAGGCTGGAGTGCAGTGGCGCGATCTCGGCTCACTGCAAGCTCCGCCTCCCGGGTTCACGCCATTCTCCTGCCTCAGCCTCCTGAGTAGTTGGGACTACAGGCGCCTGCCACCATGCACGGCTAATTTTTTGTATTTTTTTTAGTAGAGACGGGGTTTCACCGTGTTAGCTAGGATGGTCTCGATCTCCTGACCTCATGATCCGTCCGCCTCGGCCTCCCAAAATGCTGGGATTACAGGAGTGACCCACCGCGCCTGGCCTATTTACATAATATATTAAGGCCAATTCATTTTGACTGATACTAAAGGTAGACTTGAACCTTGTAATTGATAATCACTTACACAGTGTTTACCATGTGCTAGGCAAAGGCTTTGTGTGTATTACCTCATTTAGCCCTCATAGCTCTAGGAAGTAGGTTCTATTATTATTTATTATTGTTATCCCCTTTCTCCTTTTATATGTCAGTCTGAATGCAGATTCTCCTATTTTCATGATTGACCTTCAGACTGCAGGTTTAGCAGTTGCTAAAAAACAAAAATCAATCCAGCTCCTATTTCTGCCCCAAGCTGCCAACAACAAGGGTTGGGGAAAACTTTTCCAGGCTGACAATTATTGTTAAAAGCAGCTTTTCCTGTAGGCTGTCTGGCAGTAGCAGGAAAGCAGGCTGAGTATCCCATGATTGCCAAAGCAAGGAGGGCTTCTGGTGGAAATGGACTTCTTTGATATATTTTTCCCCTGGGCTGATCTGCTTTTCTATTTCTCCTCTTTCACTGGTGTGTGTGTGTGTGTGTGTGTGTGTGTGTGTGTGTGTGTGTGTGTGTCTATGTTTATTTCAGGTCATGATCTGCTTCTTCTGTCCTGAAAATGCACTTGGAGCTCTATCCATAGAGGTAATTTCAAAGTTTAGAAGTTGTGTTCTGAGTTTTATGTCACAAGCAAATGCTCTGATTTCCAAACATCTGTTCTCTAGGCAGTGTTAAAATTCATTATCCTGACAATTGCCCTTCGGCCTATATGCCAGGGCAGCTGAAGCCAACCCACCCTGGATTCCACCTACTACTCTTTAGGATGAGACAATAGTAATTTTTTTATGAATCACAGGGAAAGTCAGTGAATAATGTCCTTGACATCATCTTTACTGCAAGTACAATAACAAGTTTCACAGGGCCATTCTTTACAATACACTTTAATATCTATGACGCAATGCCAAAACTCACATCAGTGAAATTAATTCTACAAGGCACAAAACACAAGTGTACAAATTTCTGATGGTTTGATTTGAGGATAAACTTTTAGTGTGCCCAATGCAATGAAGAGTCCTTCACAAATATTACTTCTAGTGAACTCTAGGTTATACTCCTGGATAAGCCTTTAAGGCTGTGAGGAACCTGAGAAATCCACTGAAAATTTACATCTAAATACAGTCATCCACCTTCTCTAATCATGTGCTGTGGGAGAATCCCAGTAAGCAGACAGCACTTCTAGATGTTCTTATAAAACAACTAGAGTTGACCCTAGCACAGAAGAATGGATGACTGTAGACCTAAAAAAACATAAGCCCCAAATTCATTAATTCAGCCATGATTAAAATTAAGCTGAAGTCATAAATTAAAATCTTTAGTAATAGGAATCTTGAGATAATAAAAAACTGTTGATACATGTGTTTGGGAATACAAAACTCTGAGTTGGCTTCTTGACATCTTGTTGTGAGAGATAAGAAAGCAGGTTAGAAAATGTTTGCCTACCAGGGACCATAAAATTTGGGTTAGTTTCTATTCCCTTTCTTCTTATTATATTGAGTTTCTGTCTACTGCTCTTTGATAAAAAGAACAAAGACTTTTTCTGAAATAATGGAATTTTAATAGTTTTAATAGTTTCCAAACCTGCTGACTTATAATCTTGGGACTTTGAATGTTTGTTATAAAAGATTACATTTGTAGAGTGTTCAATGAGGAAAGCTGTTAAAGTAGAAAATCATTTTTCATAGAAAGTTGATTTTATTCATCAACTGTGAAGAAACTTCCGTTGTACCAGTATTTATTCACTCCTTCCATAGCGACAAAATTCGTAGCTGGGTACAAAGGTACCTAGGATATAGGCAGTGAGGTATGGGCATGTGACTAAATAATGGCCAATCATATGTGAGCAGAGGTTAATTTGTAACTTTGTGAAAATGTTCTCAAAGGGAAAAGAGTGTCCTACTGGGGTCCTCTTTCCTGCGCTTGTAGTGTGGATGGAATGGCAAGTCACCTTGGAAAATATAGACAAGGACAGAACTACAGTGCTGCTGAGCAAAGATAGAAGGACCTGGGTTTCTGACCCCATAGAGGGGCTCATACCTGCCTAAGACCTCTTACCTCTGGACTTTATTCATATGAGGAGGAGATAAACAGCTGTTTTATTTAAGTCACTATTGTTTTGGGACTATTTGCTAAACCAAATCCTAACAAATAAACCAACTTTGTGCTAACTGATCTGCTGACTATGACCTCATTGATTAAATTCAAATGAACCTAATCAAATGGAAGACTCTCCAGATCATCTGGAGACACATACAATTTCTCAGCCATCCCTAGATCTTTGTGTCACCACCACAAGAGTCGAAGTGTCTGATGAAAGCATCTGATTGGCGAAACCAATGTCCTTTACTTTATGTGTTAAGGATGAGGGAAATTATTGGGTCCTTCTGGCTTCCACTTCAAGATACACACAGTGGGGAATTAACCCCTAGAGAAAAGGTGTTCAAATAAAAGAATATAAATGCCCCCAGTGCTTTCTGAACCAGATCCCTTAGAGTTGGATTTACTGGTGCATCAACTAAGCAGGAAGCTCTTGAAGGAGATGGAGTTGGGTCAGATGGTGTTGGGTAAGGTGAGGGAGCTACTTGAAGGAGGAGCACATCCTACATCAGTGAAGGACAACACTAAATCGTTGTGGATATTTACATAATCAAGGTATATATTAAACATGGAACAGGGCATGCTGGAAAGATGATGGCTCAGCAAGTCTCACCTTTCCTTCTCTTTAATTACTAAACACTCCAACCTCCAACCTCTTCCTGGCTAACTAGGAGTTGGGGCTGGGAGGTAGGTGGAGCCTGGAGGGCATCAGCCAGAGAGCTGTAGCTAAACTTCCAATCCTGCTACTACCCTAAAGCCAGATAAAACCCAGGCAAAACCTTGGGGAAGATTTGAAAGCTGCAGTTCCTGAGGAAGGCTTGGACCATGGGGCACTCAGGGAGAAGGTTAACATTGGTTAGCAGGAGTGTGCCTGTCTTTTTGGTTCCCAGGAGGCTGAAGGGGAAGGCTGTGTTCTCTCCACTTCTGAGGTTGAGTGAGCATGAGAGGCCCATGGAGAAGAGGAATATCCTCCCAATTCCTCAGCAGAGGCTTAGAAACTTTTTCAGTGATGCAATGGGTCAGAAGATCAGAGCTTGCTGCACTTCCAACACTCTCAAGACCGCTACTACTAAAGTATCTTCAAGACGAGACCAAAGAAAATAACACTTCACCACCGGGGCCGGCAGCCATAGAGAGGAAGAGTAAATAAAATAATCAAAGAGGACCTTAACAAAATCTGAGTAATTTACTTGCGGAAAGATTTTAAGCAAACAACAGATAAATCCAAAGACCTCAAGATAGGAGAAGATACTTTGGGGAGAAATTAATGGTATGAAATGAATCTTGCAATATGTATAGTTAAATGGAAATGGATAACTATATCCATTTAACTATGTATAGTTAAAAGTGGATAATGCACTATACTATTTGACTGCATATAACCTAAGAGAAAACTAATGTAGAAAGTAGCTAAAATTGGCCAGGCACTGTGGCTCACACCTGTAATTCCAGCACTTTGTGATAAGAAAGACCATAAAAGATTAGGAAAAAATCTAGGAGACTTAACTATATAACTTGGAAGGTGAGGGAAGAACTTCTTAACTAGACAGGCAACACAGGAGCTATAAAAGGCAGAAATATTTTACTATATGATATATAAAGACAAATATTTGCAGCATAACAAAACAAAACAAAATACAACTGGATGAGGTAGCTCACACCTGTATTCATAGCATTTTGGGAGGCAGAGATGAGAAAATCACTTGAGGCCAGGAGTTTAAGACTAGCCTGGGCAACATAACGACATCATGTCTCTACAAATTTTTTTATTTTTTGAGTTGGAGTCTCGCTCTGTCGCCCAGGCTGGAGTGCAGTGGCGCGATCTTGGCTCACTGCAAGCTCCGCCTCTCAGGTTCATGCCATTCTCCTGCCTCAGCCTCCTGAATAGCTGGGACTACAGGCGCCCACCACCACGCCTGGCTAATTTTTTTGTATTTTTAGTAGAGATGAGGTTTCACTGTGTTAGCCAGGATGGTCTCCATCTCCTGACCTTGTGATCTGCCCGCCTCAGCCTCCCAAAGTGCTGGGATTACAGGCATGAGCCACAACGTCTGGTCCAAAAAATTTTTTTTTAAATGAGCTGGGTGTGGTGGCAGGCGCCTGTGGTTCCAACTACTTGGAGGCTGAAGTGGGAGGATTGCCTGAGCCCAGGAATGTAAGGTTAGAGTGAGCTAGTTTTATACCACTGGCTCAAAAACAAACAACCCAACAAACAAACCAAGACACCAAAAATCCTCTTTACCAGGTAAGAGATACTATAAACAAACTCAAAAGGCAAATGAGAGAGTTGGAAAAAATTTGTAATTCAGATGGCTATTTAAAACTCATAGGAAAAAAATGAGCAAATAATGTGAGTAAATAGTTCTTAAAGGAGCAAATCTAAATAGTCAATATGATATAAGAAGAGTTGAGAAGATGCTTAAACTAGCTAGCAGAAAATGCAAATTAAAGTGGAAATAAGGGATCTCTCTTCTGAACTGTTGTTAGCATGAGGGGTATGAAACACCCACTGTTGATGGAGACGGAAATGCGAATTCTTATACATTTATGTTGTTAAGCTCTTACAGGCTGTGAAGAAAGCAATTTGGTTACATCTTTTAAAACTAAAAATTCATATATCCTTTAATGCAGCAATCCCAACTGTGGAGGACCTATGTCATAGAAACATAAGCAGTAGGCCGGGCGCGGTGGCTCACGCCTGTAATCCCAGCACTTTTGGAAGCTGAGGCGGGCGGATCACGAGGTCAGGAGATTGAGACTATTCTGGCTAACACGGTGAAACTCCGTCTCTACTAAAAATACAAAAAAATTAGCTGGGCATGGTGGTGCATGCCTGTAGTTCCAGCTACTTGGGAGGCTGAGGCAGGAGAATCGCTTGAACTCAGGAGGCAGAGGTTGCAGTGAGCAAAGATCGTGCCACTGCACTCCAGCCTGGGCAACAGAGCGAGACTCCGTCTCAAAAAAAAAAAAAAAAAGAAAGAAATATAAGCAGCAGTAGGTAAGAACATGAATACGAGATGTTTATTTGGCATTGCTCTAGTGATAAAAGACTGGAAATAGTGTAAATGAGTAAAGATAAGGAAATAGATAAATAAGAGTACATTTACATCATAGAATAACATGTAATCATTAAAAAGAATGAAAACAATTGACTCACAGGGATTGCCACAAATTATTGTTGAAGAAGAAAAATCAGATACGTAAAGAGATAAGCATAGTAGGATCCCATGCTTGTAAAGTAACCAGTGTCAAAATCCTACCATTTATCTGATGATTTATGAATATCTGTGTATATATGTATATGCATAAATATGCTTGTATGTGGCTATGTGTATATAAAAAGTACAGAAGGGCACACACTGGTTGTTAACATGAGGTGTGAGGGTGGAGAGTAGGTCAGGATAACTGGATGGACATGAATGTAAGAGATAGAAGAACGTTAGAAAAACAGAGGCTGTTTTAAAAGGGCCCACCATGTGAAATATAATCCTATTTACGTAAAAGGATGTATGTGTGTGTATATTTACATATAAATAAATTTTCAAGCAAATTAAGCAAATAAACAATTTTAAGCAAATCGCAAACACTGTATAGTTTCATCTGGAAATAGCTTAGTAAGAATCTCTAACGTGTCTCTTTATGCATGCTTGTAGTGGTGTTATGAACCAGGAAGAAGGAAAAAGGTGGAAGGATGTCCACTGAATTGTTAGTATGGGTCTCCTCAGGGGGTGGAAGTGAAGTGGGGGGTAGGAGGGATATAATTAGCCTTGCCTTTCTATGTTTTTGAACTGTATTGTTTCACTTGCTGCAATAAGCAGGGAAAACTGGCAATTTGGTCCTTTGGCAGGCCTGAGAATTGGAAGAGCCTTTAGGAATATCTGCCATCTTTTCTCTCGTATTCAAGGCAGCAAGTTTAAGCAATTGTGGACATCAAATAGATAAATAGCAAACTATTAGGAAACTAAGGGATGGCTTTTACCAAACCTGTTAAAGTTAATATTTAATAGTCAGAGATACCACAAAGCAAGATGGGGCAGAGCTCATAAATTTTGGGGTGAAGAATTGTATATATCTCCACCTTCTAAGGAAATAAATGTAAATTTAGAAAATACTTTGTACTAGATGCATTCAAGTAGATATACTTAACTATTCTGCAATTGTTGGACATAGATATTGCCGCCCAGATAATAATGCAATAAATATCTTTCTTGGCTGTCATTAGAAATGATGTTTAAAAAGACTATAGGGTGACCAACCCCTTTTCAACACTAAAGGTTAAGAGAAACAAGAAGTGATAGGTATAAAAGTATCTCCTGCCCTTGCAGAAAAAAGTCTCATGCACAGAAAGAAGACCAAAAGGAAATAGAGTGCACCAGAATACTAACAATGGTTGTTTTTCAAAAGTGATATTATGTGTATTTATAAATAGTTATTTCTATTATTTTCTGTTCTGTCAAACTTTCTGTAATGAGTTTATAATATTTTATGATAAAAGAGAAACCAATAAACCTAAAAAACCCCGAGAAACTTAAAAAATTTAAGTGCAAAAGTTTCCTTTGACAAAAAACATTTATAAGCATGTTGTCAAGGTATTTTAGAGTTCTTTCACTATTTATGGCATTTCATCCATATGTGGACTATTAAGGGCAGAAATACAATATCTTTATTTGGGTCAAAAATCTCTGTATTCAAAAAACAGAACTATAAGGCATTGCAGATAGGAAAATACGAATATGCTCTGAAATTAGTATTTTGGATCCACTATGAGGAAATGCCAGCCTGACATGAAATATTGAAGAGAAGGCAGAAAAAAAAAGCTAGACTATTTCATTACTAATATGACAAAAGCAGAAGCGTTACTAGACCAGCTTTAGAACAGCCCAGCTTCCCCTTTCACTTAATTACTTAATTTCATTCATTCATCCTCACTTATTTGCTCACACAAATATTCATTTAAATATCATATAGTAAGGCAAATTAACCTCTCTGATTGGAAATTTCCTCACAGGTTAAATGGGGACTATTCAGGGGTACTACTTAATTTGCTTAGAGGGTACTTCTGAAAGTAAGGGATAATGAATGTGAAGTTCCTGGCACCTAACAGATACTAAAAAAAAATTAGAACATTGTTGTTGTTATTATTCTTCCCATTAGGTGCCCAGCTTAGTACTAACCACGCTTGGGGAAGGGTTTCACAATAATTCTGGTGAGGAGGAATTGGTGCCACAGCGTGTTAGATGCTACTTACAATTAACAGCATAGAAAACTGTGTGTGGTTTATCCCTAAAAGTAGATTGAGTATGTCTCTACAATTTTTAAATTAATTTTTATCATCTGTGCTAAATCCTTAGTTGAAAGATATCTTTTGTTCCCTGAATCGGTGGCCTGACCTGTATTTTCACTAGCTCTGCCACTGAGACAGGCCATACTCCTTGCCTAGTGATAGCTGAAAAGCTTCTTGCTGGTAAGTAAGTCACCCCTTACCTTTATGTGAGGTGATGACATGGACCCCTTAAATCTTTCCAGAGTCCGTTGGTAGGCTTCTTGGTGGAAACTGCTAGGTGCAAGTTTTTCTGTGAGTACCTGGTAACAGTAACCATGTGTCTCAGTGGCTAATGCATCTTGTGGCCACTTGGAATAGCAACAAGAATCTCCAGATGGAAGGATGCTGCCAATGAGACTTTATATAGTTAAAAGAACATTTGGAAGTCTGGGGATACACATGCACTTTATGTAAATCCAAATTCAATTTAGACTAACACCATGGCCTTCTGGCACCCAATAAGGCAAGGCAACCCAGATGCATGTTCCCATCAGGTGGTAACTCATTAGCTGGAGTAGTCCAAGCTTTCAGTGGTTATGATGAGGGCCCTGTGAGAAAATGCATGCACAGTGCCTAGCATGGTCAGCAGTCAGTAATAGTGACGATTATTTCTGTTGTCAGCATCCAAATCACCATTCTCATGGCTCTGTGGTAATTATCTGATGGCTCAACCAAGAAGGAGCTTGCCTCATTCTAGCCGGTTGCAGGATGAACTTAGTGCCTGGGAAACTGCTTTTCTGGTTATAAAATCAGGTTTAGGGAAAACAGGAGTTGTGGCATATGGAGATATCCTGTTTTTTCCTCCTAACTTGATGTGTGGGCTGTTCTTTTTCTGTCCTAGAAATCATAGTGTTTTAGAATACCTCTTCTTAATGCCCATTCCCCTCTTTTTTGCTGGGATACACATGAGTGCTACATACTTCCACTGAATGTATCCAGATTTGATCAAAAACAGCAAATTGTGGTAAAGCAAAGCACCACGGTTATTCATGAGTCACAGAACTATATGCAGTTCACCAGAGCTGGTAGCTGTCTCAGTTTGGGCCCTCTCTGAAGCAGAGCCTGAAACAAGGACTTGGATGCAGGCAGTTTATTATTATTATTATTTTATTATTATTTTTTTGAGACAGGGTCTCACTCTGTCACCCAGACTGGAGTGCAGTGGCATGATCTTGGCCCACCATAACCCCGCCTCCCAGCGTTAAGTGATTTTCCTGCCTCAGCCTCCTGAGTAGCTGGGATTACAGGTGTGTGCCACCACGCCCGGCTAATTTTTGTATTTTTAGTAGTGATGGGGTTTCACCATGTTGGCCAGGCTAGTCTTGAACTCCTGACTTCAAATGATCCACCCGCCTCAACCTCCAAAGTGCTGGGATTACAGGCGTGAACCACTGCTTCCGGCCCAGGCAGTTTATTTGAGAGGTGATTCTATGAAGCAGGAGTTAAGGAGTGATGAGATAAGGCGGGAAAGGAGGAAAAACTAAGATAAGGGCACATGATGGAGTTTGTCACATTAAGCAAGGGGGCCTTGATTCTCCCCGGACCGTGGAGAAGCATGCCAAATGCCTCTCAGAAGCATCCACCTGAAGGGTTCTCCAGTCACATGCTCTTGAGGATTTCCCTGAGCTTTACTGCTCTGAAATTCTGTGTTTATGCTTGCACATGGTGAGGTGGAATTCAGAGAGAGCCATGAGGTAAAACAAAAACAAAACCAACAAATTAGGGTGAGGGGATCTTCTAGAAAGGTGGAGTAAAGACCTTCAGAAATCTGCTCTTTCATACAAGCAGTGAGAACTGTCCAAATCAACTTTTTCAGAATTCTGGAAATTACTTAAAGTCTTACAGCAGTCTGGGTGCTTACTCAAGAAAAACAGCTGAATCTCAGTAAGAGGAGCAAGACCTGTGGCATTCCAAATTGCCCTAATTCCATCCCACTCTCACAGCTCGGTCAGGCCATGCAAATCAACAACCTTAAAACCGGCAGTTGTGAAAACACAGCCTAGCAGCTACTGCAGGGTGCAGAACAGGCTCGGAGTCCCCCAAAAGCCCATCCCTAGAGAATTTGTCACTATTTGACCTGACAGCTCAGGGCTCGTCTGTTTCATTTGACTCAGAGGTTGTTCCATGCAACCAGCCCTACCCATAGGGCATTTATCAACAATAAGCAAAAGGCAGTTGTTTAACATTGCATTACCTGAGGTGCCATTACAAATTCAGGCTAACAAGAGGCTAAGCACAAAATATAAGAGGAACACTGGTGAATTAGATAACTGTATGGGTTTTGAAAAGCTTTGCCATATTCCTACAAATCTAGAAGGCCACATGCATGCATAGGGCTGTGTACATGCTCAGGAAAGTACTGGAAGACCCTAGGCTCTCACCTGTGGCTGACTTTAAAGCTCTGTATATGCAGGAAGTGAAAGCAAAGGCAGAATTGGAAATGGCTGCTAAAATGTGGGCCAAGGCACGGTGGCTCACGCCTGTAATCCCAGCACTTTGGAAGGCCAAGGCCGGGGGATCACCTGAGGTCGGGAGTTCGAGACCAGCCTGACCAACATGGAGAAACCCCCATCTCTACTAAAAATACAAAATTAGCTGGGCATGGTGGTGGGTGCCTGCAATCCCAGCTACTCGGGAGGCTGAGGCAGGAGAATCGCTTGAACCTGGGAGGCAGAGGTTGCAGTGGGCCAAGATCACGGCACTGCACTCCAGCCTGGGCAACAAGAGTGAAACTCCATCTCAAAAAAAATAAAATAAAATAAGTAAAATGTTGAAGGAGTGACCCAACACACACACAGATGCCACAGGCAAAGACTGGGAGAATCACTGGTTCAAAGAGTTTAAGGAAATCTCGGTCCAGTTATGAGCTGACCGCTAAGCTAACCAAGCTGAGACTCCAGTGGCTGCATAGGGCAAAGAATATGGACTAAACAGAATTAGTCGAGGAAAGTCACTAAACAAACAACAGCAATAAAAAAACAACAAAGAGCAATAACAGCAAACCCTGGGAAGGAAGGGGAATCTGATTTCCAGAGGTGACACATAATTTACAATATCTAGTTTTCAGCAAAAAACGATAAGCCTGACAGATCAAGTAGTGACAGCTCTCCAGGGATGGGCTTTTGGGGAACTCCGAGCCTGTTCTGCACCCTGCAGTAGCTGCTATTTTCAGCTGTGTTTTCATAATTCTCGGTTTCAAGGTTGTTGGTTTACAAGGCCTCACATAAGTATGGCCCACACACAGGGGAAAAAAAGCAGTCAATAGAAACTGCCTCTGAGGAAACCCAGATGTTATACTTACTATACAAAGACTCCAAATTAGTTATCATAAATATGTTCAAGGATCTCAAAGAAACCATGTCTAAAGAATTAAAAGAAAGTATAAGAATGTTGGCCCATTAAATATAGAATATCAACAAAGAGTTATAAATTACAAGAAAAAAGAGAACTAAATAGAAATTCAGGGCTTGGAAAGTTGCTATAGACTGAATGTTTATGTCCCCCGAATTCATATGTTGAAACTGAATCTCCAGTGAGATGGTATTTGGAGGTGGGGCCTTGGGAAGGTGATTAGATCATGAGGGCAGAGCCCACACCAGAACTTGACCATGCTAGCAATCTTATCTTGGACTTCCAGCTTCCAGAACTGTGAGAAATAAATTTCTATTATTTATTTATTTATTTATTTTTTTGAGACGGAGTCTTGCTCTGTCGCCCAGGCTGGAGTGCAGTGGCACAATCTCGGCTCCCTCCCGAGTAGCTGGGACTACAGGTGCCTGCCACCACGCCCCACTAATTTTTTATATTTTTAGTAGAGATGAGGATTCACCATGTTAGCCAGGATGGTCTCGATCTCCTGACCTTGTGATCTGCCCGCCTTGGCCTCCCAGAGTGCTGGGATTACAGGCATGAGCCACTGCGCCCGGCCTGTTCTTTATAAGCCACACAGTTTATAGTATTTTGTTACAGCAATCCAAAGAGAATAAGAAAAAGGTACAACAACTGAAATGAAAAATTCTCTAGAGGGTATCAACAGCAGCTTTGCACTAGAAGAAGAAAGAATCTGTGAACTTGAAAGCAGGTCAACTGAGAGTGCCTAGCTTGTGGAACAGAAAGAAAAAGAATAAAGAAAAATGAATGGAGCCTCAGAGACCTGTGTGACACCATCAAGCATACCACATACAAATAATCAGAATCCAAGGACAGGAGAAAGAGAAGGGGATAGAAGGGGATAAAATATTTGAAGAAATCGTGGCTTAAAAGCTTCCAAACTTTGATGAAAAACATTAATCTGCACATCCAAAAAGGTCAACAAACTCCAAGCAGGAGAACTCAAAAAGATTGACACTTAGATACATGCATTATAGTCAAACTTTTGAAAGACAAAGAGACTATTGAAAAAAGCAAGAAAAACACTCATCACATACTATGGATGCTCATAACAACGTCATTCATAACTGTCAAAAAGTGGAAACAAATGTCCGTTAGGGGATGAATGGATAAACAAAATGTGGTACGTTCATATAAGAGAATATTATTTGGTCACAAAAAGGAATGAAGTTCTGATACATGTTACAACATGGACGAACCTTGGAAACTATGCTAAGTGGAAGAATTCAGTCACAGAACACCATGTACTGTATGGTTCCAGTCATATGAAATGTCCGGAAAAGACAAATCTATAGAGACAGAAAGTAGATTAGTGGTTGCCAGGGGTGGAGGAGAAAGAAATGGAAATTGACCATTAATGGGTATTTTCTGAGATGACGAAAATGCTCTGGTATTAGATAGCACTGATTAATGCACAATATTGAGAATATACTAAAACCACTGAATTGAACACTTTAAGAGTGAACTTTGTAGACTGTGAATTTTATCTTGATAGGCTGTTATTTAAAAAATCAAACAAACTACTTGGTGAGTGCTTGAGGTGGGACACTGCCAGCTGAAGACAAATTTGAGCTCCCATGAACTGCCCCACCACTGTCATGGCTGAAATCAGGTGAATTCAGGGCAGGTGATGTCTGGCACCAAAGAGATATGCTCCAATAGCCTGTGAATAGGTAAAATAAGCTGCAGGTTATGTGCTATTTCTGGAGTTTTGGGGTAAATTTGTGCCTTGCTTTCCTGCTCAAGCAAATGAAAGGGAAAATGAATGAATAGAAGTGGTGCAATTTATAGTGATTACATTGAATCCCCTGTAATTAAATTTAAATACAATTCTAAATTTTATATTCTAAATACAATTCTAAATTATAATATTTTAGAAAAATCATTCATAATTTTTTTTATTTGTGGTACATCTCACAACAGATAGAAAGTTAGCACTGTGTGGCAAGAGCCTGGTAGACAGCCTGGCTTAAGAGATCATCTATTTCAGTGGGTCCCAGATTTTGGTAACCACAAGAGTTACTTTAGAAGCTATTAGAAATGTTGACTCTGGATCTCTCCTATTCTCTAAACTCTCTTCTCATTCCTCGGCTAAAGAATGTGATTCACTAGGTCAGGAGAGGGGCTGAGGTGTCGACACTGCCAAAAAGCAGCCCTGGTGATTCTGATGCAGGCAGTCTATGGTTCCAGTTGAAAAATATTGATATTGCCCAACTCACTGGTCTTAGATGAGATAATTGAGACACACAGAGGGGAAATGACTTGCTTGAGGCCACATGATAGAAGCAGAGGTATAGAGTGGGAATTTGCATTCAGGTCTCGTCACCTGCAGTCTCATGCTCTGTCCATTCCACCACAGCTCTTCTCACATAGTTGGATTAGAACAGCCCTGTGGTCACCACTCAGGAGTGCTCAGGAGAGTGGTGGACTTGTGTCAGGGAGCATTCAAACCACTATACACTTGCCAATGGCTCAGGCAACCCGAATTTCTGCTGCTTTTGCATATAAAAAGCATCTTGTGCAGAGCATCAGAATGTGAGTGATGCCACGTGGGAGCCGAGGAAGGCCAGTGAATGTGAGAATGTGCGTGTTTGAAAGTACTTGGAGATTTCAGAGAGTGGCAACCCAAGGACCCACAAATGACTCATTTCTTTTTAAACCAGAGCTACATAGTGTTAAGCATTCAAACATTTTCAGACATGTGGATCACTGACTTTAGTGTTCAGTTTCCTGCTGGCACCTAATACCATGAAATTACATTGCAGAGAATTCTAATTCATAGTCAGAACAGTTATAAATATATTTGGCTACAAAAAACAGAGACAATGAAAGGAATGAGACAGAGTGCTATGAACACTCTTCAAAGATAAAAGATTAGTCTTGAAACTATATCATAATTTTATAGAATGGGGAGTCTAGGCTGAGAAAACCTTATATGGTGGCATAAGAAAACATGGTGCATTGCGGGGACTGGGAGATACAGAGTTTAGTGTGGCTGGGTAAGGAGTGTGTTTGGTGTGGCTGTGTGTGTGTGTGTGTGTGTGTCTGTGTGTCTGTGTGTGTGTATGGGAGGCAGGGGAAGGGGAGATTAGGGATAGGGAGGAGCATGAACCCTGAGAGACAAGGTCAGGGTGGGAGGAAGATCCAGATCACTAAAGGCCTCAAATGCTATTTTATGGAGCTTGGACCTCATCTAATTGACATTGGGGAACCGCTAGAGGATTTCAAGCCATGCAGGTGGAATTGCAGTTTAGAAGGATCACTCAGTTTGGAGTATGGAGAAAAGCTAGAAAAGGGATGCAGGAACAGAGGCCACTAAAAAATGATAAGGGCCTGAACCAAGGTCTTGGTTAGAAGTTCTTCCCAAGCTTGAGGACAACCAGTTTCAGTTGCCACCACTGGGCAGGTCCCCAGAAGACACAATACTTGGGACCATTGTCCCCACTGCCTCTTTACTTCTTAGGAGACATCTGTGATCAGATTTGAGAATCAAATTTCAGAGAGGCAAGCTTGGACGATGGGTGTAAGTGTTGTAAGAAAAATTGGTAAGGAGACGAGAAGAAAAGATGAGAAAAAGGAGCAGGGAGAGGAAAAGAGACAAGAGAAAAGATATATGAATATCTAGAACTTAGAAGAATCATTAAGAGGTCATTCTTAGTTTGCAAAATGTTTCGTAACGATTGCTTTAAGAAAAACACCCAGAATTTTTAAGCTCTATATCTTCTCTAGTGATTAATTTCTAAATTCATTTTGAAGAGGTCATTATTAAATTAATTATCTCATAGCGATCTCATGTATAAATATCATGCCAAAGAGGTAAAAATTTATCGAGGCTCACACAGGAAGCTGATCAACATTCTGTGGTTTGACAATCTGCATTCTGAGCAGGAGCCAGGGTTTAACTTTACCACATCTCAGAGGAATTCAGATTTTCTGAGAAAGGGCTGAAAAATTTGCACTCCCTGGGGTGGCAGAGGAGGCTAGGGCTAGAAGCCAGGTTACCAAATCCCTGTGTGGAACACGTGGGCAGATGTGAAAAGTGGGAGGAATGTTCAGACCACATCGTCTCCTAGTGAAAGTACCAATGCAAGCTTGCAACCATAGCAACACAATAGCCCTATTAAAACACACACACAAAATCTGTCAATGAATTAAAAAACTCCACTTTTTGCTAGTAAGTAAAGCTTGGCGTTTATTTTTGTTTGCTCTTTATCCATTTGATTAGAAACCCGCTGTTAAAAGACTCCAATTCCTTGATAACCCTTTCTAGTACAGAGGCAAACATTTTAGGAATATAATTTGTACTTGAAGAGGATAATTCTCTTGTGACTCTAGAAGGGAGAAACATGAAGAAAATACGAACTAATAAGAAAGACCAGGTGTGGCAACTCATCCCTGTAATCTCAGCACATTGGGAAGCTGAGGCAGGAGGATCACTTGAACCCAGGAGTTTGAAACCAGACTGGGCAACATAGTGATACCCCATCTCAAAAAAGAAAAAAAAAGAAAGAAGGAGATGGCCTTAAGGTTTCTTGTCTTGGCACCAAAATGAAATCAGTGATGAGTGGGTGGAGGACTGGAGTTACTATGGGCAGTGCGTGGGGGAGATAAGAAGAAATTGCCCTAAAGATATGTCAGGTCTCTTTCTAAAGAGTAGGACTTGGACCAAGGAGAAGGAAGTGAGTCATGCAAGCACAGGGTCAGATCCTGTCTTCATTAAAAATGTGATATTTTGATAATGATTTTCTTGCATTCATTTTAATTCTTTAAAATATTACACGAAAATGTTATTTGATTAATTTTTTAGTGCTCCTTAAAATTTGTACCTGATACATCAACTCATGCTAGTTCCTGCCCTGCTAAAGGGAAACATTAATAAATGAGAAAAAATATTTATAGTTCATATTAAATATTGTTTGCATTCCGAACTCTACTTGGAAAGCAAAGCCATGTTCTCTAGGTCCACAGGTCCCAAGCTCTACCTCCCGTGGTTTCCCAAGGCCAGGGTGTGTGGAATTGAACATTTCACAATCTGGGGGAGACAACACAACTTTATGGTTTTTTCCTCTGGTTGCTTTGAAGATTTTCTCTTTATTTTAAGCAATTTGATAACATTATGCCTTCATGAAATTTTCTTCTTGTTTCCTAAGCTTGGTGTTGGTTGAGCTTCAAATCTGTGAGTTTATATCTTTAGACAAATTTACATCTAAAAAAATTAATTTAAAAATTTTTTCTGTCTTCACATTTTCCAACAGGAAAATAATATATAATTGGACTGCAATACTCCAATTATATGTGTATTGGACTGCTTAAAGGTGTCTGATGTTCTCTTCATTTTTCAGTGTGTTTTCTCCAGGAGTTTTATTATGCATGGTTCCTATGGCTATGCCGTCAAGTTCACTAATATTATTTTATTTGGTGTTGAATCCACTGTTTATCCTACCCAGTGTATTTTTTTCAGGTGTTGTAGTTTTCATTTCCAGAAGTTCTATTTGGGTCATTTAAATAGATCTCATGTCTCTTTTTAATGTGCTTAATCTTTCCTCCACCTTCTTGAACATATGGAATATAGTTACAATAACTACAATGACATGATCTCAGCTCACTGCACCCTTGACCTCCTGGGCTCAAGAGATCCTCCCACCTTAGCATCCTGAGTAGCTGGGACTATAGGAACATGCCACCACACCTGGCTAATTTTTGTATTTCTTGTAGAGCTGGGGTTTCACCATGTTGCCCAGGCTGGTCTGGAATGCCTGAGCTTAAGCTATCTGCCCACCTTGGTCTCCCAAAGTGCTAGGATTATAGGTGTGAGCCACTGAGCCTGACCATAACTACATGTCTTAATGTTTTTCTCTACTAATTCTAACATCTTTATCATTTCTGGGTCTGTTTCTACTGATCAATTTTTCTTTTCATTATGAGTTATATTTTCCTGTTTCTTTGCATACCCAGTAATTTGGATTGGATGCCAGATATTGTAAATTTTACCTTGTTGGGTATTGGTTTTTTTTATAGTCCCATAAATATTTTTAATGTTTGTTCTGAGATACATGTGCATTACTTGAAAACAATTTGAAGTTTGCTTTTAAGCTTTGTGAGGTGGGATGAGAGCTGCCTTTGGTATAAGGCTGATTTTTCTCACTACTGATTCCAGACTCCCAGCTCCATCTTCTCAACTAAATGAGACCTCCTCTCTGCATGGTATCTTGGAAATTTTCCAGGCTGTGAGCTGGAACAATCATAGAGCTCACCTTATTTGCTTTCCCGCTCTTAGAGATCACTGTCCTGTGCTGTCTGATGTTCAGTGTCTAAAAACTATACTTTCTGATATTTTGCCCATTTACTTTTTAGCATTTTTCAAGACAGGATCAATTAGGTCTTTGGTATTCCTCTTTGCCTGAAGTGAAAGTCTTGAACATTATGGCTTCTGACTGTGGTTGATGAGTAATATTTTTAGAGAACAAAATAAAGTATACCTTGAATGACCAATTAAAGCTTTCTGAATGGTTTAAGACACTTTAATAAAATTTACATCACCTATAAGTGTCAAAACAATTATAAATTTATACTCATAGTTTTCATATAACCCCTTAGTGAGTAGGTGTCAAAGTTTCATTTCTCATTAATGAGGTAATCAGAAGAATGATAAAGCCAGTGAGGAAAGTGACACAAAGAGAAGGCAAATGGCCAGGCACAGTGGCTCATGCCTGTAATCCCATCACTTTGGGAGGCCGAAGCAGGTGGATCACTTGAGCCCAGGAGTTTGAGGCCAGCCTGGGCAACATGGTGAAACCCTATCTCTACTACAAGTACAAAAATTAGCCAGGCGTGGTGGCACACACCTGTAAGCTCAGCTACTCAGGAGACTGAGGCATGAGAATCGCTTGAACCTGGGAGGTGGAGGTTGCAGTAAGCCGAGATGGCACCATTGGACTCCAGCCTGGATGACAGAGCAAGACTCTGTCTCAAAAAAAAAAAAGGAAGGGGGGGACAGGCAAATGACGTATTAGAAGGAGGAAGAGAGGCAGAGAGAGAGAAAGGGAGAGAGATGGGGAGAGAGAGAATGGAAAAATATGCTGGAATAAAATTGCTAAATTACATACAAACTGGTTAATGTCCCACAGGGCAAAAAATCATAACCTTTGGGGTTATCATCTAAGCTGAACAGAAATAATTTTTATCTCTATGATAAAAAACTCATTTGCATCATATTTGTTTTCCACAAGTTACATCAAATCCTTTACAGGCTTAAAAATGTCTAGATGTTTAATAGTAGTAATGGTAAAAGTTACTTTCCACTAGAGGGTCAGATGATCCTTGGATGGGCTAAAAGCAATGTTTTAATAAGGGATTGGATGGACACAAGTCATCTTTTTGCGTTATTTCCAAGTTTTGGGAAAAAAGGTTTTGGACAAATTTTTTTTTTTTTTTTTTTTTTTTTTTATCACAAGAATTAACTGTAAGTCGATGTTATCTGCCATGACATAGCTGGCCACTCTGGGCCTACATTTGCTCATTTAATGAAAAGACAAAACTAGACTAGTGGTTTTTAATTGTGATTATATGTTAGAATCACTCAGGGGAGCTTTTCGAAAATACAAAAGAAAGGGTCTTTTACCAGACCAACTAAATCAGACACTTTGAGGGGGACGTCTGGGCATCACCAAGTTTTTCAAAAGTCCCCTATTACCCTAATGTGCAGCCAGGGTTGAAAACCACTGGTCTAGACTGAGTTGCTCAGACCCCTTTCAATAACAATGCACTGTGATTCTATAGCTTGAAGCACAGGCAAATCATTTTTGCGCTGAAGAAAGTTGACATAAATACAAGCTCTGCTGACCGCAGTGCATTCCCAGTGACTTGGAAATGATTCAGGGCTGCCAGCATTCATTCCATGGTGTGGAAGCAGTGGGAAGAGCCAGGGGTGGGAGCGCTGAATGACCGGCCTTTGTGTTCCAATTAGATACAGTCAGCTTGAGTTGTTAGAGAGAGATAGGAATGTCTGCAGCCCATTCTTTTAAAAAAAAAAAAAAAGATATATCAAAATTCATTTTGTGCCCCTGGCTCTCTGTTGCTAACCTCATTCCCACTTCCGGAGCAGGTGCTCTTTCATCTTTCACACAGTTATTGGAGATGGCATTTCTGATTTAAGACTGTGCATTAGTAAATTAAGGCCATGACCAGTAACATGCACAAAAATAGCGCAACAAGTATAAGCCTTTAAAATAATGTTAAATAATGAAATTCTATTCCTTCATGCTTGTTATCACTGAAATCCATTTTTTGTAGCTTTTAAAAAAATTACAAATCATTAAAAGCAAGGGCTTTTGAAATGCTTCACCCTACAACTATGCTTATAAGAAACACATAGGATATGTTACTAACTGAGCAAGCCGGAAATTAAAAGAAAAATTGTTTAACTTGATAACTTTTTTTAAAAAATCATAAATAATGTTGAATTTTTTCAAGTGGCTTTTGGGCATCTTTCTTGATTATTGTTCAACTTCTTTCCTTTGATCTGTTAACATAGTGAATGTTAATAGATATCTAAATATTAAGCTATCTTTTGACTTCTGGGATCAATACTATTTGTTAATGATAGGGTATTCTTTCAATATTCTATTTGATTTCATTTATTTCCCTTCTGATACTTTTGAGGATAATCTTCTTTTGTATATAGCAAGTTGGGTAGGGACGGTGTTAGTTTCATAATCATTTGATAGATTAGAAAACTGAAACACAGAGATAGTAAATGACTTATTATCTAAGAACAAATGGCAAACAAGTATTTGATTTCTGGCCCAGGGATTTTTGGTCTGTTCTCCACCAGGAAATTAGTGTTTCATCAAGCAAATATGCCATCCACCAAGTATTTCAGATAACCTCACAATATTTCACATAACCTAAGAGTAGTGTCTTCTAGTTTAGCTACATCATTAATGCCATTTAAAATCCTAATTCCTAATGCTCTCCTTTTTTTATTCTCCACAGTGACAGTTGTCATAACTATATCTAACGATTGTGGGACTTGGAGAAAAATGCAGAGTGGAAGCAGGAGGAGGTGAGAATAAGGAGGCCAGAAGGATGGCTGAGTCATTAGCTGAGCTCTCCAACCTCCTCCTGTACTATTCTCCCCTTTACTCACTAACTCTAGCCACACTGGCCTTCCTTTTGTTCTCCGAACTTTCCAAGTCCATTCACGGCTTAGGGCCTTTGCCTTTGCTGTGCCTTCTGTTTAAAATGGTCTGCCCTAGACTTATGCATGGCTGGCTCTTTCCTTTAGTCAGGCCTCAGCTTACATACTACCTCCTCAGAGAGGCCTTCCCTGACCTTCCATCTAATTAGCAGATACCCACTATATAGGTTGCATATCCATAATTCGAAAGTCCCAAATCCAAAAAGTTCCAAAATCTGGAACTTTTTGAGTGCTGACATGATGCTCAAAGGAAATGCTCATTGGAGCATTTTGGATGTCTGATTTTTGGATTAGGGATGCTCTGCATGGGTAAGTATAATGCGAATATCCCCAAATCTGAAAAAAAATATTGAATTCTGAAGTAATTCTGGTCTCAGGCATTTTGGATACAGGATACCTATCCTGTATTAGCTTGCTAGGGCTGCCTAACAAAGTACCACAGACTGAGTGACTTAAACAACAGAAATTGATTATTTCACAGTTCTGGAGGCTGGAAGTCTGAGATCAAGGTGTCAGCAGGTTTGGTTCCTTCCAATGGCTATGAGGGAGACTCTGTCCCAGCGTCTCTCCCTACAGCTTGTTACATCATCTTTTCTTTATGAGTGTCTCTGGGTCCAAATAAGAAGTTTACTGGGAGGTGATCCTGGCAGAGGAGGGGAGGGGTGAGGCAGAGGATAGAAAGAAGCCAACAAAGGGTGTGCACTGTGGACAACTGGAGCTTAATCCTGCTGAGGCCCTCTGGGAGCCAGTGTGGAATACACCCCAGAGTCATCTCCCCCAACGGGCACCCGTGTTCACCAGTGTACCCAATTCCCATCAGCCATGGTTGGTCTGCTCTGGGGTGCTCATGGGTGGAGAGCTGCTCATGACTCTGGTGGCTAGAGAAAGGCCACAGACAAAGAGTTGGTGGGCTGCTGGAAATCCAGTCCACCAGTGCCCACTGAAAGATAAGGCCTGAAGGAGTAAAGACAGGGCAGTGACTGTGTCAGCTACTGATTGACACAGTGGCTGATGGGCTACAGTAGATTGATGGGTGTGTGGCTGGGGCAGAGAGGCAGTGAAGCTATGAGGAAAAATTTTCCCTACTTTCTCCCCTAGGAAGTAGAGGAAAAGTTCTTTTTTTTTTTGTGACACAGAGTCTCCCTCTGTTGCCCAGGCTGTAGTGCAGTGGCGCGATCTCTGCTCACCGAAACCTCCGCATCCTGGATTCAAGCAATTCTCCTGCCTCAGCCTCCTGAGTAGCTGGGATTACAGGCATGCACCACCATGCCCGGCTAATTTTTTTGTGTGTTTTTAGTAGAGACAGGGTTTCACCATATTGGCCAGGCTGGTCTGGAACTTCTGACCTAGTGATCTGGCCGCCTCGGCCTCCCAAAGTGCTGGGATTACAGGCATGAGCCACTGAACCCGGCCAAGGAAAAGTTCTTGATGAACATCCTCTTGAAGACTATTTTGAATAGGTAATACTCCACATTGTATACAATTCGAGTATAAAAGTACACAGTGAAAAGTGTAAGTCTCCTTTTCTCACCACCCACGTCTGTCTTCTGCTGCACTTTCTTGTATATCCTTTCAGAGACAGTACAATGGTGTTGAGTGTGCGTGTGTGTGTGTACATATTGTACAGGTAGGTATTACATATGTATACATATTACACATACAGTTAATATATATGTGTATGTATGTGTGTACACATACATATTTATGTTTTTACATAAATTGCCCCACACAAGCAGTAGCATATAATATATTGTGCTCCTTTTACAAATGTATCTTGGGGAACTTTTTATATTACTGCATGTAGCTTTGCCTCAGTTTTTAAAATGGCTGCATAGCACCCAATTTAATGGATGCACAACAATTTAACAGATCTTTTAAATTGTTTAAAAATATTTTTCTTCTGAACTAAGTATTTTTGTGCATGTGTTATTGAGAGCATTACAGGAATCTGTAGGGTAAGTGCGTAGGAATAGAATTGCTGGGTTGAATGACACATGCATCTGAAATATTGATAGATAGTGCAGAATTTCCTGGACCTAACATACATTCCTATGGGATTGACCATTAGGAGGCCAAAGAACGGAAGTGGAGGGGTAGGGAGTAGAAGAGGAGGGTGGGGCAGTGAGGCCTGGAATAGCAGACATCAAGATTCTGGTGGCACAGTTCCTGCTGAGGACAAGGTCCAGGGTGTGCCCGCACCAGGAAGTGGGTGGCATGGGGCACAGTGCAGGCGAAGGTCAGTGAAGCAGAGGAAGTTAAAGAGCTGTGAGTTGGTGGGTGACTCACCCCGGTGATGTCAGCTAGTTTATGCTGGTGAGCTCTTCATCAGAACTGGAGAAATGTGGTTAGAGAAACCTTCAGCTTCTCTTTAAATCTAGCAGGGAAGAGCCAGATGCCTCCCAGTCCATTGTCTACCCTGAGGAGCAGAGAAAAAACTCTTCACACTTTCACTCTCTGAGGAGAAAGCACGTCAATCAAAATGGCTGCCTCAGGGGACCCACCATGATGTCTCCATTTTTTATGATGGCATCTGTGGCACCGGGACAGGCAGGGCTGTTTCTGCAGATCCTCCAGCTTCGAATGAATTATGCCTGTGGACAACTCATTTCACATCTCGGGTCCTCTAAGTGTTTCTGACATTGTCAGAACAACCCTGGTCTGGGGCACCTCTTTCTTGATAATAAAACCAATAGCAACAATGACAGCAGTAGCGGTTAACATGCTGAATAATCAGTTAGGGGTTGTGTTCAGCCGCAGGTAGCAGAAACCTGAAAAACACTGGTTTAAATCAGAGACGAGTTCTCATTTCCCTCAGGTACCATGAAGTTCAGGGATAAGCATCCCATGAAAGGTATAGCAGTTTCGCACTGCCTTTTGTGTCAGGAGCCTCTGTTTCTGCTCTGCCTCTCTAGTGTTGACTTCCGTCCTCCTAGACGGTGGCTGGAGTCCTAGCCATTGTGCCTGTTTCATGCTGGAAGAAGGAGGTAGGGGTCAAAGGCGAAAGGGAGCATGACGGATGAATTGACATCTCCCGCTCCTACCTTTTAATGAACTGTCCCAGAAACCCCACTCAAGCACTGGAAGCTTACATCTCGCTGGACAGCTTATAGTCATGTGGCCACCCCTATCTGCAGGGAGCCTGGGAAACAGATTTTTAGCCGTGCTCATTGCTGTCGCCACCAAATCAAGGTTCTGTTAATAAAGTAAAAGAGGAGAACAGATATTGGCTAGGTAACTGGCAGGGTCTCCCAGATGTCCCAGGCACTTCACATTTTTTAAAAGTTGTATTTTATTTTTTACTGTGGTAAAATATACATAACATAGAATTTACCATTGTAACCATTTTTAAATGTACAGTTCATTGGCATTACATATATTTACAATGTTGTGCAACCATCACCATTATCCACATCTCAAATAGTACACTGTACCTGTTAAACAGTAACTCCTTCCTCACTGTCCTGGCTCTCAGACACTGGGAACTTCTCTACTTTCTGTCTCTATGAAGTTAGTACCTCATGAAAGTGAACTCATACAGTATTTGTCCTTTTGCGTCTGGCTTATCTTGCTTAGCATAGTATTTCCAAGGTTCATCCAGGTTGAAGCATGTATCAGAGCTTCATTCCTTTTAATGGCTGGATTACATTCTATTTTATAGATATATCACATTTTGTCTATCTATTCACCTGTCGGTAGACATTCGGGTTATTTCCAGCTTTTGGCTCTTGTGGATACGCTGCCAGGAATGTTGGTGTACCAGTATCTGTTTGAGCCCATGCTTTCAAGTCTTTTGTGTATATACCTAGAAGTGGAATTACTAGATCTTGTGGTAATTCTGTGTTTAACCTTTTGAGGAGCTGCCAGTTGCCCTTTACATTTTGTATTTTATGTTGTTTTTACAGACTTGTAGTTGTTGAAGCCAACGTTGGAACTGATCTAGAGGGGCTGCCTCCTCTGGATCCAGGTGACTCTCTAGCTGGTTGATGCTGCCCACTGTATCTATTCAGGGATTTCTGTTCAATATATGCTGAAGTGAGCTGGATGGAATTATCCCTATTTTAGAAATGAGAAACAAAAATAGGAGGCTAAGCCAGCGATATACCCCACTCTACCCTTGGTAACCAGAGCTCCACTAATCAAACTTCTGGCTCTGCCCTTAGGAAGGCTCACCAAGTGCTTGTGGGCAGTCTTATTGGGCCTGTAGTCGATTTCTTTGATCAGTCTGGACTTGTAAAGACCACACCATGAGGTTCCAGACAGTAGCTATTTCCATTCCCATGCTCACCCTCAAACCAACCTGTCACAAATTCAACAGGGAGAGAGAAGATGAACTTTGTTCATTTTGGGCCCCTGTGATAGTTCAAAGTGAGACTTATCATAGTGGTTAAGAACATGGCAGACAGAGCCAGGTGGCTTGAGCTCAAATCCCAACTCTACTGTTTTCTGTGTGACCTTCATTGAAATTATTAAACTTCTCTGTGCTCAGCTTCCTCATCTGTAAATTGGGGATTAATAACAATGCTTTTGCTTAGTTCATATGGTTGTTGTGAGGATTACCTGAATTAACATGTAGAAGCAAGTACTTTAGGAAGGTACCTGCACCCTGGAAGTGCTCTGTAATGGGGGGGTCAAGGTAGTAGTGTTGACATTTTGATTATACCTAAGAAATGGAAATTCTCTCTCTTTCTCTCTCTCTTTTTTTTCTTCTTTGAGACAGAGTCTCACTCTGTCACCCAGACTAGAGTGTAGTGGCACAATCTCAGCTCACTGCAACTTCCGCCTCTTGGGTTCAATCGATTCTCCTGCCTCAGCCTCCCCAGTAGCTGGGACTACAGGCGCGTGCCACTACACCTGAATAAAATTATCTTAACAATAATAGTTAATAGCAAAGTGACCATGGATCACCACGGAAACTTTGGAAATTAGAAAAAAAGAAAAAAAAAGGAACCAATTTAGGAGGACACACATGAATACATGGGGAAGCACAGCTGGATGGGTTGAAAATTCATTGGACCATTTTGGCCCAATGTCACAGGCTAGAAAATGCTAGCCACTTGGCATCTAAATTTGTTTCACTTCTGAATTGAGTGCATGGCACCATTGTGAGGATTCATTAAAGCAAAGATCAGGCTTGATAAACTCTTATCACTAAACAAATATAATCAAGACTTAGAGCTATAAACTGAAGTAAACCCTGCAGCTCTGATAGTCACTGCCCAGACTGATTTGGTGTTTGTGGCCAGGTCTTGGCACTAAAACTGAGGGAGACTGTGGAAAACATGGAGGGAGTTCAGAGGCCAAGGACAGACATGAGGAAGAGTTGGAATTCTTATTTATTTATTTAGAGATAGGGTCTCGCTTTGTGGCCCAGACTGGAGTGCAATAGTGTGATCATAGCTCACTGCAGCTTCAACCTCTTGGGCTCAAACAAGCCTCCTGCCTTAGCCTCCTGAGTAGCTGGGACCACAGGTGTGTGCCACCATGCCCAGCTAATTTTTTTATTTTTATTTTTTGTAGAGATGGGGTCTTACTACGTTGACCAGGCTGGACTTGAACTCTTGCTCTCAAGTGAATTGCTTGCCTTGGACTCCCAAAGTACTGGGATGACAGGCATAAGCCACGGTGCCTACCTAGTTGGGATTCTAATGTAGTGCATGTGTACCAGATGTCGCTCACTGAAGATGGGACTGGGATGATTGCACCAGGATGTGAGGAATTGGGCTAATTTTCATATAGCATGGAATTTAAAATGCCAGAAAGTGTTTTTGAAAATGGTGAAATCTGAGTCCTCCTCTATGATTATCCAACTGTAATAGGGAAGTGGAAGCTACACTACCAGTACGGCGGTTGTTGCAAAGATGGATGGACGCGAAGCTCCCGCCGTGAGCTGTTTAGACCTGATTCTGTGAGGTCTGGAACTAGGTATTTACTTAGCAGTCACCTTCTGCCATCTATGGGTTTATATGTTTCATTGCAGTTACAGGGGAGTAGGCTGTGATACCATCAGACACAAAGCTGATGTTTTTGTTAAACTAGTCACACCTCCTCCTTTTTGTCCACAAAAGCCATTTTTCATTTTTTCAGTATGTTTGTTTTCGTTTTTGGTAGATAAAACACTTTTTGTGATGATAAATAATTATTTCTTTGGAACAAGGGGGGAAATTTGTATTGAGACATGCATGAGGAAGGACCTGGGTGCCTGGATTCCATTTGTTAAAGTGTTTTTAATAGCCAGGAAATTCTTCCCTCTGCATTAAAAGACGAAGCCATCATTTTGAAATATCCTGTGAGGCTTGCATTTTCCCTCAGGTTACAGGAAAAGGGGACCAGGAATTGCAGTGATTTCTGCTTTCTATTGTTCTAATGCTTTATTTTTAGCATCAACTAGGGTAGGGAAAGCCACTGATTGTGACAAAGGAAACCGGGAAGTGCTGTGAAGGGCAGGACAGATAGGTGGGCAGTAGACATAGGAAATCAGGGAGGACTTTTTAGAGGGAATGAGGTGGGCTCTGGGTTTGAAAAGAAATGAAAGTCACAGGAAGAGGGGATACGCTGCTGGAAAGGACCACCTAGGTGCTCCTTATGTTCTGTGTCTGCAGTTCAAGAGAGTTTCATGCAGAAAGAGGACACAGTTTCCCACAAGGCTGCCTCATAGCTAGCTTCTTTCCTTTGAATCTCCATGTCTATTTCACCTGCCTGTTTCCATGCTAAGCTCCCTCTCCTTCTCTCTGGTTCAACCACACGAGTCTCTTTCGGTTTCTGGAAAGCACTGTGGTCTCCATCACTAGGGGCATTTGCATCTATTGCCTGCTCCGCTAGAAACTCTCTGTGCCCTGGGAACTCCTCTCCATTCCTTATATCTCAGCTTAAAACTCACTTCCTCAAAGAGGCGTTGCCCATTCCCTTGGATTGGCTCTACGTGCCATGCATCATATTCATACTTTTCAGGAGCTCAGATTCCGTGTCCAACATCAGCCTTCTTTCTATTGCAAGTACGGCACTGTGCCTGCATC
The DNA here is from genome assembly GCF_000001405.40 of Homo sapiens. Lineage (NCBI taxonomy): Eukaryota > Metazoa > Chordata > Mammalia > Primates > Hominidae > Homo > Homo sapiens. Next base: position 203,816,544 of record NC_000002.12, read on the forward strand.
CCCCTTATCCAGGAAGAGGCACCCATTGGAGGAGTCAAGAGGGGAAAACAGTAACAAAACTGTACCTATTCCATTATTAAGTTTTCTGTGGAGGTTTATTTTAGAAGCTAGGCTAAAGGTGACCAAATGTGCCAACTCACCAACTCATGGTAGAGTTGAGGGATAGAATACTGTGGGTGTCATTTTCCCAGTACAGCAATGGACTTGGCCCCTGTTTTCTGATTCCTCCCTGGTCCTGTGGGGACAGGAGGGGCAGCACTCTGGGATGCAAGCTCTGTCTTTCCTCCTACCCCCAAGGGTGGAGTAGGATGGTGATTGTGCAGAGAATCATATGGCTGGAGCATGACAAGACCACTAAACTCAGGAAAAAGGGAAGGAGACTTTTCTCCTTCCATTACTTGGGATAAGCTATTTCCCACAGTGCAAGGACGAATTGGAAAGATTAATTATGGTCGCAGTACAACCCTTCAACTTCTTTTTTTTTTTTAATTTTGAAGAAGAGAAATAGAAAAAGTAATCCAAGAGGCTAATTGGGCTGCAGTATTTGGGGAGAATTAGAGAAGATGAGTCCTGGAGAGATGGGTAAGGATCAGGGCTGATACAGAATGCACAAAGCGGGGTCTGGAAGGAGTCCTGGGTTTCAGCTTCTGCGATGTGCTAAAGTGGGGTAGCACAGCTGTCAGGGGACACCTAGCTCAGCTGTTGGTGTCAAGATGGTCCTGGAAAACCACTCCAGAGTTTTCCAGAGAACTGTTGCCTCACATGGCCCTTGGCCATGTGAGTGTCTTGTCAGCACGATTTGAGGTTCATGAGAGAATTGCTTTTGGTTGCCAGCAAGAAGCACCTGGTTCTGCAAAGCTAGGACAAAAATAGGAACTGGCATAGAGGCAAGCCTGGTCATTTGACTCCTGATTGACCGAAGAGATTTGAGAATGACCCAGGGGAGGGGAGGAAGCTAGGTCTTTATGGCTGTACCACGGTAATAGTAGGTTTCCTGGGGGATGAGGTCAAGGAATAAGAGGGGTCACTGACACCCCTGTAAGTTTGAGAAAACCTTCATAAGCTCAGGGGAGTTGCTCATGCTATACATACACAGTTGGCTAAAATCTTTGAATCCAGTTTGGCTAGCACCATGATCATCAGTTTGACAGGAGAAAATCCCAAGCATTTGTATTTAGGAATATATACTGAGTTTTTACTGATCATATATTTCATGGCTCCCTTGAGGAAAACCTTTCATGATAAGATAGCAGGTAATATTCTAAAGCCCTCCCTTACTAGTAACTCAAGATTTGAACCCTTGATGTCTTCTCTTAGGAGCTCCCTTTGGGAGCCTGCGCAAGTCAGTGGAGAAGAGCGCTGACCTGGAAGGAGGGAGTCTGGGTTCCATTCTCAAACTTACCACTCAGTAGCTATATCCATGAGCAAGCCACTTCACCCATCTGGAACCCAAGTTCCTCACTATTAGATGAAGCAGCTAATGTTCCTCCCACCTCTAATGTTCTATAATTCTCTGATCCAGTAACTGGAAGCCGTGGTGCAGCTTGGTGCTGGAGAACAAATAGAGGCATTCCTCCTGTTATGAAGTGAGTTGTGTCCTCCCCATCCCTCAAATCAGTATGTTGAAACCCTAAGCCCCAGCGTGTCTCTATTTGGAGACAGGGCCTTCAGAGAGGTAATTAAGGTTAAATGAGGTTCTAAGTGTGGAACCCTAATCCAATAGGACTCATGTCCTTGTAAGAAGAGAAAGACTTTGGGAGGCCGAGATGGGCGGATAACCTGAGGTCAGGAATTTGAGACCAGCCTTCAACATGGTGAAACCCTGTCTCTACTAAAAATACAAAAATTAGCCGGGTGTGGTGGTGGATGCCTGTAATCCCAGCTACTCAGGAGGCTGAGGCAAGAGAATTGCTTGAACCCGGGAGGTGAGGTTGCAGTGAGCCAAATCGCGCCATTGCACTACAGCCTGGGTGACAAGAGTGAAACTTCGTCTCAAAAAAAATTTAAAGAAAGAAGACAGGTACACACAGGAAAGAGCATGGGAAGACACAGTGAGAAGGTGGCCATCTGCAAACCAAGGAGAAACCCCTCACTAGACAGCACCCCAGTGGCAAGTTCACCTTGGATTTCTAGTCTCCATAACTGTGAGAAGATACATTTCTGTTGTTTAAGCCAGTCAGCCTGTGACATTCTGTTAGGCAGCCTGAGGAAACTAACATACCTCCTCATCCCTCAAACACTGGACTATGACTTATTGGTCTGTGGCCTTTGGGGGTGTTTGCATTTAACTTTCTCCATTGGCAAAGGCATAGCAAAGTAAATTGGCTCCTGGAAAAGCAGGCACTCTACTGCTTTGGAATTTATGGAGTGGAGTCATGGATGTTTCTGAGGTGTTTTCTCTAACTCTAACCAATTTTCTAACATGAGCTTGGTGTCCAACAGTTCAATTCAATTCCGAGACTGTCTACCTGATGTTACTATCAGCTCCCAAAGTTAAAGGGCTCGGTCCCACAAGACTGCTGCCATCTCAGATACCAGTTGCAAATCCCAGGTCATGCGTACTTCTGACTGACTGGCTATAAATTGGGGGTTCCCATGACCTTCCTCCTCAAGTTTGGTAATTTGCTGGAATGGCTTACAAAACTCAGGAAAACATTTTATTTATGTTTAGTTGATTGTTATAAAAGATACAATTCAGGAACAGCCAAATGGAAGAGATGCATAGGGCAAGGGGTAGGGTATATGTGGAGTGGAGTGTTCATGCCCTCCCACGGTGCTCCATCCTCATGGCACCTCGATGTGGTCACCCGCCCAGAAAGCTCTCCAAACCCCGTGGCTCAATAGTTTTTATAACCCAATCTCTAGCCCCCCCACCCTTTCTCCAGATCATGTCCAATCTTGAGGTGGTCCTCTTGTACCAGTGTGGAGGAGCCTGTGGGGTTACTTTCTGAGCAAAAACTGGGCTTGGAAACCTTAAAAATACATCGTTATTGACTAAATAAGTTTTCGGAGAGTTCTGCCAGAATATCTTGGTTGCGGGGCCCTGTGTAGACGTGGGCAGCTGTGGGGCAAGTGGATGGAGGCGACTGCTTTCCAGAAGGGAAGGTCTACACTGTCACCCCAAAACCCCAGATCACAGGATTTTGTACAGCATTGAGCTTCTGTGTCTCTTCCTTGGGAGTTGCCTATCTGGGACTTGGCAGTGCTTGGACAGGAAGTGGTCTCATGCTAATAACTGGTACAAGGACCCGTGGAGGAGGAGCAAGCAAGCTGGACACCAAACATAGGGGGTGCCTGCGGGGAGTCTGAGGGACCTGCAGGCCCAGAGTAACAGCAAACATGAGGATCAGAGGACTTGAACTGGACTCTGAGCTTCCTGTGAGGCCGCAGCAGAGCTCGTCCGGGATTTCTTGGTGGAACAAGATATTAACATTACACAATGGGGTGGAGAAGGCGGGGTCAAAGACAGATGTCAGTGCCTGCAAACACACTGTGCCTGGCCCTGCTGAGAGGGTCACGTGTGTGCCAGGCTGGTTCCAGGCTCCGCCATCCACACTCCCAGGGTCTGTGGTGAAATCGAATTTATTCTCATTCTCATCATTAGAAGTATGTCTAATTTAGAAAGAAGCCACATTGAACTCTGACTCCTGTTGTCCCCTCAAAGCTGTGTGTTAAGCAAATCGGCATAAAGGATTTTCTTCTCTTTTACCTGGCACTGGGACATCTACATCAGAGTTCATAATGTCACTCCAAAGGCACTTGCTGAGAAATCTTGAAGGTGAAGAATTTTTCTGAATTTTCCAAGAAACAGATTTTTTAAAGAATAGGCACATCTTATCTTCTGTTTTTGAAAGTTTGTAATCTATAGGCCAGATACAAATTTTCTGTATCTAGAATACTTGATTTTTTTAGATTGGGAATTTACAAGAATGCATGGGTATATTTTATCTATGTAAATAAACTCTAGGCTGGGCACAGTGGCTCACGCCTGTAATCTCAGCACTTTAAGAGGCAGAGGGGTGCGGATCACCTGAGGTTAGGAGTTCAAGACCTGCCTGGCCAGCATGATGAAATCCTGTCTCCACTAAAATACAAAAATTGGCTGGGCATGATGATGCATGCCTGCAATCCCAGCTACTCGAGAGGCTGAGGCAGGAGAATTGCTTGAACCTGGGAGATGGAGGCTGCAGTGAGCCAAGATGGTACCCCTGCACTCCAGCCTGGGTGACAGAGTGAGACTCTGTCTCAAAAAAAAAAAAAAATTCAAAAAAGAAAATAAACCCTTTTCATATACTTTGGAAGCATTTTTTAAGAACAAAATTACATTGCTAATAAAAATATTTATTGTGAGAAGTTTCAAAAGAATGTAACACTTGGAATTAATTGAAGTACTGTTTGAGCATGTACTATGACATTTTTATAAATGTAGAGATACTGAGGCCTGCATCTAATTCATATCTGAATCCTTAAAAAAAATCCTGCTTGCTACTCTGTAGGTGATACATTCTTGCTAAAATTCTGTTGAATTAATTTCTCAAAAGTAAATAGTCGGAGCCACTTATTTGAATACCTCTAGAGTTGTGTTAGCAGAAATAGGAACTGTATTCAAAACAGACTGAGAGACAGACCCAAGGGAGTACAGATTTTCAATTTGTGGTTTCAGATATTCACCATTCATGGGCACCTATTGCCTACTCTCTCAACACTTCCATGTTCAGTATAGTGCAGTTAGTTGCTTCAATCTCTTTTCTTTTCTTTTTTTTTTTTGAGACAGAGTCATACTCTGTCACCCAGGCTGGAGTGCAGTGGCGTGATCTCAGCTCACTGTAAGCTCTATCTCCTGGGTTCACGCCATTCTCCTGCCTCAGCCTCCCGAGTAGCTGGGACTACAGGCACCCGCCACCACGCCTGGCTAATTTTTTGTATTTTTAGTAGAGACGGGGTTTCACCGTGTTAGCCAGGATGGTCTCGATCTCCTGACCTCGTGATCCACCTGCCTTGGCCTCCCAAAGTGCTGGGATTACAGGCGCGAGCCACGGTGCCAGGCCCGATCTCTTTTCTTTTACACTACACTCAGCATGTAGCTGTGTGTACCCATTGGCATTGGCTAATTGCCCACTGTGCTCCAGCTGGCTTGTCTGGGGGCTGGGATGTTAAAAGCTCCTTATATGTGCTCATCTCTCTTGTGGTGGGTCTGATCAGAAGAATGTGTCACCACTAACTCTATACTTCCCAGAGACCGGAACTCCCAGCTCCAGCTTTATGAATGTACCCCACCCCCCACCACACCATTAGGCTCTCGGAATCTGTCAGAATTCTTTTTTTTTTTTTTTTTGAGACAGGGTCTTGCTCTGTCACTAGTCTGAAGTGCAGTGGTGCAGTCATGGCTCACTGCAGCCTTGAACTCATAGGTTCAAGCAATCCTCCTGCCTTAGCCTCCTGAGCAGCTGGGACTATAGGCACACACCACCACGACCAGCTAATTTTTAAATTATTTGTAAAGGCTAAGTCTCGCTACGTTGCCCAGGCTGGTCTTGAACTCCTGGCCTCAAGCAATCCTCCCATCTTGGCCTCCTAGAGTGCTGCGATTATAGGTGTTGTCAGAATTCTTAGTTGTTGGCAAGAAGACTCCAGCTGATTTAAACTCATTTACTGGGTTCTAGGAGAGTTGGAAAACCAGGCTTGGAGCTACAGTAGCAGGACAGCATACCCAAAATCATGCCACGGGGTGCTCTGGTGAAGATGTCATTCTCACTGGCCTGTCCAGATGCTGTATTCTGTTGCTATCACAGTAGAATGTCTGCTCCAGGTGCAGGCTGGGGACAGCACCGCAGCCACTGCTGCCGTGGAAAAGCAATCTTGCTGCCACTGCCGCCACCTCTAGAAAGGGTCTGAGTCGCTGTTTCTTTGTGTCACTAGCATCTGATTCAGACTCCAGAGTGGGTGCTTCTGATTGGTGGATCCTGGATCCTGTGCCCATAACCACCTGCAAAGGATGCTGAGAAAGTAGTACCACATCTCAGTTTTTATACTGGAAAGGGGGCTGTGCCTCCCATGAAAACTCATAAGAAAGGCAGCGCTCCAAATAGAGGCAGGAGACTCAAATGGTAGGCAGCTGAAAGGAAGAGCAACTGTCCATGATATGGACTAAACTATACCAACTCCCCTGCTCCCAGAAAGGACAAAAGCCTCGGTGTACACAGATTATTAAAATCCCAGCCAAACCAAAAGAAAAACCGACAATGGTAACCGTGATAGCAAAGAGACACTTTATTCCTTTATTGCCTGTTTTTGAAAATCCTCAGTACTGTGAGAACTGCTTCATATGTAATTGTTCAAGTTTTGCTAGACTAGGAGTTTCAGCTTCATCCAAATCCCTTTAAGGGATATTAGCTCTGCACTCATCCTCCCTGTCCCCGTCCCAAGCCTATGTTACTGGTATGCTATGGTATTGGATTGGGATGGATTACTTGCCATGAATATTTTCCATTGTTTCTCATTAATGTATTAATTAATTAAGTAAAATATTATTTTCCATGAGACACAATGGAAAAATGGAAAACATTCATGGAAAAAAACCCATTTCAATCGAATACCATAGCGACTATGTGTCTGGAAACATCCAAACCGGAGAGCTTTAGTTTTTAAAACTTCCGTGGAGATAATTAGGTTTTCCTCAACCCAATTTAGCCAACATCTCCTTGGATTTTATTTAAAAACCTGAAGTAGAGCCAAATGAGCCACTTCTGCTTAGATGAAAAAAGGTGTCATCTCTCACTAGATTTGTACTGTGTCACTTTGTCACCCAAGGTTTCCAATTCACTCTTACATAGAGATGCAGTCCCAGAGTACAGGGCATGTGGCATATTGGTGAGAAAAAGAGAGAGGATGTGGCAGGGAGAGTGAGAAGCCAGGGAATGACGCTTCCCGAATGGTGTTGTACAAGCCATTTTACCCTCCAGAGAGCACCCCTCAGCCTAAACCCTGGTGATGTGGGTCTAGTTTTTCCAGGTGGTAGTTCAACATAGTCCAACATCATTGCACCAGATGAATTTGGGATCATTCTAGTAAGATTTACACCTTCCCATTGACAATAGCGCATCTTGGTCAAGGAAGCGTAGGGAGTAGATATGTGAAATAGAAAAATATTACTCATCTTGTATACTTAACTCACAGCATTAATGAATTAGTTCATTTGGTAACCATTTACCAAGATCCTATTATGTACTAAGCCATGCACTAAGTGCTTTGCATGTGTTACCCCATTTAATAATCCCTCTAACAATCTTATCCTGTGAAGCGGATCTATTTCCCTCCTGCCCCCAACGTTTGAGAGATAAAAAGATGAAAGCTCAGAGAGCTTAAGAGGCAGAATTAGGACTGAATCCACATCACTTTGACTGCAAAGTCTGTGATTCTGGCCACTGTTTCTCGTGATTTTTAGTGGCTTGGCTGTTGAGATGGCTGGTGGACAGTTTCTATCCTCAGTGATGGTTGGACATCAGAAAAGAAAAGAGATGTTAGCATATAGTGTGATCCATCCTATAGTAGTAATATATACAGGAGTCTGGCCTGAGGTCTGGATGAGAGGGTGGTTCAGGAAGCTTCTCGTAGGAGGGAAAACTTGAGTTAAGTGAAGAGAGTGACCAAGATGTTTCCACAGGAAGAGCATGTGTACACTTCTGGAGGTGTGAGAATTTGGTGGCATGGCTGGTGTGTAGGATGAGTGTGTGTAGAGGAGAGAGAGTGAGGGGGGCGGGGAGACTAAAACAAGCCTGGAAAGATACGCAGGGGCACAGTGGATGAAGAAAACGGTGCAGATTTGAGAGCTACTTGGGGAGTAGATTCACCATAATTTGGTGATTAGATGTAGGGAATGAGGGATGCATTTATTCTTTATTTTATTTATGATAGTTAATGAATGCCTGCTTTAAACCAGGCACTATAGTAAGTGCTGGAAATAAAGGGGACAAAAGAGCTGGCATCCCTGCTCATGGGTTGTACAGTGTACAAAGAGGAAAGAATCAAAGATAACCCCAGATTTCTAGTTTAGATGATAGAGACACAAAAACTTAGAAAAGCACTAGGTTGATTTGGGAAGAGGCTCAGGCATTTCTGTGGGACATCATACAAGATGGCCAAGAGGTAGTGGGATATACAGACGTGGAGCTAGGAGAGAATCTAAGCTGGTGATATAGATTCGGGTGCCATCCACATGGATGTGGAAGTAAAAACCATGCATGTGGGTGTGGGGTGTGATCGCTCAGGAAATGTGTAGCAGGGTGAAGACAATGGAACTGGGGAACTCCAGCCTTTAGAGGCAGAGAAACTGTGAAGGAGTGGTTACAGGGCTAGGAGAGAACCATGAGAGAGCCATGTCATGAAAGCAAAGTGTTATGGCCTGCCTCCCCCACCTCCCAAATTCATGTGTTGAAGCCTTAATTTCCAATCTGACTGTATATGGAGTTAAGGAACTTTAAGAAGGCAATTAAAGTTAAATGAAGTTACAAGGGTAGGTCCCTAATCTGATAGGACTGGTGTCCTTATAAGAAAAGGAAGAGATACCAGGTCTCTCTCTCTCTCTGTCTCTGAGAGAAAAGTCCAAGTGAGGACATAGCAAAGAGGCACCATCTGCAAGCCAGGAATAGAGGCCTCACCAGAAATCATCCTTGCCAACATCTTGATCTTGAACTTCCAGCCTCCAGAGCTGTGAGAAAATAAATTTCTGTTTTTAAGCCACCCAGTCTGTGATGTCTTGTTATGGCAGCCTGAGCAGACAAATACACCAAGATGAGAGGGTTTCAAGGACTGTTTAAACAAAGGCAAATACTCAGCAAAGACAAGGGTAGGCATTTGTCTTCTGAATTTGACAATCCTGTAACCTTAGCAAGAGCAAGGAAGTGCGAAGGCTAGAAGCCAAACTTCAGCGAGTTTCAGGGTTGGATGAGCAGGAGGGATTGCAGGTTTCACAAGCAAACATGGCCTCTAGGTTGGAGTTTGGCATCTCCTACCATCTATGTCTGTCATTCCAGTAAACCCTTTTGTGCAGACTCCCCCAGGGTCCAGCAATGTATGTGGCATATAGCAGGTTCTCAATAATGCCTGCAGAATGGCCTCGCTCTGCTAAGTACAGGCTTCAGTGTAGAGTTCGATCAACATTACTTGCCTAGTGAAGCAGCCTTATATAGTAATATAAACAACTTTCATTTAGTGCTTTTTAGGTGCCCAGCATTGGGCTAAACTCTTTACATCTATCTTATCATGTAATTTTCATTATGAATTAGGTACTATTATTGTTATGCTCATTTTTCTTATGGAAAAACTGAGATAGAGGTTCAAATACAGACAATCTGACTCCAGAGCTCAGTCTCCTAACCGGTATGCTCTATGGCTTCTGTACCCCCATCATCCCTATCCAGGTGCAGATACCTGGATCTGCCCTGTGAGACTTTTGGGGAGCTGACTTGAGTTTCTGGGCCTCAGTATCCCAACTTGCAAAATGTGGTATTTGGAGTAGATGAGTTTCTCGAGTGCTTTATGGCTCTACCATTCCATGATCTGATGGTTTGGACTCAATTACACTCCGTTTATGTGACCTGGCACTAACTCATACAGAAAAGTCAACCAAAAGTTGCCACTCTTGATTTATGCAGGCAGTGAACTTGGGGAACCCTAACCAGCAGTTGGAGGAGAATGGAATCCCTGACAATGTACGAAGGGACACTGGGAAGCTTGAGTTCCACATCAGTATCTCCAACCACCCCCATCTAAGTAAGATGGAGGTGGGGTTGGGGGAAGCCCCTACTTCTGCCTCCTGTATGGCTTCTGCTAATTGGCTAGGATATGAGGAGAGTTCTGGTTGAAGGTTGGCCAAGTAAGTTTATTGAGGACAATCAATGAACTATAGTTGGCCACCACCACTGCTGTTGAAGGGTTTAACGAAGGCTGCTTCTGAGTATGCAGGGCCCTGGGCAAGATTATTTTGTGGGCCTCTCTATATAAAAATAATTTGATTAAAAATGATGACAAGTTGTATCACAAAAATTCATCGACCCATGTAAGGCCCATATGATGTGTCAATGAAAGTTTAGAACAATGTGTAGAAAAATGGTACTTTTGAATTTACTTTTTGTCTAATCGGTGCACATTAAGATTTCTGTTTGGGTCTGGGAACCATTTCTTTGTAATCTTTATCATCAAATATGCTGTTCCTGGCTAAGTTAGCATCTTCCACCATGAGCAAAAGGTAGCGATGCTGTTCTTACTCACAACCCTAAAGCTCTTCAGAACCTGTTTGTATTAAAGCAATATAGATCTTCCAGCCTCTGTGGTTCCCTAATTTTATTTATTTAATGCTGATACAGCATTCTTCATGATACAGCATCATCCATCAGGCTGCCTGTGAGTATTGGACCATCTCCAAAGTTGTTATTGTGCTTCATTGAAGATGACCACAAATGCAAGTCTTACTCAGAGTATGTAGAAATGTGTGAATGATAATCTGTTTTCTGGTCATGTTCAGAATTTTATAGCATAATGTGGAATAGCTCATCTTCCAACCATGTCTTCTTTTGAACTTTTTAGGTAGTAATCACTGTATTCCCAGAATGTGACCTCCTTCAATAATGATTGCATCCCTGCCTTCCATACACTGCCATAAGAGGCAAGGAGAGGTGAGGGTCTCATGGGAAGAATAGAAGAGAGGTCTCATTCACATAAGGGATGTGTGGCCCATTTCAGGTACAACCTAACACTGTCCCTGGAGAGCATGACATCACCACATCAATTGAAAGCAAGTGAGAACATCATTTGGAAGCGCCTGTTGGTGGAGGGGACACTAGCAATGGGGGAGGGGTTCGACAAGGTTGGGTACCTGCTTTCATTCCTGCCTCCCTGAGTGTTGTAACCAGAGGTGGCACTGAGGTCAGAACACAGTCAGGTTAGAGCCCATGCATGGGCTTACTCATGTGGCTCAAGCCCTAAGGTCATGGTGGACTCTTAGTGTTCTATTGCTGCCATAACAAATTACCATACAGTGAGCAGCTTAAAACAACATCCATGATATGGTTTGGCTGTGTCCCTACTCAAATCTCATCTTGAATTGTAGCTCCCACAATTCCCAGGTGTTGTGGGAGGTAATTGAATCATGGGGGCAGGTCTTTCCCGTGCTATTCTTGTGATAGTGAATAAGTCTCATGAGATCTGATGGTTTTATAAAGGAGAGTTTCCCTGCACAAGTTCTTTTCTCTTGTCTGCCACCATGTGAGACATGCCTTTCACCTTCCGCCATGATTGCGAGGCCTCCCCAGCCATGTGGAACTGTGAGTCCATTAAACTGCTTTCTTTTGTAAATTGACCAGTCTCAGTTATGTCTTTATTAGCAGCATGAAAATGGACTAATACAATCTATTTTATTTTCTCACAGTCACGTAGGTCAGAAGTCCAGACACACATGGCTTGGCTGTTTCTTTTCTCTCATCCATTTTATTTTTTACTTTATTACTATTTTTTGAGACAGGGTCTTGTTCTGTCACCCAGGCTGGAGTGCAGTGGTACAATCTCAGCTCACTGCAGCCTCAACCTCCCGGGCTGAAGTGATCCTCCTGCTTCAGTCTCCCAAGTGACTAGGACTATAGATGTTTGCCACCATGCCCAGCTAATTAAATTATTTTTATTTTTATTTTTTATTTTTTGTAGAGACAGAGTCTCATCATGTTGCCCAGGCTGGCCATCCATTTTATTATCTCACAGTCTTGTAGCTTGCAAGTCCAGGCACACATGACTTGGCTGGTTCTCTGCCCCAGGTTTCATAAGGCAAAATCTAGGTGTGGGCTGGGCTGTGTTCCTTTCTTGAGATTCTGGGGATGAATCTGCTTTGAAGATCATTCCAGTTGTTGGCAGAATTCAGCTCCATGCAGTTGGAGAAATGAAGTTCCAATGTCCTTGATGGCTGTCTGCCTTGGATCCCCCTTTCTCCATTTTCAAAGCCAGTGGCAATGGATCTCATACCTTGAATCTCTCTGACTTTCCCTTCTGCCTCATTTCTCTTCTGTTTCCAGCTGAAGAGTGTTCTCTGCTTTTAACAGCTCATGTGATTAGATTGGCCCCACCTGGATAATCCAGGCTAATCTCCTGATTTAAAGTTGTACCCGCCAGGTGCGGTGGCTCAGGCCTGTAATCCCAGCACTTTGGGAGGCTGAGGCGGGTGGATTGCTTGAAGTCAGGAGTTTGAGACCAGCCTGGCCAACATGGTAAAAACTAGTCTCTACTAAAAATACAAAAATTAGCCGGGCATGATGGTGTGTGCCTGTAGTCCCAGCTACTCAGGAGGTTGAGGCAGAATTGCTTGAACTCAGGCGGTGGATGTTGCAGTGAGCCAAGATCGCACCACTGCACTCCAGCCTGGGCGACAGAGCAAGACTCAGTCTCAAAAATAAATAAATAAATAAATAAAAAAGTCTGTATCTTAATTACATCTGCAAAGTCCCTTTGCCATGAAACGTAACATATTCAGAGGTTGCAGGGATTAGAGCATGAATATCTTTGAAGGGTCATTATTCTGCCTACCACAAGGATTGCTGGTTGTTCTAAGGCCTGAACTCATCCTGGGTCTGATATGAGTGAAGTCCACCCTAAATCAGCATGTTGGCACTATTCTGGCAGCCCAATACTGCATGAATCCATGAAAGAAAAATCCCACTGGTCAGCAAGAGCAATCTACTTGCCAGAACACCCTCTTGGAATGAGATCTGACTAGGATGCCTGGGACCCCCACATGGGCATGAATCCCAGAATCCCTTAGGCAATGTGGTCCACTCTACAAGTGGTATAGGGTTTGAGAACATCCCTAAAGGAAGAAACAGGAACTGAGGCCAACATAGGTCCCTGTCTAGGCTCCTGCTTGGATGGAATTGCTGATTCTGGGTGTTCCCAGGCATGGGAGAGGGATCCAGAGAAGACATTCCACTTGCAGAGGTTCCCTGAGGGGTCAGAATTGCAGCCCTGCTTGCCTGGGTCTAAGGGCAAGGTGGTACTGCTTCCAGCAACTAAGCTGGTAGGAGCTATTTTAATTTTCATGCAATGTCTCTGTAGGGTTCAGTTGGCGTTGTGGGGTAGAGTGTGGGGTTTCACTCCAGCCAGCCTTGATACAAGTCCTTGATATTCTCCATAAGCTTTATACAAGTCCTGGATATTCCCCATATTGGCTGGATGATCTTGGACAAGTTACTTAATCTTGTGGAGCCTCAGTCTCTTCATCTGTATGGCAAAATGAAGACAATAACAATGAACCCTGGCCCTGAAAGGGGTGAGATATATCATAGGCATTTTATACTCACATCTGCCGGTTATAATTTCCACCTTTCAATGTTGTGATGATCAAGTGAGCTGGCATATCTCACTTAAAGATGGCATAAAACCACCTGGAATACAATAGGCACACCATACATTTCAACCATAAACAGTGATTGAGCCCAATGTCAGGCTGATAAATGTGAAATCACAGGTTCTCCAGGAGAGGAGGGGAGGACAACTTGTAGTGTTTGCTGATTTCCATGGTGTACATACTCCCAATGGCTCATTTCAAACAACCAGTCTGTTGTCAGTGGATGTGGAGTTGGGAAGAGCTGACAGTCAGCTCTTTCGACAGGCACGGTGTTCAGTGCTGGAGATACAGTGACAAATTTGCATGAAGCTTAAAGTAGTTCTCTTCTCTGTGCTATTTTTCCCCCAACCCAAAGTATGAGCCTCCAGAATATTTTGCAAATAAGATGTAGTTCTAGGTAGAAAAGCGTGAACTCAGTAACCTCTCAAGGTGTCTCTCAGCATTTGCCTCAACCAGTAGAGGAAATGTTATTTCTGGCTTCTTGGCAAGCCAGCAGTCTTGTTTCCACAGAGCTGAGTTGGGTATGAATAAGGCCAGAAATGCTGCTCCTCTCATTGGTTTGGGGTTTGGTGTTGGTGGAGACATTTCATTTCCTGGAGGCCCACTCGGCAACACTAGGAGAGGAGGGTGCTGGCTCATCCATTCACGATCATGGGGACTGAATGACCCGGTGAGAACAATAGTCATTTCCCAGTTGTATGAGGTCACATGCCCTGACCATGCCCACGCTTCACTGTCCCAGAGCATTTCGATGGTGGGGATTCCATTATGACTGACATCTGGTATTCTTAATAGGAAAGCAATCTCACTGTTCTCAAAGTAGGAAAACTGTTTTTGGAAGGTTTTAGAATGAAGCAGGTTGAAAACATCTATGCAGAGTACTTGGAAATGTATGAACTGGTAAATCTAAAGAGCACGGAGATGTAGGTTGTCTCTCTCTCACTCTCTTGAGTCACTGAACACCCGTACTGTAAGTTGCTTTATATCATTTCTCAGAAGGCAATCTCTTTTCTCAGGGTAAGTTTCCATGTAAGGTGATATTAAGGGTAAAAAAAAAAGCACAATGCAAGCACTGTGGTTACTGGTGTTTAAAAAGGGCCATTAAAAATAAAATTAGTATCTACCGTGTCTTAATATTGTATCCAATTGGAATTTGATATAAAACTGGGACCCCAATGGAAATTTTTTTTAGTGAATAAACATACAATTTATTTGGGAAGGTTGAGATTATTTTATTTATTCATTTTTTAAAACCACATTTGGAAAATTAAAATAGGTATTTAACATTAAAGTCAAGCTATATGCCCAAGCTTTGGAATAAAGAACAGACTCTCAGAATTTCAAAATGGCTCTACAATAAAAATAGAACAAATTAACACTTAAGGATAACAGAAAGAGAACTGCAGTTTATTTTTGGAGACAGCATGGGTATGGGTGAAGAGGGCTTTCGTTTCACTAATGCATAGGTGACTGGTGGCTTGTTTCTAGGTTTTTCCATTCTGGAAAACTCTAGTTAATTTCTCATGTGTCCAAGATTTAGCACTGTTAGCTGGTTTCTGCAATAACTTTTACATTTATTATAGAATAATATATCATTTTATATTATTGGAGCTTGGAGCTCTTGGGTTCCATATAGCAAATGTGCAGTAAGAATCAGATCAATTCTTTTCTCCAATTTTTCTCTTGTCCACTTTCTTTTTTCCATGAAGTCTCCACACTGTTGATAATTATAATGATAAAATTACAATAAAAGCAAACATTTATTGAGTGCTTTCTGTATAGGCATTATTACTCTCTGTTTCTGATGTGGACCTTTAAGGATGAAAATATATTCTAGAAGTTGGTATATTAAGTTAAAATGCCAAGATGGCATTTCTATTTTAATTTTTTTTGAGATGGAGTCTCGCTCCCTCTCTCATTCTGGAGTGCAGTGGTGCGATCTCGGCTCACTGCAAGCTCCGCCTCCCAGGTTCACGCCATTGTCCTGCCTCGGCCTCCCGAATAGCTGGGACTACAGGCGCCCGCCACCACGCCCAGATAATTTTTTGTATTTTTAGTAGAGACGGGGTTTCACCGTGTTAGCCAGGATGGTCTCGATCTCCTGGCCTCGTGATCCACCTGCCTCCGCCTCCCAATGTGCTGGGATTACAGGCGTGAGCCACGACACCCAGCCCTAGATGGCATTTTAAGAGGATATTATGATAGCCTTAAATACTAAGGTAAAGTGCCTATATTTAAAAATCTTCAATCATTTCCCTTTGCCTGAAAAATTAAAAACATGGACAGGGTGGTAGTGATGGTGTGGTATGATCGTAAGTTTGTATTTTAGATATATGTAGAAACATATGAAAGGTGGATTGAAACAAGGAGAGGATAAAGACATGAGTTAGGAGTTAGGATTGCAAGATAAAATATGGGAAGCCAAGTTAAATTGAATTTCAGATAAACAAGAATTTTTTTTAGTACAAATATGTTCCATGCAATATTTGGAAAATATTTGGAACATACTTATACTAGAAAAGTATTTGTAGTTTATCTGAATAAATTCATATTTAATTGAATTTCTTGTATTTTTATTTGCTAAAACCGGCAACTCTATTTAGGAGGTTACTACAGTAGTCCAAGTAAGGGGAAACAAAGAACTAAAAAGGGTGGTGGAAGAGGAAATTGATAGGAGAGTACGGATGTGAAAGAATTGAGAAGGTAAAATTGATAGGACTTGGCAACTGATAAGAGAAAATGATGTGGCTTTAGATACCATAATGTGGAAAGAGGAGCCAGGATCTAATAGGCTAATTTTCTAATAGAAAATTTATATACTTCAAGGGAAAACAATGGGTGAACTGAACATGGAGTAGTGGTTCTGTGAATTGAGAGCCTTGATTAGTGAAATGAACATTGAAAGACATTATTGCAAGTTTAAATTAAACTAAAAATTTAATAAAAGTTACCTTCTTTAAAAATAGTTAACATTTTTGTAGATGTATTGAGAAGTTTAAATATGTTATTAATAGCATTGAGGATATCAGTCTGCCTTTTCATAACCCAGATAAATGAAAGCTCATAACTTTTATTCTTCTAAAACATTTAAAGTTGTGTCCTAAAATCAGACAATAGCTGTTTCATTTTTGCTTAGAAAATAGTATATTAAAATGAATCTTTTATCAAGCTGGGCAGAATAACTTTTGCCTCATATCAACCAGTAGGATTAAAGGGTGTTTTATAAAATTCTGCATTAAAATTATTCGATGTTACCCCCATGCTATTTTAGCACAATAAAATAGCATGGGAGTATTTTACTGTATTTTATATGTACAGGGTACATATACTGTGTATAGTATTTTATTGTGCTAAAATAGCATGGGAGTATTTTACTGTATTTTATATGTACAGGGTACATATACTGTATATAGTATTTTATTGTGCTAAAATAGCATGGGAGTATTTTACTGTGCTAAAATACATTTAGCATGGGCTGTTATATCTTATGACTTTGATCTCTAGATATACCTATTTCTAAACATATATGGGTATACATTTCAAGATGGTAGAATAAATTAGAAATTGTAAAGATGTCTGTTGAGACCCTTTAAACTTTTATAAAGCCTATTCTAATTTATTCAATAAATATTTATTAGATATCTATTATGGACCCAGTTTTTTACCAATAGCTTGAAAGAAAGTCCCTTTCCTCATAATCTTAAAGAACAAATCAATTATGGAGTAATCAAGTTGGGATGGAAACTTCAGATAAAAAATGATATTTTCCCATTTTACCTGCCACCTTTATCCCCGTTTGTTTCAGAGCTGCAGTAGCGACCTGTATCTGCTAGGGTCCAGGCAGAAGACAGAAACCACATCAACTATTTAAACAGAGAGAATTTTACATAAAGAGTTGTTGGCTGGGAGTGGTGGCTCATGCCTGTAATCCCAGCACTTTGGGAGGCCGAGGCAGGCGGCTCACGAGGTTAGGAAATCGAGACCATCCTGGCCAACCTGGTGAAATCCCCTCTCTACTAAAAATACAAAAATTAGCTGGATGTGGTGGTGTGCACCTGTAATCTCAGCTACTTGGGAGGCTGAGACACGAGAATCGCTTGAACCCAGGAGGCAGAGGTTGCAGTGAGCCGAGATCGTGCCACTGCACTCCAGCCTGGCGACAGAGCAAGACTCCGTCAAAAAAAAAAAAAAAAAAAAAGCTGTTAACCAGGCATAATGCAGTTAACTAGGTAATTGAGAAACAAAAGGAGAATGCTAATGTATCTCAGAGGAAGCAGCTGCAGCTACTATTCCTAGGGTTGGAGGAACAAGAGGAAAAGGTTAGAATTACTAAAACTTAGAAATTTGCAGGAGTCTTATAACCTGGGACCCAGACCTCCGAGGAGGGTCTCCAGTTGGCTAGTGTTGATGTCTCTGGGGAGTAGGATAAGGGGCAGTGAAGCTGGTTCTGCAAGTCTTGAAAAAATTGCAAAGTGGATTCAGCTGCTGCTAATGGACACACCTGCTGCTGCTGCTGGGGTGAAGAAGTGAGCCTGGGGTGACATCCACACAAACATGGAGCAAGTCCCTGCTTCCTTCTTCAGCCTTGCAGTTCTCCCTCTAACACCTTCTACTGACAGAGTCTAACACAGATCCAGAATACTATGCTGCCATAAAAAGGAATGAGATCATGTCCTTTGCAGGGACATCGATGGAGCTGGAACCCGTTATCCTCAGCAAATAACACAGAAACAGAAAACTAAACACCGTATGTTCTCACTTATAACTGGGAGCTGAATAAGGAGAACACATGGACACAGGGGGCATGGGAACAATACACACTGGGGCCTGTTGTGTGGTGGAGGCAGGAGGGAGAGCATCAAGAAGAATAGCTAATGAATGTTGGTCTTAATACCTAGGTGATGGGTTAACCTGTGCAGCAAACCACCATGGCACACATTTACCAATGTAACAAACCTGTACCTCTTGCACTTGTACCCCAGAACTTAAAAGTTGAAGGAAAAAAAAAAAGCAGAAATGTAGTTTGCAGACTCCCAGGCTCAGCATCACAAATCATAGTAGTGTCTATGTGAGCTGAGGGACCATAACTTGCTAATTGGTACACCTCCTAAATACTTCTTCTGGATTACCTCTTGCCTTCTCAAGTAGGAGCTCTGCCCTGAACCAGAGTGATCTTCCCAAATCCCTTCAAAATTTCTCATGGCTCTCAGAATAAGGGCAGAGATCCTTAACATGACCCACGGGCCTGTGTGATTTGACCCCTGAACATTTCCATCCTCATCCTGGACCTCAGTCTCCCTCCGTAGCCTGGCTGGCCTCCAGTCCTTGAGGATGTCACGTTCTCTTCTCCTTCAGGACTTCCATACATACTACTCCCTGTGCCTGAAATGTTCTTCCCCTCCTCTTTGCCTAGTTTAGTTCCATTTGTTGTTGAGATTTTAGCTCAAGAACAACGACTTCTTCAGGATGGCCTCCTTCATGCCTTAGATGGGGCGATGCCTCTCTATTAAATGTTTCCATGGCTTTTGCGCACTCTTCATGGTTTGTAATTGGATTGTTGTATTTGATATTTGTTTCCCCACTATTATGAGATACATGAGTGTAGGAATAATGTCTGTTTTGTTCACCACTGTTTTCTCAGTGCCTACAAGGTGTGTGACATGTAGTAGGTACTCAACAAATATTTATCACGTGACCGAAGAGCCAAACCAAATTATTTTGTAAGAGGAAGCGTTTATTACCATAATTTAGGATGCTGCTGTTGGTTGTAAGTACTGTCATTTTATTATGAAGAAAAGCAGTTGGTAAGGAGCACTCTGAAAACATGTCAGAGCCAAGACAGTGAGAGCAGCTGTATGCATTTATTTATTTAAACCTTTCTCAAAGTGTTCGTTGCTCCGGCTTCAATACTAACACAGATAGGGGTATCGTAGCAGAGTCCTGATTGTGCGCCACTCAGCCCGGGTCAGTCCGCTTTTACATGAAGTGAAATAAAATCTGTACGTCCTATATTTTCAAGGCCTCAGCAGCAGATCTGCCCATGAGTGCAGAAAACAGTGCCCCATGAGAACCAGAGCAAGTGGGCAGGCACAGCACCATCCAAGTTCATTCTTAGAAAAGAAGTGTTTCTTCAGAGGAAGCGTAGTCTGCCCACCCTACAGACAACCTTTTACATTCTCAGAAGAGCAGTTCGCTTCCTGCTGTGACATTGTCTCAGGCATCTGTATTTATGATTAGGGTCTCTGCTCTACGAATAAAAGGCCTGCTCCAGTGATTTTCCGAGAACGACAGATTGGTCTGTACCAAAGGTTTGTTTGAGTCTCTGCCTCACAAGCCAGAAAAGTGCTTACAGTCTCGAAACGATGGTTCCAGTTTTTACCCTTCCCATCAATGCTTCAAAGATGTGAAGACCAAGTTACGGGCAGGGCTTATGCTTAAAGTACCATGAGTAACATCCCCCCAGCAGTGTCTGCAAGAAGAAAGTTTCTTACACATGTGTTTATCCATTCAGTCATCCACCCATTTAGCTCTCATTTACGAGTGTTTACTATGTATGAAGTGTTGTTCCCGGCACTGGAGCTATTGAGTTGGCAGAGAAAGACAGATCACAGTTAACAAGATAATTTCAGGCAATGATAAGCGGCATGATGAAAATAGGGAGTGACTTGTGGCGCTACCGTTCGGATGCGTGATCATTGATGTGATTGATAAGATGACATTTAAGCAGAAATCTGAATGGCCAGAAGGGACCCGTCTTACTAAGATACGGGGAAAGAACATTTCAGACAGAGGGGACAAATTGTGCCAAAGCTCTGGAGTAGGGATGAATTTGGACAAGTGTGGCTGGGGTATAGGAAGCAAGGGATCTGGGAAGAGGAACCCAGTTCTGAGACAATGCATAGAAGAGTGACCTACCTCTTTCATGCTCTGTACCATGTTGCCTTTTCTGTATGTAGGGGCGAATTGTATTTTGTTATGTCCATGCACAATTTCTGCTTAGGTTCAGTTGGAGCATTCAGTTGCTCTACTACGATACACCAACAGTTAAACTTCAAATATAGATTGGGAAAATGATACAGTGATGAGCTTATCCTTGGATATTTTATAAAGCAACTGCTACATTATATTCTTAGGGATGTTGGAAAATCAAATAAAATGTGGGGTCATATGTTTTGTTAGATAACACCCTCCCTAACTTAGACTGAGTTGCCTCACGTGTAAATGTTGTAAAAACCTAAATAGCAATGAGATATCACTACATACCAATTATGGTGGCTAAGATAAAATATACTGATATCAAGTGCTGGTGAAGAGTCAAAACAACCAGAGCTCTTAGACATTGCTGGTGGGAAAGCAAAAATGGTATAGCCACTTTGATGGTTTCTTATGAAGCTAGACATACACTTACCATAAGACCCAGCAATCCCACTTCTGCACATTTACCCTAGAGAAATGAAAACTTATGTTCACACAAAACTTGTACGTAAATATTTGTAAAAGCTCTATTCATAATCACCAAAACCAGAAGCAACTTAAATGCCCTTCAACAGCTGAATGGGTAAACTATGAGACATCCATCCAATGGAATACTACTCATCAGCAAAAAGGAAGAAACTACTGATGCGCATAACTTGGATGAATCTCAGAAGCATTATGCTGAGTGAAAGAAGCCCATATGAAAAGGCCGCATAGCATATGATACCATTTATTTGGCATTCTCCAAAAGACAAAACTATAGTGATGGGGAAAGACATGGGGACAGTGGCTAGGGCTGGGAGCAAGTGTGACTAAAAAAGAATAGTATGAGAGAGGTTTCGGGAATGATGGAATTGTTCAGTATTCTGATAGTGATTGTTATACTAATCCATACATGTGTTAAATTTCATGGAACTGTAAACCCATTTTTAAAAGTCAATTTTGCTGTGTGTTAATTTAAAAATTAAAGCTAAAACCTAACAACAATCAAGAAATATATTGGTGTGTCTGAAGATAAAAAGGAACTGTTTAAACTGATAGTAAAGAAAAGCCTTAAATTTTTGGTTGTGATTTCTGCATGTAGTAAGTTGAATTTTTCCAAACTGAGGTTATCGCATTGAATATGAATTCAGAAAGTACTAATTACTCTGTCACCAAGAAATTCTAATCCATTAGTAGAATATAATCAGATTCACATAAATTAAAAAATAAAATATAGTCAAACTTCTTTGAGCAGTCCAATTGACTGACTGCCACATGCTATGAAATGAAGATAGTGCTGCAAGGAATGAAAAACAAGATATTGTCTTGGGCTCCTAAGGAGCATACAATCTCATAGGGAGGATAAGAGAAGGAGAAAAACAATAATAATACCAAACAATTGAGAAAAGTGATTACACAAACATGCTAAGAGAAGCTCACAGTATCTCTGCATGTGGAAAGGAAGGAGAGAAGTCATATCAGATTGAGGATCACAAGTCCAACTGCACTCTTGACTTACTGATCTGATCTTTTGCAGTCTGCTTTTGAGAGAAAGAGATAAACGAGGAGAAAACAAGTTAATTTCAGAAATTTTATTAAAAAGTAAAACAGGATTATTCATACATTGTATTGGAGTCCTTATGGAGGGAGTCCTTTTCCAGGGAAGATCGTTTTTCATGGAATACCTGATAGGCTTAAGCACACTTTGGGAAACGTTGTGCAGGGCTCAGAGAACTCTCAAAAGTGGTTTTCTGAAGGTTTGAATCCTGGTCTAGTGTCAGGAGATGGGGAGGAAGTTTGGGCTAATGCTGAGTATTGGTCCTTGTTAGAGTGAGGCTTCAGGAGAGGGAAAGGGCCGGTGGATTGCCAGCCCATAGACAGGAGAGAGGGTCCCAGAAAAGCCCATGCTCTTTGCCAACTTCCACTTCTGTTTTGGTACATGGGCTGTAGGTTACTAATCCTCTGCTAGATTTCTACAACTCGTTTCATTGTTGGATAGCTCCAGTTATTAATACAAAGAGCATCTTTCTAAATTGCACTCTGCCTCCCCTGTGGCTTCCACCCTGTGGGTCTCATTACAACCCCAGGGTCCTCACAGATGTCTGTTTCTTCCTATGTGACCATGAGTGAATAACCTAATTTCTTGAGCCTACTTCTTCTTCCTCTGTAAAACCAGGGCAATAATAACTACTCCTTAAGAATGTTGTGAGTATTGGCTGGGCACGGTGGCTCATGCCTGTAATCCCAGCACTTTGGGAGGTTGAGGTGGGTGGATCACCTGAGGTCAGGAGTTCGAGACCAGCTTGGCCAATATGGTGAAACCACATCTCCGCTAAAAATACAAAATTAGCCAGGTGTGGTTGCAGGCGCCTGTAGTCCTAGCTACTCAGGAGGCTGAGGTGGGAGAATCACTTGAACCCAGGAGGCAGAGATTGCAGTAAGCCAAGAGATTGCGCCATTGCACTCTAGCCTGGGTGACAAGAGCGAAACTCTGTCTCAAAAAAAAAAATGTTGTATTAATGAGATAATGGACATTAGTCATCTGGCATAGTGGCTGATACAGTAGACATTCAATACATTTGTATTTCCTCTCCCTCTCTAAATAACAGCCTTTCAAATAATAGTTATTAGGTATCCCTGTTTTATCGCTCTAAGCAAAGCTTTCCCTGTGCATGCATGCATTCATTCCATTATTCATTCATCCATCTATTGATTCTACAGTTACTTATTGAGCCTCTCCTGTGTGAAAGGCCCTGTGCTGGGCACTGAGGATACCGTGGGGATCAGAGCAGACAGTGCTCCTAATTCTAATCTCGTGGAGTCTGAAATCAAGTAAATAGGTGATAATAGTTCAGTGCTGTAAGTACCCTGGGAAAAGAGGGAAAGAGAGAACTCTTCCAGGTTGGAGGGCATATTAGTTTCTTGAGGCTGTTGTAACCAATTACTACAAACTTGGTGGCTTAAAGCAACAAAAGTTTATTCTCTCAAGGTCCTGGAGGCTAGAAATCTGGCAGGACCACACTCCATTTGGGGACTCTAGGGGAGAATCAGTGCCTTGTTTCTTCCAGCTTCTGGTGGCTCCCCAGCATTTCTGGGTTTGTGGCTGCATCATTCCAGTCTCTGCCTCTGACTTCACATCACCTTCTGCCTTGTATGTTTCTATATGATCTTCAATTTCCTCTTTTTTATAAGGACATTTATGATGGCATCTACGATCCACCCAAATAATCCAGGGTAATCTTCTCATCTCAAGATCCTTAACTCAGTTACAACTGCAAAGACACTTTCTCCAAGTAAGGTAACATTTTCAAGTTCCAGGGATTAGGACATATCTCTGGGTAGCCATTATTCAACCTACTACCACTACAAGGGATAAGGATGAAAGAAGGCTTCCTGGGGGAACAGTGTATAAAATAGGACCTAAAAAATTAGGCAGAATTTTGTCAGGAGGAGAAGCAGCAAGAGTGATAGAGAATATTCCAAGCAGAGAAATCAGTGTGTGGCAAAGGCCCTGAGTTGAGGGAGTGTGGTGAATCAGAGAATCTGCACGGAGTGTGGTTATGGCTGGAGCACATAGTAGGTGTGTGTGTTGATGCATGAGGGGAGGGCTGTGGGAGGAGAGACAGGAGGTGAGTCTGGAGAGAGAAAAGCACTGGCTAGATCTTGAGGGACTTTGATAGCTATGCTAAAGTGTTTGGATTCTATGCCAGATGTCATGGAGAGTCATGGAAGGGTTTTAAGAAGACATCTTATGTGCTCAGATTTGCACCAGCCTCTGGAGAAGAGGTGAGGGGACTCATAGGAGGCAAAGACATCAATCAGAGGGCTGCTGCGGCCATTCTGGGGAGAGATGATGGCAGCCAGAGCTGGCTGATTTCTGCTTCTGCTAGAACATGATTCCAGCTCCATTGCGTTCCTTGTTACAGGGATCAGACCTCATTTCCCACTGCTATTACGGTTCCTACCCATGCTTGTCAATTAATGCGGTGATTGATTGGTCACAGGATTTATTATTTGGCTTCCAATAAGCCTTGGGTTTCCAAGTCTGACTGTGGAAAAGGAGCTTACTCAACTGAAACACTTTGTAAGTGACACTTCTCCATCCCCCTTCCTGTGGCAGCCCTTCCCAGCACAAAGCCACAGACCAGGGTGAGAGGCAGTGGTGGAGGGGCAGGAAGGTGGGAGGACAAATCAGTGAGACAAATGATAAAGGAGGTTCCCAGTATGCTTTCTGATCTTTCTGGACTTTTTTAATGGGCTAATTGAAGGAAAGGTTTAATTAACCGAACACACACATATCCAAAGCCTCTGTAAAATTGGAATTAGGTAGAATTTTATCAGCGGACAAAATTTTCTCACAACCTGGGAGGTGTCCCTCTGTCACTGATTTGTCTCAAATGGTTGCTTGTTTTCAGAAGCAGCAGATGTGATAAGACCTGCATGTTTCTGACTGACTGTATATGTTGGCCTGTTCTATGGTTAAGAATCCGTAAGCATCAAGTCCTTTATTTTGCATCTCTGGGGTCTGGAAGCAGATTTTTATATATTTCTCTCAAAATCGGGTCAGGGCTTCCAGAGGGTGGAGGGTTGCAAATAATGAAAAGGAGTGGAAATATGCCTATAGTATTCTGTAGCTTGACCAAATGGTGATTCTCACAGTGTGGTCTTCCCACCCTCTTGTGGATGAATCACTTAGGATCTTCTAAAAAATACAGTTTCCCATGATCCCCTTTAGTCAAATGAATTCAGATTTCCAGGGATGGAGCTCAGGAGTCTGAATTTTTAACAAGTTCTTCAGGAAACCAAAACGCTCATGAAAGCGTGAGATTAACTATTAGAGCTCACGGAAAAGGAGGGACAAATAAATGAAATATAAAAAGGAGGAAATGCCTCCAACCAGTGGGCTCAGACAGAAAAGGAATCAGTCATGTAAATTATGGTACCTCCATGTCATAAAACACAGCAATCAAATACGGTAGATGGAAATATACTGACATGGAGATAATTCGACATGGAACTATGTCTGTCATATACTGTCAAGTGCAAAATAGTGTGTATGGGATAACTCCATTTTATATGTATATATGCATAGAAAAAACATCTTAAATTCATTCATCCAAAGAATATCCACTGAGTTATCAGCTGTGAACAAGACAGCTAGGGTCCTTTGCTCATGGTTTAGTATGCATACATATACCATTGCTAACACATTATTTATGGGTATAGGAATTATCTTGTTTATATGAGTTTCTTAAAAATTTTCTGTACTTAACATGCATAGATTTTGTAATAAAAATAACAAAAAATGGATATAAATACTCTCCTCATGGATCCATTTGGTTTTATGAGTCACATTCCTTGCGGGTATATAACTTTGTAACAGAGTGCTTTTCTGCCCTCATCTTCTTTTACACTGGTTTCTTTTGATCATGATCTAATCTTTCTTTTCTACATCCAAAGCATCAGTCTTATTCCACTATCTTTGTGTGAACGAAAATCAAAATCATTTAATTCATTACCCATATACTACGTATGGGCATATAAATACCTGCTTTCATAAGTTTTGTTCACAACCATCTTTCTTGTTGTCTTCTCTTGTAAACATTACGGGTAATGTCTTCCATTATGGTACTTTCTTCTAGTTCAGACTACATGGTGCACAGGTGAGTAATAATTCCTGGTAAAGAAAGTAGGAGTCAATGACAACACTTATCAGTTTGTTTTAGGTAGGTCTAGAGTCTGTGAGTACCCCCTGTGATTTTATGTTCGATTCTGATTAGTCCATCTTCCAGGACCAAACAAAACTGAACAGGAACTCAAGTCACTCAAGTAACTTAAATAAGGAGGTGCCTTGAACTCAACTGTACTTGCTGACGGAGGGGCTGTAGGGTGAAAGGAGAGAAGCAGGGATTTTGTTAGGCAGCCTTTCTGGCTTCCTTTTCTCTCCTGACCAGACTTTGCTTCAAGACTCTCTTCTGTTTTATAGATGTAATTCCACTCAACCTCATAACTTTATAAGTTGTAGGAAAAATGAGCAGGTGCAAATTCTTTTAAATTCAACTTTATTGGAGCCTGAGACCCAAGGAAGTCTCTTGGGCATATATTCAGTTACTCCAGATGATGCAAATCTAGAAATGAGAAGTATGTTTTCTTTCCTTTTTTTTCCCCTCTTTTGGCTTAGCAAAGCCACAGAAACTCTAGGTTATTATGTTTTAAAATGTTTTTAACATATTTTCAGCTTACAAATGTTTTTATGTGATTTCCTCCAAGCAGATCCAATTCCTCATGCATTTTTAGGGTTAAAGTAATGGTCCACATTCAAGTACGTGACAAGACTTAGTTTTCTTCTGGACCAGTGTTAGAGCTTAGAACTGTGGAGAATAGAGGTGGTAAAAGGGATGAAGGCCTTCTCCTTGGGACTTCCCTTTTACACTCCATGCTCTTTGTTAAGCTACTTTTACTCTGGGAATGAGAGAGAAAGAGCATTGCTGCACTGTCTGCTGGAGATGGCCGGGGTTGTATATATGTTCATGAAAGTTATAACTTCACTTCAGGTTGCTTTCACCTAAAGCTAAAAAGGCTGTGATATATGAATCTTAAAAATGGCATTCTATTATTGTTTAATCAATTTCAATCCCATTGAAAGTCTCTTTTCCATGGACATCAGGAAATCATTTAAAGCCTCCTCTTAATGCACAGCAGAGGCTCAGCAAGTGCTGTCAACTCTAATACAATTTAGAAGTTACAGATTCATAAGAGCAGCTTTGAGTCTTAGCAGCATTCCTGCTAGCATCCTAGTAAAAGTAGGGCTGTGTGTCTAGATTAAAATGGAAAGTTCTGATTTGGCATCTATATGTTTTTCTATCTAACACTGTATATCTGCATTTAAAAAAACATTTTGGTGCCTGATTATTTGAGTTTTCATTGTGATTTTTTGATACCTGCCTGGAACCTCCAAAACATGTGAACTCAGACTATTTAGGCTTTTAGGAAACCTTTTAGGCTTAGACCGTTTAACCTTTTAGGAGGGTTTTGTTGCTGCCTTATAGAAGCTAACATAAGATGGGTAGACACTTGAGTGTGCTGGTTGGCCAAAGAAAAGAAATGCAAAGAGGGCAGACAAAGAAAAAAAAAAAAACACATGAATGTAAAGCTATGCCACTTTTTTTCCCCTCTCATAGGTAATTCTGGAACACTTTATTTATTATATCTACTGTGTGCACACTTACTGTTCAAAATCCTGATGGCATAACAATAAAACCAAGGTGGTTCCTGACTTTAAGGAATAGAATATGGGGAGAAGATCTGCAAATTAACAAGGGCAATGGAGTGTTGTTGATGTTGACAGAAGTAACTATAAGATCCAGTCATGGCAGAAGAGTGGTTGGTAATCTACCGGGGTGGAGATGAGGGAAAAGGAAGAGGGGAAAGACTGCATGGAAAAAGTAGATCTTCATCAGGTTAATGAAAAACAGGGCAGCTCAGGCAGAAGGAGAAAATCAAAGTTTCAGAGAGCCTCGTAGGTTCACAGGATTGGTCTGACCAAAGAGCAGGGTGCAAGTGGTGGAAGATTCAAGAGGTGGACAGCAACCTCCAGAGAAACTGGGTCTTCATCCTGACCATTCTGTGGACTATTATTAAACAGTCCTCAGGTCAGCACCTCAGGTCACTGTTGTTCTTTGGTCATTTAATGCTCAGTTTTATGACCCAAAATCAATGAATAAAAACAGAATAAAACAATCAGAAAATTTTCACCTTTATTTAATTAGCAGATTTTTTTTTAAAAGATAGGTATGTTAGAAAAGTTGCAAAATCTATAGGCTGCTGATGGGCATGTAAACTGATGCATTTTGCCTAATACTTTCTACATATATATCAAAAGCCATAACATTCTTTGACTCATGGTCCCGTTGCTGGAAATTAATCTTTTAAATATTTATTTATTTATTTAGTAGAAACGGGGTCTTGCTTTGTTTCGTTTTGTTTTTGAGACGGAGTTTCACTCTTGTTGCCCAGGCTGGAGTGCAATGGCACGATCTCGACTCACAGCAATCTCTGCCTCCCAGGTTCAAGTGATTCACCTGGCTCAGCTTCCCGAGTAGCTGGGATTAAAGGTATGTGCCACCACGCCCAGCTAATTTTGTATTTTTAGTAGAGATGGGGTTTCTCCATGTTGGTCAGGCTGGTCTTGAACTCCCAACCTCAGGTGATCCGCATGCCTTGGCCTCCCGAAGAGCTGGGATTACAGGTATGAGCTACTGCTCCTGGCCGGGGTCTTACTTTGTTGCCCAGCCTGGTCTCGAACTCTAGGCCTCAAGCAATCCTCCCGCCTCGGCCTCCCAAAGTACTGAGATTACAGACGTAAGCCACCAAGGCTGGCCTGAAAATTAATATTAAGATAAAACCTGGGACCAGTTTCTTTTTTAAAGTTTTAAAATTTTTAATTGTGATGGATACATACTAGTTTTACATAGTTAGGGGTACATGTGATATTTTGATAGAAGCATACAACATGTAATGATCAAATCAGAGTAATTGGGATACTCATCACCTCAATAATTTATCATTTCTTTTTTAAGGAACATTCCAGTTTCACTTTTAGTTATTTGGAAATACGGAATTTCATTTCTTGCATACACATAGGAACCATGAATGACTGTGGTACATACCCATGAAGCAGCGATTAGAAAAACTCTGTCTTGTTTGGGGAGGCTGCAAGGAAGCCTACTACAAAAGTCCACGGGGTTTGAATTAGAACTCCCTGCACAGAGTAGGTAAGCCAAACCAAGGAAATCACATTAAAAGTAGTCTATTGGCCAGGCACGGTGGCTCACGCCTGTAATCCCAGCACTTTGGGAAGCTGAGGTGGGTGGATCACGAGGTCAGGAGATTGAGACCATCCTGGCTAACACGGTGAAACCCCGTCTCTACTAAAAATACAAAAAACTAAACAGGTGTGGTGGCGGGCGCCTGTAGTCCTAGCTACTCGGGAGGCTGAGGCAGGAGAATGGCATGAACCCAGGAGGCAGAGCTTGCAGTGAGCCGAGATGGTGCCACTGCACTCCAGCCTGGGCGACAGAGCGAGACTCCGTCTCAAAAAAAAAAAAAAAAAAAAAAAAGAAAAAAAAGTAGTCTTTATCTGGTAAAACACATAGTGCTCCAACAGAAGCAAACTAGAAACTGCCTGATAAGAACATCTCCATACCCGAATGTCCTGGAATGTCAACAGTAAACAACTCCAGTAAGATGAGCTCACAGTAAAAAAGTCACAAACTTCCAGGCTTCCAGACCTCCAACTACAAGGAGCATAACTGACCAAAGTCCCCAGATGCTGTGTTCTGACGTCCATCCCTGTATTCGTGGTGCAGTTAAAAACTTTCTTTTCTTTTCTTTTCTTTTTTTTTTAAGGCGGAGTCTTGCTCTGTCGCCCAGGCTGGAGTGCAGTGGCGCCATCTCGGCTCACTGCAAGCTCCGCCTCCCGGGTTCACGCCATTCTCCTGCCTCAGCCTCCCGAGTAGCTGGGACTACAGGCGCCCGCCACCACGCCCAGCTGATTTTTTGTATTTTTAGTAGAGATGGGGTTTCACCATGTTAGCCAGGATGGGTTAAAAACTTTCAAGCTTGCCATGGGCTGTTCCTAGCCAATGACTGAATGAGTCAGGGATACTGAGGCAGCCCCTTCCTGGGAGATGCAGGACTCCGTGGATAGCTGTTTTTAGCATGATAATTCTCTGGAGGCTTTTCTGAACCTTCCTCTACTACGTGGCAGTTGGGGGTGGTTCCACCCAGCCTTCCTTCCGTCTCTCGATCAGGCCGATTCTTGCATAACGGTCTGATGTCTCTCCCAGCCTTTTCCAGCTCCCTCCTCATTTTATCTCACAGACATTTCCCCTAATACAATCCTTGCATGTTTAATCCCATTTTGGCACTTGTTTTTCAGAGGAAACAGGCTGTAAGCTGGGAATTTGGGACTGGCTTTTCCACCAAATAGCAGGTGAAAAGGACACAGTCTTGGCTAG
This sequence comes from Homo sapiens, assembly GCF_000001405.40. NCBI lineage: Eukaryota > Metazoa > Chordata > Mammalia > Primates > Hominidae > Homo > Homo sapiens. The sequence continues at coordinate 203,846,904 of NC_000002.12, forward strand.
CGGGCGACTACAGATTGTCCCTGGCACAAATTGCTAAATGTTTCACCACTGGTGGCCTGTGAAAATGTTCAGGTGGAGGGTAGTAGTGAGTAAGGTGCAGTGATCCAAGATATTAAAAAATATGGAGGGAATAATGCATACAGAGACAGTTGCTTTAATGCCCCACAAAAGGATGTTGGCAGACTAAGGAGTGGAGGCAGTTTATTGCTAAGTTTGTGAGCCAGAAAACCTCTGTGATCACCCTCAAAGTGGCCCAGATCCCCAGCAGTAGGATAGATGTAGCTGAGGGGCAGAATGAAGACTCAATTGTTAGAGTCACAGAGCTTCAGAGATGTTTGAATGCTCAACCAAAGCAGGTATATTATGCAAAGGTCAGGGACCTGGTGGGACCCTGTTGCAGAATACTGCAACATGGGATGGGGACATCTGGATGGCACCCTGAGGATGTTCATTCTTCAACCCCCTCAGATCCTCTGGGCTTGCAGATGTGGCTCACCTTCCATAGTAAAGGCTAGCAGTTCTACAGTGCTGGAAGATGCTATAGAAATCTCACCCCTGTAAGAGGTGCCACTTCAGAATCTGCCCCCACCTCCTCTCTTGCCTGCCAAGCCAATAACTAGGATTGAGGTCATGCTGGGCCTGGTAAGTTAAGAAAGAGACTCTATGCCTAAGGAATTGCAATAGTTTGCCAGCATTAATTGGCAGAAGCCAGGGGAATACTCCTAGGATTTGATTTTGAGGGTGCTTGATCAAAGAAGCTAAAATGTAAGACTAGATAAGCAAGAATTCATTGACCTAAGGGCACTTTCTTGAGACCTGATATTTAACACCCTAGAAAAGTTGTTGGGTGATAGGGCAAACTTATTGCTGGGTGGCTCTTAGAAGCCTGGATAAAAAAATAGCCAACTCTCATGAAGTGGAAGTGCCTGAATTACCGTGGCAGATGGTAGACGAATAAAGGGACTGAAGAGGTAGAGACGCTGGAATGGATATATTATGTGAGACCAGAAGACCCACCAAGAGGAGGTTGATGTTCCATGACAGGGACCAGAGGGAAAATCATTCACTAGGGTTATAAGGAATATGCTGGTGAGAGGGGCACGAGCACCACAGTGGTTTCCTCCTTTGCAGGTAAGGGATTATGGCAAGAGAGGTAGTCACAGAGTTGAGTTTGTTGACATCTATGAGGATGATGGAGCTCTGGGAAGCCAGGAGGCTGACTGTAAAAAGAAAAAAAAAATACAGGTAAAAGCAGAGGATCAGGAGACTGAGAACAACTGCTCTAATAAAAAGCCACAATCCTTTGTGCAGTTCCTGAACTTGAGCCAATTTTCAGATTTGTAACCCATTGACTGAAGAGGTGGCCTGGTACTAGGAGGAAAGACCCTTCAGCACTATGGCAAGAATATACTGAGATAATTCCCTCAGTCCTTCCCCAAGGGACTTATGATCCCTTACACGGATGAGGAAGAGGGGAACAACCACTCATGTTTGGGATTAATGGACACAGGGTCTGAGCTGACATCAGTACTTGGAGACCTAAAGTGTCATCATGGCACCCCTTGTTAGAATGACAGCCTGTGGGGGTCATGTAATAGATAGAATCCTAAGAACCCATCCAGAGGTGGTTGTTTTCCCAGTCCCTAAATGTACAATTGGAGTTGATATATTTGGAAATTGTAGTAACCTCCACATAGGTTTCCTGGTCTGTAGAATATGAGCTATTAAAGTAGGCTAAATTGAAACTTTTCAAATTGTCCAACATCTTTCTCACTTCATTCAAGATAATAAATCCAAAATATCATATATTTTGGAGTGAGAGGATGGTGAAGATAAATGCCATCATTAAAGGTCTAGAGGATGCAGGGGTGGTGGTTCCTACTTTATCTCTATTTAATTCACCAATCTCGTTCCGTAGAAACTGAACAGATTCTGGTGGTCCTCTAGACTGCCATAGACTTAATCAAGCATCAGCCCAAAGAGCAGTTGCTATCCCAGATGTGGTATCATTCCTAGAGCATTTTAATAAGGCCTCAGGTTCACGGTATGCAGACACTGATTTGGTGAATATGTTCTTTTACATTCCCATTAGAAAAGACGATCAGAAACAGTTTGCATTCATGTGGGAGGGACAACAATATTCATTTACAATTTTGTCTCAGGTCTATGTTTCTGCCACCCTCTGTGATGGTGAGTCTGAAGGAACTGGACTGCCTGAACACCCCACAGAACATCACTCTGATCTATTACATTGACAACATCACGATGATTGGACAAGTTGAGCAAGAGGTGACTAGTGTGTGGTGTCTTGGGAAAACATATGTGCTCTAGTGGTTGGGAAGTTTCAGTGAAGACTTTTAGAGGTTCAGTAGTCATGCGCATGCTGGGATATCCCCTCCAAAGCAAAAGAAAAATTGCTGCATCTTATATCCCCTATCACAAATAAAACAACATCTGGTAGGACTCTTTGAGTTCTGGAGGCAACACATCCCACATCTAGGGATATTGCTTCCACCCATGCTCCAGATGATATGGAAGGCTGCCAGCTTTGAGTACTGTTCAGAGCAGGAAAGGGCACCACAGCAGGTCCAGGCTGTGGTGCAGCACCCTGTGCTATTTGGGTCATGTAATCTGGCAGATCCTATTGTGTCAAAGGCATCAGTGGTAGAAAAGATGCAGTGTGGAGTATATGGTATGCTCCAGCAGGAGAATCATAATGAAGACCTTTGGGATTCTGGAGTCAGGCCCTTTTCAACAGGGAATAATATGTCCTTGGAGAAAAAGCTCTTGATTTGTTACTGGACCATGATAGAGGTAGAACCCTTGACCACAGGACTCCAAGTCACTGTGCATCTGGGACTTCTCATTATAAACTGGGTTCTATTGGCTTCACCAAGCCATAAAGTCATATGGACCCAGAAACAGTCCATCATAAGGTGGAAATACTAAATCTGAGATGGATCCAAGAAGAATGAGAGGATATGAGCAAGCTAAACAAACAGGTGGCCCAGACTCCCACATCACCCACCACAATTGCACCAGGGCCCCTCCCTCAGCTTGCGCGTATGGCCAAATTTGGGATTATAATTGGTGTTTCAGCTGACCAACTGAAAGAGGAGGAAAAAGCCGTAGTTTTGTTTACAGGTGGCTTGGCTTGGTACTTGGGTACAAACTGAACATTGACAGTAGCTGCATTATAGCCTAATTCAGGGGCGGCCCTGAAGGCAGTCAGGTGGAAAAGTGTTCCCAATGGACATAGACATGAGCCATGTACCCGATCATCCATTTGTGTGGAAGGAGAAGTGGCCTGAAATGAGAATATAGATCCTGGAAGGTGACCAATGGCCTGGCCATCTGGTCAAGAACCTGGAAGGAAGGTTAGAGAAAAGGAGGTCTTTGGAATCTTATGGCTAGACATATGGAAGTGGGCACAAAGTGCAAAGATTTTGTATCTTACATTAATGCCCACCAGAAAGCATCCACCATGGAAAAGGCGCTGAACAACCAAATGAACAAAGTGATTTGGTCATTTGACATTAGCCAGCCTTCATTACTGGTCACCCCAGAACTGATATGCTGGACATATGAATAGAGTAGAAGAGATGGAAATGACATTTTGGCTCAGTAGTATGAATTTTCACTTACCAAAGTAGATTTAGTGACTTATTTTAATGAGTGTACAAATTGTTAGCAACACCAAGCTTCTCATATGGCACAATTGGGTGACAGGTTGATTACACTGAGACCTTTCAATTTTGAAAGGGCCAGTGGTTCATCTTCACAGGGAATGATAACTATTTTGAGGGTAGATTTGCTTTTTCTGCCTTTGGGGCATCATATCAACACTATTATCCTGGGACTTACTGAATGCCTGGTCCATGTACATAGAACTTCACTCTTAATATCATCTGACCAATGGACCCACTTTACATCAAAGGAGGTTTGAAATGGACTCATGTTCATGGGATCCACTGGTCATATCACATTGTGTACCCAATAGGCAGCTGGCATCATAGGATTCTGCAATGGCCTTCAAAATTTGCAGCTAAAATGTTAGTATGGAGGAAACACTTAGAAAGAATGGGCTATTATCCTTAAGGATGCAATGCATTTATTAAATCAGAGACTCCTATATAATACCATATCCTCAGTAAGAGGAGAACTTGAGTTCAGAAGTGAAGAGGTGGAAGCAGAGTGGGTCCATCTACCATAGCTTCCAATAACCCATTTGGGGATTTTGTGCTTCCTGCCTTTGCTACTTTGGTCCCCCAAGGGTGCACATTCTTGCTAGAAGGCCCAAGTGTCCCACTGAACCACACATTACAGAGGCTGGTAGGACACTTTGGAGTCCTGTTTCCAAGGACCAACAGGCAGGAATCAGAGTCAAAATACAGGCAGGGATAATAGGTCCCAATCAAGGAGACCAAGGCTGGTTCTATACAATGGTGACAGGGAGGAATACAGGTGGAAAACAGGTGATCCACTTAGGTGTTTCCTGGTATTCTTGTCCCATTATAACTGTGAACAACCGTGTAACAACTCCAAACAGTGAAGGGTATGATTCTTAAGGGCACACACTCCTCAGGTATTAAGGCTTGGATCACATGACCAGGTAAACCACCAAGACCTGCCGAGATGATAGCTGAGAATGAGGGAAAGGCATTTAGAATGGTTTGGGGAGGAGGGAGAGAGGAGGACCAGTTGTGGCCTTGATCAGTCACAGTGATGGGAGTTGTCCATCCCATTAATCTCCCTCTTCTGAGTTTTTTTCTGAAGAAGAAAGGCTCACAGGAATCACTAAAGAAGAGCTGCCTGAACTTTTGTGGACAAGCGGATCAGCATGGCATAAGGGACGGACTATGGCATCCATGAGGATAAGCCTTACAGACCCTCTCCTATAAGTAGTGTAATGGACCAAAGGCCCAAGCCGCTTCACTCTGGCATCCATTGCCCTGTGTCTTAGTCCATTCAGGCTGCTATAACAATACCATAAACGGAGTGGTTTATAAACTACAATTCATTTCTTGTTTTTCTAGAGCCTGGGAAGTTCAAGAGCAAGGCAATGGTCATTTTGGTGTCTGGTGAGAGAAGATAACTTCCTGGTTCATAACAGCTATCTTCTCTCTTTGTGTTCACATGGTGGGAGAAAGAGAGAGGGAACTCTCTGGGGTCTCTGTTATGAAGGCACTAATTCCATTCATGAGAGTTTTGCTCTCATGATCTAGTCACCACCCAAAGATTCCACCTCCAAATACTATCCAATTGATTAGGATTTAAAGTCTGAAATTTGGTGGGACAGAAACATTCAGTCTATGGTGCTCTGTTTATGCTGAGGTCTTGCTTCCTATAAGCTGCTTCCAGCCAGTGACTGAGCAGGGCGGGAATGCTAAAGCAAGCCTGTTCCAGGTGCTCACCTCAGATCAAGATGCCCTGACAGTCTTGTCAGGAACCTTTTAGATTTCACTAGGTTCTAGACCCCTTCCACCCAACTTCTCTTCCTTCTATCCTTCACTTAGGGGTCAAATTTTCATCATGATCTGATGGTTCTTCCAGATTTTCTCATCTCCCTCCCCATATTTTTTTAGAGACATTCCTCTAACAAAATTCGTGCTTGTTTAATCCAATTTTGGTCCAAAATATCAACAGTTCTGAGGTTAGGGAATCTTGGCTTAGAGAAATGATGACAGTGGACATTGGATATCAATATCGATCCCATTATTTTGTGACAGAGCTCTCTGGGATTGATCCAAATGTCAGATGTCACACCAAGAAAAATGATGTTTCTGAGAAGCATTCAGAATAAGACTAATAGTGTCTTATTTCCAAGGGTCAAAGTAACTTGCTCTGAGAATGCATGAACTTAATTCTTGCCTTTCCTTCTTTCCTTCTTTTCCTTCCCTCCTTCCTTCCTTCCTTCTTTCCTTCCTTCCTTCCTTCCTCCCCCTCCCTCCCTTCCTCCCTCTTCCCTCCTCTCTCTCTTTCTCGCCCTTTCTCTCTCTCTCCCCCTTTCTCTCTCTCTCCCCCTTTCTCTCTCTCTCTCCTCTCCCTTTCTTTCTTTTTTGGCCCCACTGACTCTGTCTCAAGATGGTAATTAGTAACTGACAATGATTACGCTATAGTTCCATCATGAAAACATAATTCTCATGCCAGGAGTTTATGATGACTTTTAGTTTGAAATTTCTCAAGGTTCAGTTTCAGATCAAGGGTGAATGTTCTTGGAAAGTTTGAACTTAATCAGAAACATTATTTTAGAATTATGATCTTAGAGTAATTTCTGGGTTTTTAGATTTGGAATATATATATATATATATATATATATTTTTTTTTAACAGTTGTCCACTCACTGCTCAG